>NC_000021.9:33334846-33644800 GCF_000001405.40 Homo sapiens
ACCAGTTATGATGCAGTTAACACAGAGGGGAAAGCTGCTGAGATACACTATACTTTCCCACCCCTGCAGTGGGAGATGGGGCAGGGGGTACCACATCAGGGAGTACAGCTGCTGTTGTTACTACCCAGGGCTCAGAGGCACTGCTTGGGCAGGTGACTCTTCCTGGCACTGGTCAATTATTTGTGATGATGTCACCACAAGGAGTACTGCAGGGAGGAAGCCAGCACTTGATTGCCCCTAGGACTCAACCTTATTTATTTGGACGTAACACCATTGTAAGTCAAGAAGCATCTCTATCTATCTATGAACATACAATGTGAAATCAAATTGAGGCCATAAAACAGTTGAACCTCATCATAAGAGTGACTCATCGGTGTCACTTCTAAGACCAAGAAAAATTCTATTTTTATGCAGAGACCATTTGTTTTTTAATTAAAAGACAACTCTATTTCAAAGAGGAAAAAAAATCAACTCTTTTTTCAGCTCTCTCAGATGCAGAAATGTAATTATCAGCATCCCTGTGCTGGGAGCAATCATTAGTTTTTTTAGATTTTTAAAATATACTTCATTATGTTTCACTGTATTCATTCTTTAATCAGGGATGTGAGGGATAGAATAACATTTAGAATATCTGTACAGTTTGTATATAATGTTCTTATTTCTTGTTGCTTTTATAGGTGGAAAAAATCTAAAATCTCCTCAAAAAGTAGAGGTCGACATCATAGATGACAACTTTATCCTGAGGTGGAACAGGAGCGATGAGTCTGTCGGGAATGTGACTTTTTCATTCGATTATCAAAAGTATGTGACTCTACTTACTGATTTGTCAGAATGACCTGAATAATTTTTACAAGTTTAACAACACCATAATTTTTAGATTTGGAAAGTGTTTGGTTTTTCTATTTTTTAGAAATGTTACGCCTATTTTACATAATATTTTTAACTTTGTTTCTGTAGAGACTTAGTCAAATACATCTTTGGGTGTTGAAGCAAAAAATTGGGGATGAGGGTGGTAGACAGCGTCTCTAACCCATAGCCATTCCTTCTTTCTTCTGGGTGTTCCAGCTTCTTTTTTTTTTTTTTTTAATTATTATACTTTAAGTTTTAGGGTACATGTGCACAATGTGCAGGTTAGTTACGTATGTATACATGTGCCATGCTGGTGCGCTGCACCCACTAACTCGTCATCTAGCATTAGGTATATCTCCCAATGCTATCCCTCCCCCCTCCCCCCATCCCACAACAGGCCCCAGAGTGTGATGTTCCCCTTCCTGTGTCCATGTGTTCTCATTGTTCAGTTCCCACCTATGAGTGAGAATATGCGGTGTTTGGTTTTTTGTTCTTGCGATAGTTTACTGAGAATGATGATTTCCAATTTCATCCATGTCCCTACAAAGGACATGAACTCATCATTTTTTATGGCTGCATAGTATTCCATGGTGTATATGTGCCACATTTTCTTAATCCAGTCTATCATTGTTGGACATTTGGGTTGGTTCCAAGTCTTTGCTATTGTGAATAATGCCGCAATAAACATACGTGTGCATGTGTCTTTATAGCAGCATGATTTATAGTCCTTTGGGTATATACCCAGTAATGGGATGGCTGGGTCAAATGGTATTTCTAGTTCTAGATCCCTGAGGAATCGCCACACTGACTTCCACAATGGTTGAACTAGTTTACAGTCCCACCAACAGTGTAAAAGTGTTCCTATTTCTCCACATCCTCTCCAGCTCCAGCTTCTTTCAATATAAGTTGGGGTCTGAGCTAGGGTATATCTTGAAGATATGGCATTGTACTCCAAAAGGTCCATCGAAGACCTTGGAATAGGCCACCAGGTTTCCTGTGATCAGGCTTTCCTATTATCTCCATGATATACTATATTTTAATTTTAGGTACACTTTTTTTTTTTTTTTTTTTTTGAGGTGGAGTCTTGCTGTGTTAACCAGGCTGGAGTGCAGTGGCACAATCTTGGCTCACTGCAACCTCCACTTCCCGGTTTCAAGCGATTCTCCTGCCTTAGCCTCTCGAGTAGCTGGGATTGCAAGCACATGCCACCATGTTTGACTAATTTTTTTATTTTTAGTAGAGATGGGGTTTCGCCATGTTGGCCAGGCTGATCTCAAACTTCTTACCTCAGGTGGTCTGCTCACCTCAGCCTCCCAAAGTGCTAGGATTACAGGCGTGAGCCACTGCCCTGGCCTAGATACACTTTGTAAATATATTGTTAACTGGGCATGGTGGCATGTGTCTGTAATCCCACCTACTTGGGAAGCTGAGGCAGAAGAATCGCTTGAACCCAGGAGACAGAGGTTGCTGTGAGCCAAGTTTGCACCACTGTACTCCAGCCTGGGAGACAGCAAGACTCCATCTCAAAAATAAATAAATAAATAAAATAAAATAAAAATCGATATATTGGACCTTGCATTTCTAAAGACTCAGTTTTTCTGGAGTGTTGATGTCTCTTCCTTAGTACTTTCTACTTAATTATTCAAGAGGAGAGGCAGGCAGAAGGAGGAATATAGAAGGGAACACAGATCAGGAAGTACAGTACTTTGCCTTCCGATTATGTGTTGGGGCCCCACCTGCCAACCATGTTCCCCTGTCCAAGAAAAAGCAGGCAATGAAGAAATAAGGCATTAGGCCCTCCGGAACCAGGAGCCCACCACTTCAGCCACAGCTGTGACACTATTCTCGAGTTGTAACTAAAACTGGCATATGAATCTCACAGCTTCAGTAATTGTGTATGCATATATAAACAAATACACACTGTATATATGCATATATACACTATATATATACATACTGTATATATACATTACACTATATATAATACATACTGTATACATACATATACACACATTGTGTATACATACATATACACACATTGTGTATACATACATATACACACTATATATACATATACACACTGTATATGTATATGTATATACACACACAAATTCATATATGACTTTTCTCAGAATTGATCATTTAAAATTTTTTATCTCTAGAGATTTTCATTAAATTGAACTTTGAGTTTGGTTACCAGTTTTGTTTTTTCCCTTAGTTTGGAATTTCCTTATGAACAACTATTTTAGGTAGAGAAGGAATTATTTCAGATACCCTTATTTAATGTTACTTGTATAAAGAAACTATTTGCAAAATATGCATCCAACAAGAGCTTAATATCCAAGGAACTCAAACAATCAACAACAAAACCCAAATCCATCAAAAGGTAGGCAAAAGATAGGAATAGATATTTTTCAAAAGAAAACATACAGTGGCCAACAAGTATGTGAAAAAATGGTCAACATCACTCTAATCATCAGAGAAATGCAAACGAAACCTGCCATGAGATATTGTCTCCCCGCAGTCAGAATGGCTGTTATTAAAAAGTTAAAAAAGGCTGGGCATGGTGGCTCACACCTGTAATCCCAGCACTTTGGGAGGCCAAGGCAGGTGGATCACCTGAAGTCAGGAGTTCGAGACCAGCCTGACCAACATGGTGAAACCCCATCTCTACTAAAAATACAAAAACTTCAGCCGGATGTGGTGGTGCGTGCTGTAATCCCACCTACTTGGGAGGCTGAGGCAGGAGAATCGCTTGAACCCAGGAGGCACAGGTTGCAGTGAGCTGAAATCGTGCCCCTGCACTCCAGCCTGGGTGACAGCAAGACTTCATCTCAAAAAAAAAAAAAAACCCAACAAATATTGAATATATTTCATGCCAAACACTCTTCTGACTGCTTAGACTGCCTCAGTGAACAGGAGAGGCAAAGATGGCATGAAGTTATATTATGAAACGGATTTCATGAAGTAAATATTACATTAGTTACATATTCATATTTCATATTCTGTTCTGAGCTAATTATTGCATATGATAATAGTTTTTTTGTTGTTGGTTTTTTTTTTTTGAGACGGAGTCTTGCTCTGTTGCCCAGGCTGGAGTGCAATGGCGCAATCTCGGCTCACCGCAACCTCCGCCTCCCGGGTTCAAGCAATTCTCCTGTCTCAGCCTCCCGAGTGCCTGGGATTACAGGCATGCACCCCCACGCCCGGCTAATTTTGTATTTTTAGTAGAGACAGGATTTCTCCATGTTGATCGGGCTGATCTCGAACTCCTGATCTCAAGTGATCCACCCCCCTCGGCCTCCCAAAGTGCTGGGATTACAGGTGTGAGCCACCGAGCCCGGCCAATAATGATTTTTTTAAGAAAATATAAAAGTAGCTTCTGCTGCAATATCTTGATTAGATGTAAAACAGTTTTAATGGAGCATGCTTCAGCATCTCCTGAAGTAGGAAAGACAGATGTAAACAGTGAGGTTGGGTTGAAATTATATTAAGTTTTAAATTTTTGATAAGGTTTTCTGTTTATAATGAGAGTTTCTGGATTTTTAGAAATAGATTCTGATGTGGAACCTTTTCAAGAATGTTTAAGGTATTTTTAATGCCAGCTCTAATCTCAGGCCTCAGATATGTAAAAGTGGAAGTGAAAACTGGCCAAGAATGAAGTATTTCATATGCTAGTGTATATTTTTGGTAATTTCTTAAAAATGTTTCCATTTTGAAAAACAAGGTAGACTTGTATTTGGTTCAGCAACAAAATTATTTTGGTATTATCTCTGGTTTCTAATATCTAAATCGTCTTTAAAATGGCATCTGTGATATTATTAAAAATAAATAAATCAGCTAATGAATTAGGCTTGACAAAAATGCCTTCCCAGAAGATAGTTTCTCTGCTACTTATGGTCAATGGGCTTAACATAGGTAAAAGTTCTCAAATCTGCTAAATTGGCCGGGCATGGTGGCTCACGCCTGTAATCCCAGCACTTTGGGAGGCTGAGGTGGGCAGATCACCTGAGGTGAGGAGTTTAAGATCAGTCTAGCCAACATGGCAAAACCCCATCTCTACTAAAAAAAAAAATACAAAAATTAGCCAGACGTGGTGGCACACGCCTGTAATCACAGCTAGTTGAGAGGCTGAGGCAGGAGAATTGCTTGAACCTAGGAAGTGGAGGTTGCAGTGGGCCGAGATTGCACCACTGCACTCCAGCCTGGGCAACAGAGTAAGACTCTGTCTCAAAAAAAAAAAAAAAAAAAAAAAGAAATCTGCTAAGTTCGTTTCTATCCCTCACTTTCCCTGCAAGCTCTTCTTCCCCTTTCTGGGCAACATGTCCTTTTCTGCTTTAGGCACTCCATGCCCACTTTATTTTTCATGTTTGCCCCTTTTTTGAAAGGAAGAATCTAATATCACTTCAGCTTTCTGATTGGCCAGTTCCACTTCCAAAAATTTATTTGTTTATGTAAACATTTTCAGTTTTGTGGTTTCTGATGATGTAATAGAAGAAATTACGGAGACAGGCAAGCAGAAGGGATGGTTTGCTTTTGGAGAGGGCAGAGGAAACCTTGAAACCATACTGATTCTGAGGTCTTTCTTAGGGAAGGTAAGTCTATTCATAGGAGGAGGTCAGAAGGGAATCATCAAATCCAATTCCCCAGTTTCTATTTAATTTTATTTTATTAGAGACAGGGTCTTGCTCGGTTGCTGAGGCTGGAGTGCAGTGATATGATCATAGCCTACTGCAGCCTGCAGCCTTGAACCCCTATGCTCAAATGACCCTCTCACCTCAGCCTACCCAGTAGCTAGGACTGTGGGCATGTGCCACCATGCCCTGCTTTGCCTTTTTTTTTTTTTATTTCTCATAGAGACAGGGTTTGCTATGTTGACCAGGCTCCAAACTTTCAATAAGGAAGATAAGATCCAGAAACACAAAATAGTTTACCAAAAGTCACACAGCTATTTTTAACAGAGCCAACATACTAAATCCACTTTTACCTTATGGGTCATTTATTTCTCTGCTTCCTGAAGCAACCACCCACAAAATTATATAAAGAACTGTATTTTAAAATTCAGTTTCATAAGTAATAACTTGGCTTATATGCATTGAAAAAGAGTGGAAGGGTGTATGCTAAAATGTTAATAGGACATTAGCTCAAGTAGAAGAAATAACTCTTAAACCAAAAATAGAAATAACTCTTAAACAAGAGTTATTAAGAGTTAAGAAATAACTCTTATACCAGTAAATAGAAAGTATTTGACACTTACATTTATACATTTGCTCACTCATTCATTTGTTTTTTTTACTTTAAAGAACTGGGATGGATAATTGGATAAAATTGTCTGGGTGTCAGAATATTACTAGTACCAAATGCAACTTTTCTTCACTCAAGCTGAATGTTTATGAAGAAATTAAATTGCGTATAAGAGCAGAAAAAGAAAACACTTCTTCATGGTATGAGGTTGACTCATTTACACCATTTCGCAAAGGTAAGAAAAAGTTGCTAGCTGAATTATATTCTTTAGTAAATATTACCAGAGCAGTTCACTTTCCAAGCCATTCATTTGCATGATGCAAAATCTAACATCTTTTAAAAAGAACAAAAATTCCCTTAAACCTATATCTTCTTCCTGCTATGGCTCCATTTGTCCTACTTTCCCTGTAGTAGTGGTTCTCAAAGAGTGATCCTCAAGGCCCTTTCAGGGGGCTGTAAAGACAAAGCTATATTTATGACAAATCTAAGACTTAGTTGCCTTTTTAATTTTTGTTCTTTCTTGTATTCACAGTGGAGTTTTCCAGAGGAGGCTGTTTGATGTGTGATGTGGTGATATGGTCACTGATTTAACATAGAATTCAATGTGAAATTCATCTGCCTTCTTTATTAATCCAAACATTCAAAAGATTTGGAAAAAAAATGTAAAACAGCACCACTCTGAAGTTTCTATGTTCCTTTTGGCAAATGTTTGTTACCATAAAATAGGTTTATCATTGTTATTTCTTTCTTTTTTTTTTTGAGACAGAGTTTTGTTCTTGTTGCCCAGGCTGGAGTGCAATGGCACAATCACGGCTCACTACAGCCTCTGCCTCCTGGGTTCAAGTGACTCTCCCGCCTCAGCCTCCCGAGTACCTGGGATTACCAGCATGCATCACCATGCCTGGCCAATTTTGTATTTTTAGTAGAGACAGGGTTTCTCCATGTTGGTCAGGCTGACCTCAAACTCCCAACCTCAGGTGATCTGCCCACCTCAACCTCCCAAAGTGCTGGGATTACAGGCGTGAGCCACCATGCCCAGTCCATTGTTATTTCTTAATGGATTAATTAGTTAAAATGGATTGAAAACTTTACCAGTTTTAATGTTTAATATGCTAATATAAAAATATACAGCCCACATAAATAATGGCTGTTTGGGATTCTCGATAATTCCTTTAAGAATGTAAAGGAGCTGAGTGTAGTGGCCCACACCTGTAATTCCAACACTTTGGGAGGCTGAGGTGGGAGGATCACTTGAGGCCAGAAGTTCAAGACCAACCTAGGCAACATAGTGAGACCCCATCTCTACAAAAAATATATAAAAATTAGCCAGGCATGGTGGTGCACACCTGTAGTCCCAGCTATTCAGGAAGCTGAAGAGGGAGGATCACTTGAGCCTGGGAGATCAAGGTTGCAGTGAGCTGTGTTTGTGCCACTGCACTCCAGCCTGAGCAACAGAGCTAGACCATATCTCAAAAAAAAGTGGGGATCCTGAGACCAAAAGGTTTGAGAACCACTGCCCTGTACCAAGAATGATCTGTACTCCCTTTCTATACTAATCTTCCAATTCCCTGTCAGCCCTCTCCATTCAAATTCTGTTCCTCCTCACTTAAAACCACTCTTTTTGGCCAGGCGCGGTGGCTCACGCCTGTAATCCCAGCACTTTGGGAGGCCAAGGCGGGCAGATCACGAGGTCAGGAGATCGAGACCATCCTGGCTAACACGGTGAAACCCTGTCTCTACTAAAAATACAAAAAAAAAAAAAAAAAAACTAGCCGGGCATGGTGGCGGGAGCCTGTAGTCCCAGCTACTCGGGAGGCTGAGGCAGGAGAATGACATGAACCCGGGAGGCGGAGCTTGCAGTGAGCCGAGATCGTGCCACTGCACTCCAGCCTGGGCGACAGAGCGAGACTCCGTCTCAAAAAAAAAAAATAAATAAACCACTCTTCTCAAGGTCACAGCAGCCTCCACAATGCCAAGCAAATTCCCAGTCCTCTTCTGGCTTCATCCCTCTGTAGCATAGATGTGGTCATCACTCAGTTTTTCCTTTACTGGATCTCTGGGACACTGCTCTTTCCTGGTTCTCCTCCTGCTCATTGATCGCTTCATCTTCCCAACTTTTCAGTGTTAGACTGCTGCTGGGCTCAGTCATTGAACCTCTTCTCTTTCTGTATCACTCCACTGGTGATCTTACAGCTTTCTATCCTATCTGTATGCTCTTAACTCCCAGAAGTGGCAGGCACATATTAAGTGCTCAGAATTATTTGTTGAATGAAGGTTTTGGCATTGTATTAATAAAGTTCCATAGTAATTGTTTTGATTTTTTTGCAGCTCAGATTGGTCCTCCAGAAGTACATTTAGAAGCTGAAGATAAGGCAATAGTGATACACATCTCTCCTGGAACAAAAGATAGTGTTATGTGGGCTTTGGATGGTTTAAGCTTTACATATAGCTTAGTTATCTGGAAAAACTCTTCAGGTGTAGAAGTAAGCATTATTTTTACCTCTGTTTAATCGATGTGAGAGAAAAATTAGGCGAATTAATCCTAAAATTTGACTTTATACTTTTTTAAAGAACCAACTTATATTTGTGTTATAGGAAAGGATTGAAAATATTTATTCCAGACATAAAATTTATAAACTCTCACCAGAGACTACTTATTGTCTAAAAGTTAAAGCAGCACTACTTACGTCATGGAAAATTGGTGTCTATAGTCCAGTACATTGTATAAAGACCACAGGTAAGGAAGATGTTTTGTTTTAGATTCAATAAATATATAAACAGATTGTCAATTTTGGCATCTTCCCCATATTGCTGAAGTTTACATGATAGGTCAATATATGTTAAAAACATTGTAACATTTACATAAGCAAAATAAATGTTACTTGGGATTTTTGTCTCAAATAGTAATGAAAATTAATTCTACTTAAAAGTTCAGGCTGGGCGTAGTGGCCCACGCCTGTAATCCCAGCACTTTGAGAGGCTGAGGTAGCTGGATCACTTGAAGCCAGAAGTTCGAGAACAGCCTCGCCAACATGGGAAAACCCCGTGTCTACTAAAAATAATTAGCTGGGCGTGGTGGCTCACGCCTGTAGTGGTAGCTACTTGGGAGGCTGAGGCACAAGAATCCCTTGAACCTGGGAGGTGGAAGTTGCAGTGAGCCAAGATCGCGCCACTGCACTCCAGTCGGGAGCAAGGGGGACAAAGAGTAAGGCTCCGTCTTAGAAAAAAAAAAAAGTTCAAATATTTTGTAATGACAAAACTTTTCATTTGTTCAGAATCCACATGAAGCAGGAGGTAGCTGAACTATGAGTTCTGCAAGTGGGAAGAAAAGGTGGGGAAGTAGTTGCTAGTAGACAAGTTATTGTTCAAGAAAGCATACCTTTGTAAGTGGAATGTTAAAATATGAAAGTATCCTGATACATTTAGTAACATCTTTCCAATAATTAAGGTCAAGGGCAGGAGCTGGGATTTGTTTATTTTAATTGTAAATTTCATATGCTTTTTTTTTTAATCAAACATTACGGAAGGGTTTAAAGTGAAGTCTTCTTCTCCCTTCTTATCCCCAATTCCATTCACTAGAGATAAGCATTGCTTAGCAGTTTGTGTATATCCTTTCACAACTTTTTTCAGGATTTATGTAAGCATATACACAGACCCACAGTTTCTTGGGTTTTGTTTTTTAAAATTACAAAATAAAATCTTACTAGAAGTATTTTACAGCTTGCTTACTTAACCCAGTGTGTTGGGGATATTCTATATCACTCAATACAGATCTATTACGTTCTTCATTTGATCTTAGCCATCTATTGCATTCTTTCTTTTTTACTTATTTATTTATTTATTTATTTATTTATTTATTTATTTTTGAGACAGAGTCTCACTCTCTTGCCCAGAATGGAGTGCAGTGGCTCAATCTCGGCTCACCGCAACCTCTGCCTCCCAGCTTCAAGCGATTCTCCTGCCTCAGCCTCCCGAGTAGCTGGGATTACAGGCGTGTGCCATCATGCCTGGCTAATTTTTGTATTTTTAGTAGAAATGGGGTTTCACCATGTTGGCCAGGCGCGTCTCGAACTCCTGACCTCAGGTGATCCATCCACCTCAGCCTCCCAAAGTTCTGGGATTACAGGTGTGAGCCACTGCGCCCGGCCTGTAGTCTTTCAAATGGCTGCATAGTATTACATAGTGTGAATACAAACCATATTTAACTATTACCTTATAATGATAAAATGCGAGCCTTTATCTTCTTGCCAGTTATCTCACTTGAGTAAAAATGTGTGCTTTTTTTTATCTGTTCTTTGGCTTCTAGTTGAAAATGAACTACCTCCACCAGAAAATATAGAAGTCAGTGTCCAAAATCAGAACTATGTTCTTAAATGGGATTATACATATGCAAACATGACCTTTCAAGTTCAGTGGCTCCAGTAAGTTCCATTCCATAAATTTCCTTTTGCCCAGTTTGTTTTGATTATGCTTCTTTTCGCTCTGCATCAGTCACCAGGTCCTTGCACACAGAATGACCGACTGGGAGGTGGGTACGATATATTGGAAACGTGAGAAATCTCATTTCTAACCCCAGTTCTGCCAGTAACTAACTGGATGACATTGAGCTAATCGCTTAACCTCCATGGGCCTCAATTTCTTCACTTGTAAAATAGATGGATTCTAATATCTGGGGTTCTTACTGGCTTAAGAAAAAAAAGAAAGTGTAACTAGTTGCATGTGTTATTTCCCCAATCTGGAAGACTCGACAGTTGACCCTGATCTTTTTCTAAGAACTCACTTCTTCCATGAGTCCTTAAAATGATCTCAGTCCACTCACTTGTTCAATTCAAAAAATTAGCCTTCCTATTTTCTTTATTACTTTAGTGGTTTTGACAAAATTTTGTAGTAGATACTTCGGTGGGAAAGAAAGTTGGAAAGAACTATGTTCTATGTGGTTGAGCAGAGGCTAGCTAAACATGGATGAAGTCCAGGCGCTGCATAAATGAAAGAGAACTGGCCTGGTGCAGTGGCGCATGCCTATCGTCCCAGCTACTCAGTGGGCTGAGGCAGGAGGATTACTTGAGGCCAGGAATTGAGGCTGCAGTGTTGTATGATCACACCTGCTAGTAGCCGCTGCACTGCAGCCTGGGCAACATAGTGAGACCCCCATCTCTAAGCATTAAAATTTTTAAAAAGCTGATAAAAGAGAACTGCATGTAGTTTATATTGATTGGAAAATTGTAGGAGATGAATAGAGAAAAGAGAAGAGGAAAATTAAGTAGAAGGAAAAATGGGTTATGGGGAGAAAAGAGATGGAAAGAAAGATATACATTGGTGGCAGAGGAGTAGAGAGAGCAAAGGCAAGTATAGCTAAGACAGGAAAGGAAAAGTCAGAAGAAACTGGAAAGAAACAGAAAAAATGAGGGAGAAGGGAAGTGTAAGTACCGCTATGATCAATTTCTATCTTTTAGTGTTAATTTTGAACCAAGGGTGACTGGTAGAATGCAAATGCATTTATGTGCATATGTGCCCCACAATGCATATATAACCTCACAAACCAATCAGGAAACTGTTCAGTAGTCTTTTGTGTATACCTCACTTTCAGAAGTGAATAAATAATAGGGTCACCAAATAGATAATGAGAGGTATTTCTGATAGCTGATCTCTAAGCTTCTTTTGGGTACTTACCATATTGTACAAAGCACTGAAGAAATGGAAAGAGTCAGCAGAATCAAACGTGGTTCAAAAATTGAAAGCAGTTAGCCAACATTGCAAAGTGTTGTGTGGTTTAGGACTAAAGAGTGGTATACAAATTATAAGGGTTGCAGAAATTGAAAATGTAAAGGTGAATAGGGGCTAAAGAGACCAAAGAAGCCATAAGGAAAGAGATAAGGTATGAACAAGGCCTTGATTGTTAATTCAGATTTTTTTTAAGTAGACAACTATTAGATGTTAGTTTTCTGTGTCTGTAACTAATTACCACAGACTTAGCAACTTAAACAGCTGTTTATTGTCTCAAAGTTTCTGTGAGTCAGGAGTCCAAGCGTGGCTTAGCTGGCTCTTCTGCTAAGCAGTCAAGGAGTCAGTCATTCATACAAGACTTGGGGGCCGCTCCCAAGCTCACATGTTGTTGGCAGAATTTATTTCTAGAGCTCATGGTGGCTCACTTCTTAGAGGCCATCAGGAAGGGAGAGTCTGACCTCTAGATCCTTTTTTTTTTTTTTTTGAGACGGAGTCTCACTCTGTCACCCAGACTGGAGTGCAGTGACATGATCTCAGCTCACTGCAACCTCCGCGTCCTGGGTTCAAGTGATTCTTCTGCCTCAGCCTCCCAAGTAGCTGGGACTACAGGTGTGCACCACCACACCCAGCTAATTTTTGTAGTTTTAGTAGAAACGGGGTTTCACCGTATTGGCCAGGCTGGTCTCGAACTCCTGACTTCAGGTGATCCACCCGCCTCAGCCTCCCAAAGTTCTGGGATTATAGGCGTGAGGCACCGCGCTCAGCCATTTTTTTTGTATTTTTAGTAGAGACGGAGTTTCTCCATGTTTGCCAGGCTGTTCGCAAACTCCTGGCCCCAAGTGATCTGCCCACCTCAGCCTCCCAAAGTGCTGGGATTAGAGGCATGAGCCACCATGCCTGGCCTAGATCCTCTTTTAAGGGGTTCATCTGATTAGGTCAGGCCCACCCAGAATAGTCTCTCATTTGATTCAACTGATTTGGGACCTTAATTACATCTGTGAAATACCTTCTCTTCTGCCACTTAATGTAACCTAATTATGAGAGGAGGGCCTCCATCGTATTTACAGGTCCTGCCCATGCTCAAGAGGAGGGGATTATACAGGATGTGTACACCAGGGGGCAGGAATCTTGGGGGCCATCTCAGAATTTTGCCTTCTCCAGTGGGGAGGATGTCCTTCTAGAGTAGCAGAACATTTGGACACCAGGTGGCAATGGGAAGAAAGCTGAATAAGTAGAATGGGACAAGATTAGGGTCAACCTCAGGCTGTCCTGTAGGCTTTTGGGGATTTTGTGTTGGGGTGATAGTTAACCTGAGCTCTGGATTTGAGGAAGGTGCATGCGGCGACATGGTATGTGGGAGAGTGGACTAAGGAGACACTAAAGAGAGATAAGGAAACCAGTCAGGAGGCTATTAGAGTTCTGGGCTTGAACTGAGATGCTTTTAGCTGTTGGTTTCTGGGCAAGTTACTTAACCTCTTTAGTCTCGTACTTATACTTGCTCTTATAACCCCGCAGTGTGTCTCTATTTTAGCACTTAATCAGTGTCCATTGGTATGCTGGCGCATGTTTAGCAGCTGGCTTTCCAGAAAGAAAAAGTCCTATTTTGTAGTGTTTGCTGATTTTTATGATATAAATATTCCCACCATGGCCACTTTCAAGCCACCAGCCTGATGTCCCTGAATATGGAGTTGGGAACATATGCACAGTAGCACACCACTATCATATAGCTACAATAGATAAAGATAGCCCCAAGAGCTTAGAAAATAAAATGTAGTAAAATAATTAGGACAAGATGAATTTATTTATTACCTCTGTCTTTAAAACAATTTTTTATTTGCAAATTTATATAACTTAATTTTTAGTAATGGTTTTTCTTTAAAAACCAGTTTGTATTTTAGGAGGCCGAGGTAGGTGGATCACCTGAGGTCAGGAGTTCAAGACCAGCCTGGCCAACATGACGAAACCCCATCTCTACTAAAAATACAAAAATTAGGCAGGCCTGGTGGCGTGCACCTGTAATCCCAGCTACTCAGGGGGACAGAGGCAGGAGAATTGCTTGAACCCAGGAGGCAGAGGTTGCAGTGAGCCAAGATCCTACCACTCCACTCCAGCCTGGGTGACAGAGCGAGACTCGGTCTCAAAAAAAAAGCCAAAAAAAATAAACCAGCTTGCAGCATTCCTGGAAATTCTAACTAACAGATGTTCTTGCATATTGATATGAGCCACCTCCAGCAGAGCACAACATGACCACAGTCTGGAACAGTCTTTGGTTTTCTTTTATGTTAGATGCATATCTCTTCCATTGTTTGTGAGTTTCCTGAGTGTGGATACTATTTATTTCTGTAACCTTAGCCCCTAACATAGTGTCTGGCAATTGTAAATACTTAATAAATATCTAATGAATTTAAAAAATATTTGTCTTAAAAGCGCCTTTTTAAAAAGGAATCCTGGAAACCATTTGTATAAATGGAAACAAATACCTGACTGTGAAAATGTCAAAACTACCCAGTGTGTCTTTCCTCAAAACGTTTTCCAAAAAGGAATTTACCTTCTCCGCGTACAAGCATCTGATGGAAATAACACATCTTTTTGGTCTGAAGAGATAAAGTTTGATACTGAAATACAAGGTAAGGCAGTAGTTTTTACTGGAGATTGTAATTCTCTGGTGCAAGTTTTTAAAATTGTTTTTCTAATTGAACATTATTTCTTTACAAATTTTTTCTAGCTTTCCTACTTCCTCCAGTCTTTAACATTAGATCCCTTAGTGATTCATTCCATATCTATATCGGTGCTCCAAAACAGTCTGGAAACACGCCTGTGATCCAGGATTATCCACTGATTTATGAAATTATTTTTTGGGAAAACACTTCAAATGCTGAGGTAAAAAGACTGTATAGTATAATTTTGTAACTTAGAGTTATAATTATGATTTGGGTAAATAAAGCTTGAATGTAAAATTTGGGGGAAATTTTTAAACTTTATGTGGGCTGGATGCAGTGGCCTGTAATCCCAGCACTTCAGGAGGCCAAGGCGAGAGGATCACTTGAGCCTAAGGGTTTGAGACCAGCCTGGGCAACATAGGGAGACCCTGTCTCAATAAAAATTTTAAAAAATTAGCCTGGTGTGGTGGCGTGCACCTATATTCCCAGCTACTTGGGGTGGGAGGGTCACTTGAACCTGGGAGGTCAAGGCTGCAGTGAGCCATGATCGTGCCACTGCACTCCAGCCTGGGTGACAGAGTGACTGACAGCTTGTCTTTAAAAAAAAAAAATGTGATTAACTCAGATATTAACAAAATGAAGATTATGAGCATTTTTCATGTTTTGCACTGTAGAGTTATGGGTGAGCTGCATCTGGGCCCCAGTTTGCTTTTAAAATACAGATTCCTGAGCCTATTGTTACTGAATCATTATCTCTGGGGATGGAACTCAGGAATTTGCATTTTTAACATGATTCCCATGTATTCATCTAAACCTGGGATTCTCAGCACTATTGACGTTTGGGCTGGATAGTTCCTTGGGAGGGGGCTGTCCAGTGCAGTGCAGGATGCTTGGCAACATTCTGGTTTCTGCCTACTAGATGCCAGTAGTGTTCCTTCCTAGTTGTGACAACCAAAAACATCTTCAGATATTGTCAAATGTCCCCTGGTGGCTCCTCCAAGGGGACAAAAATTGGTTCTTATGGGACAAAAGAATTTATGTAGTACAGTTGTTTGTTTTCCTCCAAAACCATTGGAAAGCATTCTTCCAAAGTTCAGCTTTGCCCAACAAAATCTTATTCCTTAGTATTTAATTTTATGATGGGGGAAGGATTAGGAAAAAATTGCCCAAAAAGTTGTTTAGTTGGGGAGGTAATGAAAAAAGGGTTGACAAACACTGGTCTAAACCCTAAAATTCAGATACCACTGACAAAGATAATATATACCGTCAGATAATATACGTGTTTCCCAGATCACTTCCCCCTCGTGGACTTGTAGTCAAGAATCGACCTTTAAAACTCCTGTCCAGTCAGGCTGGTAAATTCTTTAACTTCACCTCATTTTCTATTGGAAATCTAAGCAAATTCCATTGATTTGGCTGCTTCCCTTTTTAATTGTCTGACAACCCTGTAACCATAGCTTAATGTAGCCCATTGAGAATTATGGTCGGTTTTCAGATGTCTGTAGATCAGACAAACCTAAATTTCTATCTCACTGCTAAACTGTGTAACCTTACGTACGCAGGGTGCTTTACCTCTTGGAGACTTTGCTTCCTCTTCTCTGAAGTGGTGGTAATCATAACAACTAAATTTTTCAAAAGGATGTTTATAAGGTTTAAAAGGAAGTAACAAATATGAAAATACCTAGCACATTGCTGGACAAGTAGTAGAGATTCAATAAATTGTAGTTGCCATCTTAACCTATACTGGATAATATATCAATAATTGTTACTATAGAAACTCTTATTGAATACTTATATGTAAGGTACTATGCTAAGTATTGTACATGAATTGTCTCAGTCATTCTTCAAAACAACCCTGCCGGATTATGTGATTGGTTACATTGCTGTTTGGCAAATACTTGGGACGGTGACTTCTTCCCTGCACCACCAGACCGTAGATGCTGGAGCCCAAGTAGATGTGCTGAGAACAGAGGCCTTAAGTGTGCTTGCAGGGTTTGGCTTGGCTCTTGCACTGCTCCTATTTGCCAGGAATAAAATGTATTCCACATAGTCTCTGGTCCAAGGAGGATTAGAGGCTGCTGGAGCTGACCTAAACCCCATGCACAGCCTCCGTGGGAGCTGCCCAGCCAGTCTGTAGACTTGTGAGTGAGAAACTACATAATCGTTTTGTGAGCCACTGAACGTTAAGGCAGTTTTGTTATCTATATTTTTTTATTTTATTTTATTTTATTTTTTTTTTTTTTGAGACAGGTTCTCATTCTTTTTCCCAGGCTGGAGTGCACTCATGTGATGTCAGCTCACTGCAGCCTCGACTTCCTGGGCTTAAGTGATCCTCCCACCTCAGCTTCCCAAGTAGCTGGGACTACAGGCACATGCCACCATGCCTAGCTAATTTTTTGTATTTTTGCTAAAGATGGAGTTTCACCACGTTGCCCAGGCTTTTTTGGTGGTGGTGGTGGTGGTTGTTTTGGAAATAGGGATTTCCTCAGCCTCCCAAGTAACAGAGACTACAGGCTCACACCACCATGCCTGGCCAATTTTTTTGAAATTTCTTGTACAGACAGAGTCTAGCTATGTTGCCCAGGCTCGTCTTGAACTCCTGGGCTCCAGTGATCCTCCTGCTTGGCCTCCCAAAGTGCTGGGATTACAGGTGTGACCCACCGGCTTGTTAGACATTATTCTGGCGATAGCTGACTGATACAGATAGCAGCAATAACTGTCCCGATTTTATAGATCAGGGAATCAGGTAGAGAGAAATTAAATAATGCTTGCAAGACCACACAGCTGTAAGTGATACTCTTAATAAGGCAGTTTGAGGCCAAAACCCCTACTCTTAACCATTCTGTCACTAATCAGAGGTAATACAATGGCAATTACCCCAGACTTGGCATGTACTTGTAAATCAATTAGAATTCTCTTAGGAATAGATCATATGCTTTTTTGGCAGCAGCATTTTTAACTTTCTGATTTGGTTATAGTGGTGTATCTAAAACAAATTTATATTTCTCACACATATACTCTGTAATCCCAGCACTTTGGGAGGCCAAGGTGGGTGGATCACTTGAGGCCAGGAGTTCAAGACCAGCCTGAACAACATGGTGAAACCCCATCTCTACCAAAAAGAAAAAAAAATTAGGCGTGGTGGCATCTGCATCTGTAATCCCAACTACTCAGGAGGGTGAGGCAGGAGAATCGCTTGAACCCAGGAGGCAGAGATTGCAGTGAGCCCAGATTGCACCACTGCACTCTAGCCTGGGTGACAGAGCGAGACTGTCTCACAAAAAAAACAAAACAAAACAAAACAAAACAAAAAATACATACCAACTACGTGGGAGAGGCCAATGTTAGACTGAACATAAAAAATTGAGAAAGCACATATTCCCTGATTTCTTGAGGTGACTAAATTTTATCAGTGATTTAATTATATTTTCTAGAGAAAAATTATCGAGAAAAAAACTGATGTTACAGTTCCTAATTTGAAACCACTGACTGTATATTGTGTGAAAGCCAGAGCACACACCATGGATGAAAAGCTGAATAAAAGCAGTGTTTTTAGTGACGCTGTATGTGAGAAAACAAAACCAGGTCAGAATCTTTTATTGTCTTTTTTAAAAATGTAGCTAGACATAATAAAAGTAATTCTATACTGTACATTGAAAATTGTAAAACATTTTCTCTTTACTGCAAAAAATATATAGAAAGAATGTTTTCTTCATGAACTACATGAATCAAAAGTAGACTTTTTAGAAAATATTTGTAACGCTTAACTCTCAAGTCGGTGTTGTTGGATGCTTTATATTTCATCCAGTATCCCTATAATTAATTTCCTTAATGTATTTCTCTTTAACATTTAATAAAACTATTTTAAATTTTTAGAATATAATCCTTAACATAATTATCATGTAGAAATCACTTAGTTCAATTGTGAGTTTTTTAATGTGGGAATTGGTTTAGTCTCATTTTCTATTTTACAGTTTCTAGTGTTGACCGGTAGAGGCTTAGTCACAGAATATCTATTAAATTTTGCTAGTTGTATGGTGTAAAAGTGCTGAAGGATACTTGCATGTTTGGCCTGTATGTCAATATTGTATTTCTCCCTGAGGATCTCTTACTTCAGTTCCCACGCCAATCTTTAAATGTAAATGTCATTGCCTATGGTTGCTGTGGACTCAGTGCTGCCAGAAATATTTTTAAGAGTATTATTTAATAGATTTTATATTTCCTTTCATATGGCTAGTCTTTCACACAGCTGTCAGCACTGTTAAGGCATTTGTATGTCAAAATATATGCTAAATATCACGTATATCTTTTTAGGAAATACCTCTAAAATTTGGCTTATAGTTGGAATTTGTATTGCATTATTTGCTCTCCCGTTTGTCATTTATGCTGCGAAAGTCTTCTTGAGATGCATCAATTATGTCTTCTTTCCATCACTTAAACCTTCTTCCAGTATAGATGAGGTATGTTACTTTTTTTATTTTTTTGTCAACAGCTAGGTAATGAACAGAAAATGTGTTTGATTTCAACAGGATATATGTAGGTTTTCTTGATATCCAGAAAATAATAGAGACTGATTTGGGTATCTTCTTCAAAGCTTTAGTCAATTAACTTTAAAAACAGTAATTTCATGTAATAACATAGCATGAGATAGTAATGATTGTCCTTAATTTCATATTTTTCTGGCAATTCCTAGATTCACTGTGGCATTTGTTTTACCGTTTAAAGCCTGTGATTCTTGGCCAAGCGTGGTGGCTCACGCCTGTAATCCCAGCACTTTGGGAGGCTGAGGCGGGTGGGTCACTTGAGGTCAGGAGTTCGAGACCAGCCTGGTCAACATGGAGAAACCCTGTCTCTACTAAAAATATAAAATTAGCCGGGCGTGGTGGCACATGCCTGTAATCCCAGCTACTCGGGAGGCTGAGGCAGGGGGATCGCTTGAACCTGGGAGGTGGAGGTTGCAGTGAGCCGAGGTCATGCCACTGCACTCCAGCCTGGGTGACAGAGCAAGACTCTGTCTCTAAATAAGTAAATAAAGTCTGTAATGTGATTCTTCTCAGTACAGACAGTCCCAAACTTACGCTGTTTCAATTTGTGATGCGTTTGTCAGAACGTAATTCCATTGTAAGTTAGGAGCATCTGTATATATCCAGAAGACTAAAATATTCTATCAGCGTAGAAAGTATATTCTATGGATGAAATCATACAAAATGAAATAACTAAAAACATGAGACTTTTTTTATGACACACATCACAGTTTTTTGTTTGGCACTTCTATGAAGCTAGCATATTAAATGAAAGCACTGAATGGTGAAGGCCTAAACATAGAATCTGTTCCTGGGAAACCATGTGCTCATCTAGGGTGGGTTTTGTGAATTTGAGCAAGTCACTAAGGGCAGGTAAGCAAGTACCCTTGGCTGTAAACCACCCCATAGAGGTGTTAGGAGCAAAGGAGTTAAACCATAAGAACCTTACCACTCTAAAAATGCTCCGTAAATATTAACAATTTTACTATTATACCCCTGAGTTTTTAAATGTCATTCCTGTGTACTGTAATATTCATAGCTATTATTTAAAATAGACTTAAAAACTAGTTACAATAGCCAATAATTTCTCAATTGTGCTTCTTCTGGATATATATGTGTTGGATACAAACATTTTTATTATTTCAAAAAAAAAAAGTCATGATCCCAGAGTCCGCCCGCTCCTGTCCTTTCCCGTGTTCTTCCCCGCCTACCCCGATGGCACAGTGTACCTTTCTTAGGTACTCTTCAAAGACTCACCACAGAAGGTACTAAGATATGAGTGACCTCACTAATGATGCTTTTAAACATTATAAGGCAATTAGTATGTTCTTAGGCGACTTTTTAATATGCATGCCAGAAGATAGGTTTTCTCAGTAATGGATGTAAGAAACTAAAGCTATTACAACTAGAAAAGGAATTTTTATTATTTTAAATAATTGATTTCTACTCTTTCCCTTTTTTTAAATTAGTATTTCTCTGAACAGCCATTGAAGAATCTTCTGCTTTCAACTTCTGAGGAACAAATCGAAAAATGTTTCATAATTGAAAATATAAGCACAATTGCTACAGTAGAAGAAACTAATCAAACTGATGAAGATCATAAAAAATACAGTTCCCAAACTAGCCAAGATTCAGGAAATTATTCTAATGAAGATGAAAGCGAAAGTAAAACAAGTGAAGAACTACAGCAGGACTTTGTATGACCAGAAATGAACTGTGTCAAGTATAAGGTTTTTCAGCAGGAGTTACACTGGGAGCCTGAGGTCCTCACCTTCCTCTCAGTAACTACAGAGAGGACGTTTCCCTGTTTAGGGAAAGAAAAAACATCTTCAGATCATAGGTCCTAAAAATACGGGCAAGCTCTTAACTATTTAAAAATGAAATTACAGGCCCGGGCACGGTGGCTCACACCTGTAATCCCAGCACTTTGGGAGGCTGAGGCAGGCAGATCATGAGGTCAAGAGATCGAGACCAGCCTGGCCAACGTGGTGAAACCCCATCTCTACTAAAAATACAAAAATTAGCCGGGTGTGGTGGCGCGCGCCTGTTGTCTTAGCTACTCAGGAGGCTGAGGCAGGAGAATCGCTTGAAAACAGGAGGTGGAGGTTGCAGTGAGCCGAGATCACGCCACTGCACTCCAGCCTGGTGACAGCGTGAGACTCTTTAAAAAAAGAAATTAAAAGAGTTGAGACAAACGTTTCCTACATTCTTTTCCATGTGTAAAATCATGAAAAAGCCTGTCACCGGACTTGCATTGGATGAGATGAGTCAGACCAAAACAGTGGCCACCCGTCTTCCTCCTGTGAGCCTAAGTGCAGCCGTGCTAGCTGCGCACCGTGGCTAAGGATGACGTCTGTGTTCCTGTCCATCACTGATGCTGCTGGCTACTGCATGTGCCACACCTGTCTGTTCGCCATTCCTAACATTCTGTTTCATTCTTCCTCGGGAGATATTTCAAACATTTGGTCTTTTCTTTTAACACTGAGGGTAGGCCCTTAGGAAATTTATTTAGGAAAGTCTGAACACGTTATCACTTGGTTTTCTGGAAAGTAGCTTACCCTAGAAAACAGCTGCAAATGCCAGAAAGATGATCCCTAAAAATGTTGAGGGACTTCTGTTCATTCATCCCGAGAACATTGGCTTCCACATCACAGTATCTACCCTTACATGGTTTAGGATTAAAGCCAGGCAATCTTTTACTATGCATTAAGACCTCTGATTCAAAACTTATTAGAACAGTAGCTTCTGCTGGAATTTGCAATCACTGAAGTCATAGAAAATAGGTAACTATCTAATTAGAGAAATAATTGTTGTATTTTAAGATCTGAGAGTGTGTACAAGTTTTAGTATACATGCCATGCCAGAAGATAGTGTATGCAAGAAGTCTTGGGACCAGAAAATGGCAATGATAGGAGACTGACATAGAAGAAGAATGCTTCCCTAGGAAAAAGGTCGCTGGCTTTGGTGCAAGAGGAAGAAGAATGTTCCACTGGAAGCCTGAGCACCTAATCAGCTCTCAGTGATCAACCCACTCTTGTTATGGGTGGTCTCTGTCACTTTGAATGCCAGGCTGGCTTCTCGTCTAGCAGTATTCAGATACCCCTTCTGCTCAGCCTGCTTGGCGTTAAAATACAAATCATTGAACTGAGGGGGAAAAATGTAACTAGGAAGAAAAACCCAATTTAAGAAATTACATAATGCTTTCCAAAGGCACCTACAACTTAGTTTTAAATTACTTGCTACTGGGGATTACCCATGGATATCCTTAATAGGCAGGAAGTCTGGGAATTCTGGTGGCCTCTAGGGCAGTGTTCTCACAGCACCGTTCCGACAGGGACCAGTGAAAGAAAAGAGACAAAGTTAGAACGTGCTGGGGAGCGGCCATTTCTAAGGCCAGTCTGGTTTAAGTAGTCATTTCTGCTGAAAAAACAGATGATCCTGGTGGAAGAAAAGGTTGAAGGCAGCTGCCCTCGGGAGGGCTGTGATGCTCGGCACATCCTGCCTGGCACATACACGTGTCTGCAGGCCACACCGTGCATGTCCCCAGACCTGCCGCCTGGCTTCTGGAGTGCTTCAAGCAGAGCATGGTGGGTCATTGAGGAGACCCAGGAATCTCATCTGAGAACCCACTCTCTGCCGGAGAACCCCATGGTGACACATTTTCATCTTTCTGACCAGAGGCTGTTTTTTTTTTTTTTTGAGACAGTCTCATTCTGTTGCCCAGGCTGGAGTGCAGTGGCTTGATCTCGGCTCACTGCAACCTCGCCTCCCGGGTTCAAGCAATTCTCTGCCGCAGCCTCCAGAGTAGCTGGGATAACAGGTGCCCACCACCACACCCCACTAATTTTTGTATTTGTATTTTTAGTAGAGATGGGGTTTCACCATGTTGGTCAGGCTGGTCTTGGACTCCTGACCTCATGCTCCACCCGCTTCGGCCTCCCAAAGTTCTGGGATTACAGGTGTGAGCCACCGTGCACGGCCGGCCTGACCTTTGGAAAAGCCTTGTCACTTTGGACGTTTGCGTCTTTGAAGAGGCGATGGGAGCATATCATGACTGCCTGCCACCATTGCTTTTCAGACTACCACAACTCAATCATGCTGTCCAGGACTTCTGGCCCTGTGTTCACCACTGGGAAAACGTACTTCAGACTGGATAGCCTAAAAAGGAGCAATGCCCTTGTAGGATGTGGAGAAGGGAAAATACGGACATTAACATTAAAAGACACCAGTGAAATTGTTAGGTCTCTAGGAAGTTGGAGCACAAGGCTTCACGCTTTAAGACCATCTGTGGTTTTCAGTGAACAAGCGCTGAGCACCAGCAGCAGAAAACAACAACAAAAAAACACCTCGTTTTTACCTTGTCTTCTAGACATGAAAAGGCAGTTGCATTCCACTCTGCATTATGTTCTACATGTTGCTTTATCAGTATATGCTTAGCTGTAAGTGACAAGTATTTTTTCTGAACAGAAGTTTACTTAGAAATACCATGCACTTGGGGGTACCAATTAACCGCCTGAAAATTAGCATATTGATAGTTCTTAGAGAGACCAGATATAATCTAAGAATTTATATGAAAGATTTGTATCATTAGAGCCAGAAATAATTTTATATTAATATATAATACAGATTAACATTATATATAATATGTACCTGTGTCACTTCTGACATGAGCCTGTAAACATATATTCATATATGTACCTGCACATGTACCCACCTGATGTAGGTCTTATTCCTTTAGTATGGACTTAAAGTACTTATTCATATACCTTGTAACTAAAAATTAGAACAGCTCCCTAGAATTGTGAACTTTTAAGAGTCTGACTAGAAATTTGCAACTTATAAAAAAGTTACTTTTAAAAATATAAGTTAGGGCTAGGCACAGTGGCTCATGCCTATAATCTCAGCACTTTTGGGAGGCCAAGACAGGAGGATCACTTCAGGCCAGGAGTTCAAGATCAACCAACCTGGGTAACATGGCCAGACCCCATCTCTATTTATATATATATATATAAAACTTAGAGTTTTTATCTTCCCCTAAAAGAGGCCGTGATATTTGCAGCAGCCTCAAATTGCTCTTAAGGGGTTTAGGTGTGCAGAAGCTTTCCTTTCCCTACCCAGTAACCATGTGACTACTAACGTGGTATATTGATTTATTTTGTTTGCTGTCTGTCTCCCCTGCCCCACTGCTGGAACAGAGGCTCCAAGAAAACAGGGACCTTATTATTCATTACTGCATCCCCAGTAATGAAAGTACTTAGAAAATAATTATTGAATGAATGAAATCTAAACTGTGAACCTGAGGGTGTTTGTGGCAGTGTTTGTTTTACTGAATTGTAGAAGGACATAACCGTGTTTTCAGTGTTTCTATGGAACAAACTTGTACATTTTATTTCACTTGTGTTTTGTCTTAAACCCTACTGCTGGAAACAATTTTATGTAATAAGCAATGGGCCCAAAAGTCTAGGAGTTTTTTTGTACTTAGTGAATTTGTATGCAACAGAGATGCTGCAGCTGATGCCTTTAAAAGGTATTCATCATGGAAGAGCTGAGGCCTGTGCTTGGTGTTCCAGAGCCCAGGGTTGAGCATCCTGAAGGAGCCACTGCAGCCGTCACTGTCCCCAGAGCCTGTGGAGATAGAGCCTGTTTGCTGCTTTTTCTTCCCGCTCTTAAGACATGGCTGGAGCTCAGTCTTCATTGAATGAAGTTTGCTGTGGTATTGCATAGCCTTGCTTTCTTGAACTAAACTGTTTGCCCTTCACAAGTAGTTCTTCTTTCAGGATTAGTTCGTTCCAAGGAGGCTCTTCAGTCTCACAGATAAGTAGATCTCTCCTGCTGTCTGGACACATTTCACTCGGAAATTGAATACAATTTGTATTCAGGCTGGGAACCTGAACACACACTTGTGTTTTTAAGCTTCCCTTTTTTACAGTGGACAAGGACACAAATAATAAATAAATCATCCCTAATGCCCAAGAAATGCCCTGGTACTTAGTAATAACAAAATACCAGTAACTTCCAGTTGTTTCTCACTACCTTTTTTCTTGAGTAGGATGATAATAGAATTACAACTCTTGAGGGCAACATAAATATAGGTGGATATTTGTGGTATGATATTGATGGAAAAATAGCAATCTTTTTCTTTACCTGAGGGGAACAAAGGCAAGAGGAGAATTCGATAGTTCTCATAACAAAGGATTTCTGAGTTTTCCTCCCCTTTCTGTGATCTGTCTCCACTTGGAACTCATGTTCTAGCAAAGGACATTTTGTGGGTGAAGAAGTGATTAATGATTAGGATGAAGAAAATGTTGGCAGTTCCAGCCTGGCCAACATGGTGAAACCCCGTCTCTACTAAAAATACAAAAATTAGCCAAGCATGGTGGCATGTGCCTGTAATCCCAGCTACTGGGGAGGCTGAGGCAGGAGAATCGATTGAACCCGGGAGGCGGAGGTTACAGTGAGCTAAGATCGCACCACTGCACTCCAGGCTGGGCGACAGAGCGAGACTCCATCTCAAAAGAAAAAAAATGTTGGCAGAGAAGATGTTCTGTTGTTTTTTTTTTTTTTTAAGGTCTTGAGAAAAGGGAGGAAGTTGAAAAATTTTATCACTCAATAGCTGGATTAAATTAAACATTACGTCTCACAGTGACTCACCACCCTTGAGCCTCCCTCCCAGATTTTCTGGATACATCAAAGTTAAGAAGAAAAACCTATTTTCCTATCTTTCCAGTAAAAGGACCCTTTTTTCTAAACATAGTCCTTAAATATATAATAGGCTTTTTGTGTACTTGACTCTGTTGTCTATTCCCAAATTTTATAATACTTTTAATATTCTGGAATTGTACTTAGAGAGATTATTCTAAATGTTGTAGTATAAAAGTACATCATCCACTCTGAAATCTCCCTAAAAGAACTCCACTGCATACACGTGGAGAAGTCATCATGCCCCATCTGTGTCTGTACCTGCGGGTGTGTCTAGCATGCTCCCTAGGGAAGGGATTTTATACCATTTGCTTATATTTATTTGGCAAGCTCCATGAAAACAAGGACTGTTTTTTAACTTTGTGGCTGACACTTGGTTGCCTAAGTGTTTAACGGTGATTGAGCGGGGACGTTGACGGTACAAACACTGATTGAATTTACCACTGGAGGGCAACAAGTCACCCTGTTCAGGCTGACAATCGGTTACTATTCAATAATTCCATTCCCAGAAGATACGCCAAGTATGTTTATACAGGTGGTTTCTTAAAGTTCTGTTTGTGATTATCTCGTCTTGAGCAAATGAGGAAAGGATGTGAAGAATCTGGTGTCCCCATGATCTCACCCAGAAATGGTTTGGTAGTTACAAAGCAAGATAGAGCAGTTGAGCAAATACTTAGCCCATCTAGTCCTCTACCACTACCACCTTCGCCTTTTAATGAGCAGGACTTTGTAGTAAGCGAGTTGTTGAAAAGGAGCTCCACATACTTAGTAACAGCCTCGGAGCGGATGGAAAGAAGTAGGCATTGCTGCAGAGCTGAGATGAACCTGCAAGGAGACAGCCTTGGCCCCAGGGAATGATCACTGCACTGCGCCCCCTACTGGCCTGGCTGAGATGACTAGCTGTGATTCCCTCCTTAGTCTCACCTGTTGAAGATGGCGCAGAACAGTTACAGCCATGATCAAAAAAGATAATTAATACTTTAGTGTCTCCTGCCCTATCCGCCCCCAGGGAGAGGCCAGACCATTCAGGGTGCCAGCTGGAGGTTATAAGGGTGGAGTGTGGAGACAGTGTTTCGTGTCACTACTTCCTTTTTTTTTTTTTTTTTTTTTTTTTTTGAGACAGAGTTTTGCTCTTGTCGCCCAGGCTGGAGTGCGGTGGGGCGATCTCGGCTCACTCCAACTTTCACCTCCCAGGTTCAAGCAATTCTCCTGCCTCAGCCTGCTGAATAGCTGGGATTACAGGCGCCTGCCACCACGCCCAACTAATTTTTCTATTTTTAGTAGAGAGCTTCCTGATAGCTGAACATGCAGAGGCTGCTGGGAAGGGCATAGAATCTCTGCAGTCCTTCTCACATACCTTATCCTATGTATCTCTTCATCTGTATCCTTTGTAATAGCCTTCATAATAAACCGGTAAACATAAGTTAGTGTTTCCTCTAGTTCTGTTAGGCAATCTAGCAAATCAGTTGAACACAAGGAGGGGGCCATGGGACCCTCAATTTATAGTCATTCAGTCATAACAGGTAAAACCTGGGGCTTGCAATTGGCATCGGAAATAAGGGGGCAGTCTTGTGGGAATGAGCTCTCAACCTGTGAGATTGAAGCAGCATGGTTGTCTGGGGTAATACGTGTGGTTTGTTGCCCCACGCCAAGGAAATCGAGGATGGGGACACAAAAGGAGTGGGTTCAAGAGCGGAAGTTTAGCAGGCAAAAGAAAGAAGAGACCTTCCCTGTGCAGAGGAAGGAGTCCCGAACAGGTTTCCGGGTTTACAGCGAGATGCGGTTGCTTTTATAGATGAGCTTGAGGAAGCGGTGTCTTATTTACGTAGGGCACAGAGGATTGGTTGGACCAGGTGTTCCATTTACATAGCACAGGAAGAGGCTGGCCATCCCACCCTCATCTGTTATTATGCAAATGGCACCTCTACCTAGCCCAGGCCTTGTTGCCTGCTTTTTTACTGCACACGTGGCAACAAAGAAAAGGGAAAAGGGAACTTCAATATTGAATATACCTGACTTCCAAGTATCCCTTTCCTATTGGCACAGCTGCTGGCATTCGCCTATGCAAGCTTCCAGTTTGCTTATCTATGTTTGCAGCTTGAGTTTTCAGGCTCTTTTTGTTAGAAAAGAAATGATTTGGGGCTTCTTTTTATTAAAAGGCAAACCTTACTGAGGACTCTTTTATCCTCACTAACTGCCTAAATAAATTTTGTTTAGGTGTTGTATCAGGATCTGATGCTATCTCCAGGTAGACAGTGTCAGAATTAAATAGGAGGATACCCAACCAGTGTCTGCTGCAGAATTGATTGCCTTCTTGTTAATGGGGAGAAATCACTACGCATTTGGTCACAGAAGTCTTCTGTGTTTATTGTTGTGGCATGAGAGCAGAGGAAAAACGGTTTGAGATTTTTCCCCTCAAAAACATAGGGGAAATCTTCATGATATTGGACTTGGCAATGATTTATTGGCTATGACACCAAAAGCACAGACAACAAAAACAAAAGTAGACAAATGGGACTACATCAAACTTAAAAACTTCTGCATATAAAAGGAAATAATCAATGGAAAAGACAACCTTTGGAATTGGAAAAATTATTTGCAAAATATTTGCTTTGATAGATTAGCAGATAAAATGTGGTGTTCACATGCCACGGAATATTATTCAGCCTTTAAAAAGAAGGAAATTCTGAGGCCGGGCGTGGTGGCTCACGCCTGTAATCCCAGGACTTTGGGAGGCCGAGGCGGGCAGATCACGAGGTCAGGAGATCGAGACCATCCTGGCTAACACGGTGAAACCCCGTCTCTACTAAAAATACAAAAAATTAGCCGGGCGTGGTGGAGGGTGCCTGTAGTCCCAGCTACTCGGGAGGCTGAGGCAGGAGAATGGCGTGAACCCGGGAGGCGGAGCTTGCAGTGAGCCGAGATCGCACCACTGCACTCCAGCCTGGGCGACAAAGTGAGACTCCGTCTCAAAAAAAAAAAAAAAAAAAAAAAAGGAAATTCTGTCATGTGCTACAACATAGGTGAAGCTTGAGGACATTATGTATGCTATGTGAAATAGGCCAGCAACAAAAATATAAATACCATGTGATTCTACTTACATGAGGTTTCTAAAGCAATCTAATTTCTAGAGACAGAAATTAGACCGATGATTGCTGGCGGCTCAAGGAAGGGGAAAATGGAGAGTTGTTCAGTGGCTATAAAGCTTCAGTTTTTCAAGATGAAAAAGTTCTGAAAATAGGTAATACTACTGAATTGTATGTGTAAAATGGTTAAGATAGTAATTTTTTTTTTTTTAAGAGACAGGGTTTCACTCTGTTGTCCAGACTGGCCTCAAACTTCTATCTCAAGCGATCCTTCCGCCTCAGCATCTGGAGTAGCTGGGACTATAGGTGTGCACCACCACACCCAGCTTTAAAAAGGTCACTATTTTACTTATTTATTTTTAATTAGGGCAGACTTAACAGTAAGTGATTCATCCTTGGTTTCTGATACATTATTTCCTCCTTTTTCTAAAGGAAGTCTGCTCTCTGCCATTATTTTATCTGCCCAGAATACAAGTATAGTAACGTCTTATTACAAGCTATACAAATCCTTTTTCAAAGTGAGTGTGCAGACTGGGCTTGGCGGCTCACGCTTGTAATCCCAGCAATTTGGGAGGCTGAGGTGGGTGAATCACTTGAGGCCAGGAGTTTGAGATCAGCCTGGCCAACATGATGAAACCCCATCTCTACTAAAAGTACAAAAATTAGCGGGGCATGGTGGCACACACCTATAATCCCAGGTACTCGGGAGGCTGAGGCAGGAGAATCACTCGAACCCGGGAGGCAGAGGTTGCAGTGAGCCGGGAGTGCACCACTGCACTCCAGCCTGGGCAACAAAGTGAGACTCTGTCGTGAGTGTGCAGTTCATCACGTAGGCTTGTGTTGATGTCAACATAAGGCAAGTACTTCCTCATTGCTCTACATCAGTGAAGAAATGTGAACACCAAGGTTTAGACTGAGAAGTAGGGCAGGGAGATTGGATGGAGGTAAACTTTAAACATTTCATGTCTTAATTTCTGCTTGTTTACCCCCAAGAGAATTTTATAAATCCATTTATTTCTTCATGTTTTAATTAACATCTAAAATATTTCCTGACACGTTTAAATAGTTGCAAAAGAAATACTTTACAGTAAGTTGTAAATATTCACATTTTAAAATAAACTTGCTTTATCGCTCTTATAAATGCATTCAATGGAATCTCCTATCAAAGCAATTTGATACCCATCATTGTCTACTTTGAAATTACAGAAACTCGGCCAGACATGGCGGCTCACTCCTGTAATCCCAGCACTTTGGGAGGCCGAGGCGAGAGGATTGTTTGAGTCCAAGAGTTCAAAACCATCCTGGACAACATAGTGAGACGACCTTGTCTCTACAAAAAAATGAACAGAATTAGCCAGGTGTGGTGGTGTGTGCCTGCAATTCTAGCTACTTGGGAAGCTGAGGTAGGAGGATCTCTTGAGCCCTGGAGGTCAAGGTATAGTGAGCCAACATTGTGCCACTGCACTCCAGCCTGGGCAACAGAGCAAGACCCTGTCTCAGAAATATTTTTTTAAAAATTTTTTTAAAAAGAAACTCCAGAAACTGTTCTTTATGGGTTCTGAAACTTTACACCATTTCCTTTCCTCCTTGAATTCATATTCTTATTCCCACAAAAGTTCATCTTCATGCAGTAGATTTATTGATCATCTATCGTATATCTTTGCAACAAAAAAGTATATAAATTGATATATTTCTTTTTATATGATCATAGTCTCTGAATGTTAAAAAGAAAAAAATCTGGTTGGGTGCGGTGGCTCATGCTTGTAATCCCAGCACTTTGGGAGGCCGAGGTGGGTGGATCACGAGGTCAGTAGTTCAAGACCAGCCTGGCCAAATGGTGAAACCCCGTCTCTACTAAAAATACAAAAATTAGCTGGGCACGGTGGCAGGAGCCTGTAATCCCAGCTACTCAGGAGGCTGAGGCAGAAGAATCACTTGAACCCTGGTGACAGAGGTTGCAGTGAGCCAAGATCAAGCCACTGCACTCTAGCCTGGGGGACAGAGTGAGACTCCATCTCAAAAAAAAAAAGAAAGAAAGAAAAATAGCTTTTCTGGATTATTATTGCAATTATTAGTATACAGTTGATCAAATATTTCATAACCTTTGATAAATAATTTTTCAGCATAAAAAGTCCAATTTCACTGGAAATGCATCTCTTTTATTTATTTACTTATTTATTTATTTTGAGACAGAGTCTCGCTCTGTCACCCAGGGCTGGAGTGCAGTGGTGCTATCTCAGCTTGCTGCAACCTCTGCCTCCTGGGTTCATGCGATTCTCCTGCCTCAGCCTCTCGAGCAAGTGGGATTACAAGTGCATGCCACCATGCCTGGCTAATTTTTTGGATTTTTAGTAGAGACAGGGTTTCACCATATTGGCCAGGCTGGTCTTGAACTCCTGGCCTCAAGTGATCTGCCTGCCTCAGCCTCCCAAAGTGCTGGGATTACAGGCATGATCCACCACACCCTGCCTGGAAATACATCTCTTAATTAACTGGATGGAGCTTCTTCCCTCTTCCTTCAATGCCTGCAGGTGTCACAGATGAACATGCCTTCTTGCCACATGGAGACAGGACCTAGTGCCTCTGCTGCTCCTGTTTTCCATGTTTTGGGGTGAGGCTTTGTGATGGGCTTGGAAGGAATCCCAAAGTGTCACCTCCACTCGAGTCTTTGGATTCTTTCTGATTTATAGGTCAAAAGCTATTTAGTGAACATTTATCAAAAATTATCTCTATCTAGTTGCTGAGCATGATATGAAAGGAAAATAAAAACTCGGGACTCCAATTCACTCTGCCAAAAGAAAAAAACTAAGCTGAAAGCTGAGTCATGCAAGAAGCTGCCTTTCCTTTTGTTCCTAAGCAGAGAGCTAGAGGTAAAGGTAAGTGTCTTGGGGGGGATATTTAACCTACTCTGTGTTCACCTTATCTTCTGTAAAGTGCTGATTTTCTGAGCATACAAGGAATACATAATTGAAATTGACTATTCCCCTACCTGCTCCTTTTCTCTTGCAACTTGTGGATTCGATAATGTGACCATACCCTCCTTCTTTCCATACCAGCCTGTTTTTTCCCTTATATTGAAGCCCTCAAAATCATCTTTGGAGAAAGGCACAGACCTGTCTCCTGGGCATTGTCCTTAACCTTGGCAAAGTAAACTTCTCAATTGAGACCTGTCTCAGATACTTTTCAGTTTACAATCAACAGCAGCTAACATTGACTGGGCGTGGTGGCTCACTCCTGTAATCTCAACACTTTGGGAGGCCGAGGCAGGTGGATCGTTTGAGCCCAGGAGTTTGAGACCAGACTGGGCAACATGGTAAAAACCCTCTCTACAAAAAATACAAAAAAGTAGCTGGGCGTGGTGGTGCACACCTGAGTCCCAGCTACTCAGGAGGCTGAGGTAGGAGAATCACTTGAGCCCAGGAGGTGCATGTTGCAATGAGCCAAGATCAAGCAACTGCATTCCAGCCTGAGTGACAGATTGAGACCCTGTCTCAAACAAAAAGAAAAAGAAAAGAAAAGAAAAAACCCAGCAGCTAACATTATAAAAACAGAAACTGCCAAACATTATACATCTCCTGATGGACAGATCAGGAGTAGTCTTGAAAAAACCCATTGTTAGGAATGATAAATTCCTCTTCAAAGGGTTTAATTGTGTAAAGTTCTTGCTCTTTGTTCAGAAGCCCAACCTCCTTGTACTCTCATTTCTAGCCTGCAAACAACTCTTCCGCTCTGATTGTGCCCTGACATGCCCAGACATGTTCAGACATGCCTTGTACTCTAACAGACAAACTACTCCTACCCCATCCTTCTCTTAACTGCACGTTTGCCATATTTAGAGAAAGTTTAAGTCTTATCCAGTTGGGTTAGTTTAGATTGTGCGGTCCAACTCCAACCAATGGGGAAAGGACACAGGAACAGAAGCTGCATGCGGGGTAAAAACCCTTCTCTCCTTTGTTCGGTGTGCTCTTGCAAGCAGATGGACACAGGCAGCACTCTTCTGCAGAAGTAAATGTGCCTTGCTGAGAAATTTTCTGTCTAAGTGCTGGTTTTTCTTTGCAGCACTGAGTGCTTGTTTCTAACACCATCCTGACCTGGCCTTAGATCGAATTGCCAACTTATAGAAAATACAGGGGACAAAGAAACAGGTTACATGATACTGTACAGATGCAAATTCCAGACTATGAGCAAGTCTGTATGACAAAAGGGCTGGTTTCATTAACAAATCAATTGCAAGGAAAAAGAGGGAGAGCTTATCTCTTTTCTTTTCTTTTCTTTTCTTTTCTTTTCTTTTCTTTTTTCTTTTCTTTTCTCTTCTTTTCTTTTTTGAGACAGAGTTTCGCTCTGTCGCCCAGGCTGGAGTGCAGTGGCACAATCTCAGCTCACTGCAATCTCTGCCTCCTGGATTCAAGCGATTCTCCTGCCTCAGCCTCCCAAGTAGCTGGGATTACAGGCACCCACCACCATGCCCAGCTAATTTTTGTATTTTAGTAGAGACGGGGTTTCACCATGTTGGCCAGGCTGGTCTTGAACTCCTGACCTCAGGTGATTCTCCCACTTCAGCCTCCCAAAGCGTTTGGATTACAGGCATGAGCCACCACACCCAGCCAAGCTTATCTGTTTTCAATTGTGTGTGTGTGTGTGTGTGCACATGAGAGAGAAAGAGGAAGTTACATTTATGAGACTGATAGTGGCAAGAGGCAGGCAAATGCCTAGGCAGATAACAGCGGGTCCCTGGTGAAACCCCACTGCCAAGCCAAAAACAGTTTAAAGCCTGAAAGTCAAGCTACAGGTCACATCCACGGACTGGATTGAGAACCTGTCTTCCCATTTGGTGCACTTTCCTCTGATTGAGCCCCACCCTTCACCTGTTTTATATATACCTCCTAATTGGTTCTCTACACTGTCATGCCCACCTTTCAGTGGTGTCTTTGCTTTAGCCTTTTTTGCATACTCACAAACCAATCAGCATGCACTCCCCTATTCTGAGCCCATAAAGACCCCAAACTCAGCCACACTGGGAGAGAGAAACCACCTGACTGTGGGGATCAGGGACCACCCCCACGTCCACTCTCCACTGAGAGCTGTTCTGCTCAACAAAATTCTTCTCTGCCCATCCTCCGCCTTCGAATTGTCAGCATATCCTCATTCTTCTCATTCTTCTTGGACAAGAGCTTGGGAACTGGGTACAAGCCATAATGCAGGTGGGGCTGAGTGGTCAGGATGTCTCCAGCAGCAGGCCTGGGGCTGAGCAAAGCCCAGGTGAGGTTGGGAGTGGGGGTGTGTGTCCCCAGCCATGGAGGTCCCTGCTTGGCAAAGTGGTAGAGAAAAATCCTGTGTCAAGACAATTAAAACTTTTAACACCAACAATTTTTTTTTTTTTTTTTTGGATACGGAGTCTTGCTCTGTTGCCCAGGCTGGAGTGCAATGGTGCAATTTCAGCTCACTGCAAACTTCACCTCCCGGGCTCAAAGGATTCTCCTGCCTCAGCCTCCAGAGTAGCTGGGACTACAGGTGCACACCACCACACCTGTCTAATTTTGTATTTTTAGTAGAGACAGAGTTTTGTCATGTTGGCCAGGCTGGTCTTGAACTCCTGACCTCAGGTGATCCACCCACCTCAGCCTCCCAGAGTGCTGGGATTACAGGCATGAGCCACCATGCCCAGCTAAATTTTTTTTGTTTTCATTTGTCACATAGATGAGGGCTTCCTATGTTGCCCAGGCTGGTCTCGAACACCTGACCTCACCTCATTATGTGATTATGTGCCAGGACAATAGGCCTGAGCCACTGCACCTCCCACAATTTTTGTAATATGAATTACTAACTTATTTTGTGCCAGCTAATAATATTATGGTATCTTGTGCTTTAAATAAGATGCGTCTGAAATGTTTATAGATGAAGTAAGATAATATTTGAAATTTACTTCAAATGAACACTGGAGGAAAGGTACAGAAATGCAGGGCAGTGCAATGGGTGTAATGCACTGTGCACAAGGGAAGGCCTTATTCCCCCACCTGCTGAAGCATTGCCAAGAGACAGCCTGGCTCTGTCAGTATCTTCAAGAAGCACCTCACTGAGGAGTACCAGCCTGTGCTGAGCCCTTGTCTGTGACAGCCCACATCCAGTGTCTTCTCCATCAGGGCTTGCCCCACTGGGTCAGCTCCCAGGTCCATCCCCTAGAACTCACTCTTCCCAGCCCTGCTTCCTTCTCTCCCTTGCACAGATTTGATCCTGGGAGCACTCCCTATTCAACTTCCTGCAAGCTAACCTGGATCTCAGAGCCTGCTTCCAGGGAACTCATCCTGTACAAGTTGAAACAAAACTAGCCGTGAATGGATAATTCTTAAAGCTGAGTGTGATAGGTAGAATTCAAAGATGGTCCCCAAGGTCCCTACCTCTGATATAAACACCCTGTATCATCCCCAGTACTGTCTGGCAATAGATTTTACTCCTGTAACTAGCTTCTTTGGCACAGTTGACCGCTAGCCGGGGAGAGGAGTATTCTGGTGGGCCTGACCTAAATCACATGAGCCCTCCAAAAGCAGAGTTTTCTCTGGCTCCTCCCAGACAGCAATTCAAAGCACAGGGATTCAACAGGCTGCTGATGGCTTTAAGGTGGAGGGAGCCACAGTGCATGGGATGCAAGTGGCTGGTAGCAGCTGGGGCAGCCACTGTGGGCAGTCAGCATGGAAACAGGGTCCTAGGTCCTGCAGCCGCAAGGAATGGAATTCTGCCAACAGGAGCAGACTTCAAGAATTCTCCCCCACAGAGCCTTCAGATGAGAACACAGCCCAGCCGACACCTTGACTTCAACCTTACAATATGCTGAGCAGAGAGCCTAGCCATGCTGGACTTCTGACCACAGGGTGTGAGCTAATCCATGAATATTGTTCTAAGCTGCTAAGTGTGTAGGAATTTGTTGCACAGCAACAGAAACCTAATATACTAGGTGACAGGCACAGAGAGGTTCATAACCCTAGTCTATTTCTGTACAAGTCTGAAACTTTCCATAGTGAAGAAAACCAAAATATTTCACCCCAAAATATATTTCCTTGACATAGTTCAAGATGGTGATTCAGAAGGGCTAGAAATACAAGAGCAACTAAAACGCTGTCTTTTGTCAGGGAGATTTGCATCTGTCGAGAAAATCTGCACGGATGCAACCAGGCTTCCTCTCAGGCCCTCCCTTGTCCTATCCAGGAAAGATTAACTGAGAGTCAGACATCTTTAAAGGTCCGAAAAGCATTCATCACCTATTCTCTCTGAGCACTGCTATCTGTAAACTTTCTAACAAGACCACCTTTGCTAACCAGACCTCATCTTCTCCCCCTCCCATACCTGTTTTGCCATGATTCAAGTCCCCATTCTGTCTGTACACTCAGGAAGGCATGGAAGCTACTGAGCCCCACTGGGGAGTTGGGGTCATCACTCTGGGGTTCTCCTGTGTGCACGTTAATACATTTGAATGCCTTTTATCCTTTTAATCTGCCCTTTTTTTTTTTTTCTGAGATGGAGTCTCACTCTGTTGCCCAGGCTGGAGTGCAGTGGCATGATCTCGGCTCACTGCAGCTTCCACTTCCCAGGTTCAAGTGATTTCAAGTGATTCTCATGCCTCAGCCTCCCAAATAGCTGGGATTATAGGCACGCCCCACCACACCTGTCTAGTTTTTCTATTTTTAGTAGAGACAGGGTTTCGCCACGTTGGTCAGGCTGGTCTCAAATTCCTGGGTTCAAGCGATCCACCCATCTCAGCCTCCCAAAGTGCTGGGATTATAGGTGTGAGCCACCAGGCCCAGCCTTTATCAGCCTTTTGTCCACTGATTTTTCAGCAAAACCTCAGAGGGTGAAGAGGAAGTTTTCCCTTCGTCACCATAACAGTCATCATAAATGTTTAAAATCCTGATTTTCATGTTGCTAATCGAAGCTGAGTGTTGGGAACTCAGCTGAGTGGCTCATTATACTTCTCTCTAATTTCAGGAACATATAAAATTTCCCATAATAAAACCTTCAAAAATTTGTACAATGATTGATTGGTCAGCAGGCAATTTGAGTAGTTCCTACTTACATTATTTTTGTAAGCAAATATTAATAAGTGCCAGCCTTCTTAAAGGGCTTGTCACCCAGTCACTGGAATCATTCTGTTTCTCAACTGAGTTGTCTCTTAGCTTGTGCCCCAGAGATTTTCACACCCAGGTCATCCTAGTGAGAGTCCAAGGGTGGGAGAGAGGAGCATGCTTTTCTTTATGAAGTAAAGGAAGGGTGATTGTGGAAGGGAAGGTGGAAAAGAACCTCAAAACGTGGGCCCTGAAGATGAATTGTAGGCAAAAGCACTTATGGAAGCTGAGAGATTGCAAATTAATTGCATTAAAGCAGTGGTGGCAGTTTTACCCCCAGAGGAATTTCGCATTGTCTGGAGACATTTTCGGTTGTCACAACTGGAGGGTGGGGGTAGGTGCTACTGGCATCTAGTGGGTACATGCACAGAACAGTCCCTTTTTCCCCACCCAAGTATCATCTGGCCCAAAACGTCAACAGTGACCAGGTGGAGAGACTATGCCTTAGACACATCTGTGTCCACACTTCTGGAAAATCACCAGAAACCCCTAAAATTGTGCATACTCTTTTTTTTTTTTTTTTTTTTTTGAGATGGAGTCTCACTCTGTTGCCCAGGCTGGAGTGCAGTGGCGCAATCTCGGCTCACTGCAAGCTCCTCTTCCCGGGTTCACGCCATTCTCCTGCGTCAGCCTCCCAAGTAGCTGGGACCACAGGCGCTCACCACCACGCCCAACTAATTTTTTTTTGTATTTTTTTCATAGAGACGGGGTTTCACCATGTTAGCCAGGATGGTCTCGATCTCCTGACCTCGTGATCCACCCATCTCAGCCTCCCAAAGTGCTGGGATTACAGGCGTGAGCCACCGCGCCTGGCCAAAGTGTGCATACACTTGACTTTGTTACTTTGAGAGACGTATTTCAATTTTTCTGCTACTAAAAGTGATTGCTTCTACTTGGGAAGGTATGAGCATGGGATGTAGCATTTGTCACTGCAGAGAGGCCAGCAGCCCCCAGGTCTGTAGCAAGACACCCATGCCCTCACTTAATGCTGAAGGAGACCATTGGACTGGCTCCAGAGGGCACCGCCCAGGTGCGCGGGTGCGGTAGGATTGTTTTTGGGGAACCCTGGGGCCAGGCCTCACCTTGTGGGTGGAGTAGAGAGGTTGCTCCTAAAAGAAATGAGAATGGGCCTGTAATCCCAGCACTTTGGGAGGCCGAGACGGGCGGATCACGAGGTCAGGAGATCGAGACCATCTTGGCTAACACGGTGAAACCCCGTTTCTACTAAAAATACAAAAAATTACCCGGGCATGGTGGTGGGCGCCTGTAGTCCCAGCTACTTGGGAGGCTGAGGCAGGAGAATGGCATGAACCTGGGAGGCGGAGCTTGCAGTGAGCCGAGATCGCGCCACTGCACTCCAACCTGGGAGGCACAGCGAGACTCCGTCTCAAAAAAAAAAAAAAGAAATGAGAATGGGCGGGCGCCGTGGCTCACGCCTGTAATCCCAGCACTTTGGGAGGCTGAGGCGGGCAGATCATGAGGTCAAGAGATCAAGACCAGCCTGGCCAACATGGTGAAACCCCGTCTCTACTAAAAATACAAAAATTAGCTGGGCGCGGTGGTGCGCACCTGTAGTTCCAGCTACTCGGGAGCCTGAGGCAGGAGAATTGCTTGAATCTGAGAGGCGGAGGCTGCAGTGAGCCGAGATCGCGCCACTGCACTCCAGCCTGCTAATAGAGTGAGACTCCGAAAAAAAAAAAAAACAACGAGAGTGAGCCTCAGCCCTCCTGGGAAGCAAATGAAATGAACTTCAGGCCAGGAAATGAAGACTTGAAGGAATCCATAATCCCTGATTCAGGGAGGCACCTCTCCCTCCCTCTGATCTCAAGGTGCGTGGGCATCTACCAGGGTGAGAGATTTGCCTGAGGGCACTGTGATTCTGAAGAGGTTGGCCTGGCTCCTTAGCAGACAGGAGGCCCTTCAAGGCCCTGAGTTCATTCCTGTGGGTTCCAAGCATGGCCCCAGCATGGCAGCATTAACAAGTGACTGCCTGGGTAGGAATTCCCTTCCTTTACCCATAAACCTTCAGGGAAGTCACATTAAAGCTGTAATCTTGTCACCACTATCTCTTTGGAAAATGAAGGGAGGGATTTATGCCCAGAGTTGGCTGAACCAGTAGAGAGACAAGCAAAAGGCAGGAGGTGCCAGTGTGGTGAGCAGACCCCTTGGGGAATAGTAAGCAGGCTCTGCTACCAGATGACCAGTTTCTTCGAAACTGGGAGAATTCATCTGAAATGATTATTTATGAAGTTCAAGTATATATTCACCCTGAGCAAGAAGAGTTTATTTGATTTCATTAAAATCATAACTGCATGGAAAACAAGTTGGTAAAATAAAGCATTTGTGTTGCACGTGTTTTCCTCTAAAATTAAACTGGGATTATACCCAAAAGCTGCCTTCTGTAACCAGCTCTGTACCAGTTTGGCTGGTATCTACTTCCTGAAACTCACATCTTTATGACAATAATCATCAAGAATAAATACATGAAGCAAAGCTGGGTCTTCCTAGTTCTGTTGCTGCTTGTCACTTCAGGGAAAGGAAGTTGAAAGAAAGAAGACCGAGTATATTTGTTCATCCTACAAACTGTGTGAGTGTATTGTATGCCCTATAAGGTGCACATCTACTCATTGCCAGGTTCAAGGATCTTTGACTTGGACAAAGTAGAAATTTGGGATGTATACTGCTTTTGGGACTTTCCTTCAACTGTAAACAATTATTATGGAGAAGCATACATTTCTCTGATTCTTTGTTGGCCTTTCAGCCTCTTGACCCACTTCCTCAAATGTATAGTGGTTTTTATATTAAATTTTCCCCTTGACTAAGCAAAGCATGTAGTGTCCAGTTACACTTCCTCTTCAATAGGGAAATGCTTATTTTTTCTATTTGTAGAACTTAAAAGCAAACAGTTGCAATATGAAAAAAATTACTTAGTTCACCCCCCTAGAGTGTGGAAATGGATGATTCAGAATTATTATCAAGTATTTCTTTTGGAGGTTGTACAAAGTTCAGATTCGCAATTAGGCACAAAACAATGTCTTGAAGGGATAGGGACTCCAGGGTACAGTAACCCAATTTGAATTCCAGCCCTGCCACCTACTGGCCGTGTGACTTTGGGCAAATAACTTTAGGTCTCTGTACCTAAAACCCCAAGAAGTGCTTGGTAAGTATTATATAATAATTATAGTAATAAACATAAACTTGGCATGCTCATGCTCACATCGGTATCACAGGGACATTGTAAAGAGAAATGATGAGCATGCAGCTTCTAGCGCAGTTCATAGTTGCAGTATTATCTAGATGATTCTAGGGTCATGTGCTTCAGTCACTTTTTTTTTTTTTCAATAGAGGCAAGGTCTTGCTATGTTGCCCAGATTGGTCTTGAACTCCTGGGCTCAAGTGATCCTCCTGTCTCAGCTTCCCAAAGTGCTGGGATTACAGGCATGAGCCACTGCACTCAACCAAGACACATTTTCCTTCACACACACACACAAGTCCTCCATTATAAAATGGGAGGTGCTGATGCTGATTTTAAACCAAATCAAACCGTCCCACTCTTCAGTCTTTTCCCATCAACATAAGTAGCCACTCCTTCCTTCCAGTCGCTAAGGTCAAAAACCTTATGCCACCCCTGACTCCTGCCTTTCTCATGACCCGCATTCTATCTGTCAGGAAATCGCACCCATGCTACCAAAATACCTCCACTCTGACCACTTTTACCACTTCCACTGCTACTACCCTGGTCCAAGCCACCATTCAGAAAATTAGGACACATCTAAAAAGCATCTTCACAGAAACATCTAGAATAATGTCTGACCGAATGCCTGGGTAGCATAACCTAGTGAAATTGACACATAACATTAACTATCACATGATGTTAAATAAATGATCAAATAGTTGATCCATTAAAATAAGAGTTCAAATGGCTTAGTTTAAGCTAGTGTCATTGAAAGAAAAAAACACACCATTTAAAAAATATGTTCAGGCTGGGCAAGATGGCTCACGCCTGTAATTCCAACACTTTGGGAGGCTGAGGTGGGTGGATCACCTGAGATCAGGAGTTCAAAACCAGCCTGGCCAACATGGCGAAACCCCATCTCTTCTAAAAATACAAAAATTAGGGAGGGTGAGGCAGCAGAATCGCTTAAACCCAGGAGACAGAGGTTGCAGTGAGCTGAGATCGTGCCACTGCACTCCAGTCTGGGAAACAGAGCAAGACTCCATCTCAAAAAAAAAAAAAAAAAAAGTTCAAATTTCAGGGTTTTTAAAATAGACATATTTTTTTCTCTAATGCTAATTTCATTTAAGGTGTTTTCAAAAAGTTAAACAAAAATTTTTCTAAAACTAGATTGTGGTAGTATTTATATAACTCTGAAGTTAATAAGAATTATTGATGTATACATTTAAGATGGATGAGTTTGTGGCATGTAAATTATACCTAGATAAGGCTGTTTTTTTAATTGGGCAATAAATGAGCTGTTGATTATGTAAAAACATTCTATTTCAGGAAGAATATTTAAACAGAAAATTCCGGGGCTGAGACACAACTACACTTGATAGTATGCAATTATAAGTAGGATAAAATCGGGAGACACTTGAAAATTAGTATTACAGACAAAATCCTGAGTAGACACAAGAAAATAATATTTTTAAAATAATCTTTTAAAAATAATTTTTGGCCGACTGCGGTGGCTCATGCCTGTAATCCCAACTCTTTGGGAGGCCGAGGCGGGTGGATCATCTGAGGTCAGGAATTCAAGACCAGCCTGTCGAACATGGTGAAATACCAGCTCTCCTAAAATTACAAAAATTATCCAGGCATGGTGGCGGGTACCTGTAATCCCAGCTACTTGGGAGGCTGAGGCATGAGAATGGCTTGAACCTAGAAGGCAGAGGATGCAGTGAACCAAGACTGCGCCACTGCACTCCAGCCTGGGTGACAGAGTGAGACCCTGTCTCAAATAATAATAATAATAATAATAATAATAATTAATAATGATCTTTTTAAAAGGTAATAAGTTTTTTTCTTATAAATTTGAATGACACTGAAAATATCAACTGCTTTTGGAAGGAAAGAGCTAAAATGCACCCTTTGGATTTAGCCACAAAGAAGCCACTGGTGCCGTGACAGTGACACTCTCCCTTCGTGTTCAGCGACATCAGCACTGGGCTTCCGGAGGCACCTGGAGGAGGGAGCTTCCTTCCCACCTTGTCTTCCTCCAGCGCCACTCATCCCATGTAGGGGACAAACAAAACCTTCCAGAGGTGGGCACCGCTCACCTCTCGGTCCCTCATTTTCTCCCAGCAATCACACTGTGCTCAACCTGCCCTTTTCCTTATTTACTCTCCTTTCTATCTAGCACAGCCACCTTCTCTACTTTCTCCAATTTGCCAGTTTTTCTGGGATTTTTTTTTCCATGCTCTTAAAAATTTCCCATCCTCATGGCAGTGACCACAGTCACCGCAGCATTTTGACAGGTATGAAATGAGACTCATAGTTAGCCACTGTGTGCTCACCTGCTCTGAATATGGTGCCCTGAAAGTCCCTGGACTGTGAGAATTGACAGACACAGATGACCAGTCACCTCTTGACTCACATGAGGTCCAGAAACCCATCTGTACAGCTCCCTTCTTGCAAGGGATCTTAACTGGAGGAAGAGAAAACTCAGCCCCTTTTGACGAATGTCTCATGAATGCAGATGCTGGCTGGCGATAGAAAGGGTGGCAGAATTTGTAGACTGTAAGAACATTCTCCACCTAATTACCCCTTGGCCCAACCTCTATCATTCACTTGCTTCTCCAGTGCCCAGGAGCGATGGGACTAAGCAGGCAGTGCTGAAAGAACTGTGGGGACTCTGTCTGAAAGACCTGGCAAAAGAGCCGGAGCAGTCAGCAGCAGTGTCAGCAGCACAGAGAAGGCATAGCCAACAGCAACATAGCAGAGAAGGCAGGGCACAGCCAACAGTAGGGCTGCTTGCAGCAGGTGCATTTCTGAGGATATGTGTGAGCCCTGCTTTGCTGCCTAGGCTTCCCATCTGCTCTTCTCTCCCCACCCAGGAGCCCTTTGAAGAAATGGCGGAAGAGAAGGAGCCTTTCAAAAGCCAAAGCCTGGACTTCCAGCAACATAGCTAAGGGACAACTGGATTGTTGAGATTTGAGATTCTCTATAAAGGCGATACAGTATACACACACGCTGTGTGGAGCCTGGGACATTCCAGAGATGTTGGTATATGGCAAAGCAATTTATTTGCATACATTTGACATGTATCCAGTCACTTTCCCAAGCTCATGGATACTGGCAAAGCTGTCTTGTTTATTTGTTTGTTTTGAGACAAAGTCGTGCTCTGTTGCCCAGGCTGGAGTGCAGTAGCACCATCCTGGCTCACTGCAACCTGTGCCTCCCAGATTCAAGCGATTTAGAGCCTCAGCCTCCTGAGTAGCTGTAATTACAGGTGCGCCACCACACCCGGCTAGTTTGTGTACTTTTAGTAAAGACGGGGTTCCGCCATATTGGCCAGGCTGGTCTTGAACTCCTGGCCTCAGGTGACCCTCCCACCTCGGCCTCCCAAAGTGCTGCGATTACAGGCATGAGCCACCATGCCCGGCCATGGCAAAGCTTTTAATTGCATCTAAGTGTTTTAGAACAGTAGTTCTCAAAGTATCCAGAACTCCTTTCAGAGGGGATGCAAGGTCAAAACTGTTTTCATAACCAACCAAGAGATGAATTGTCTTTTTCACTATCATTCTTTCAGTGGGATATGCAATGGGATTTTCTAGCGGCTGCATATGTGATATTGCACCCGTGCAGAGCAGAGCAGATGTAAAAACCCAGCTTCCTTCTATTAGGACAGAAACTAAAGAGATGTTTTAAAATCTCTTTTTAAAGAATAGCAATTTTGGCCGGGCGCGGTTGCTCACGCCTGTATTCCCAGCACTTTGGGAGGCCGAGGCGGGCAGATCACTTAAGGTCAGGAGTTTGTGACCAGCCTGACCAACATGGTGAAACCCTATCTCTACTAAAAATACAAAAAGTTAGCCGGGCATGGTGGCATATGCTTGTAATCCCAGCTACTTGGGAGGCTGAGGCAGGAGAATCGCTTGAACCCAGGAGGCAGAGGTTGTACTGAGCCAAGATCGCACCGCTGCACTCCAGCCTGGGCGACAAGAACGAAACTCTGTCTCAAAATACATAAATCAAAATTAAATGGCAAAACTCTGGAGAATGCTGGAGGAATGTGTGACCTCCAAATTAAGCAGAGCATCTGTGAGCTGGATGTCCCGTACCCGTTAAAAGTCACTCCCCGTCTCCCCTCCTGCCAGCCCCTGGCATCCATTAATGTACTTTCTGTCTCTATGAATACGCCCATTTTGGAAATTTTACATAAAGAGGATCATACAATACATGACCTTTGTGACTGGCTTCTTTCACTCAGCATCACATTTTTGAGGTTGGTCCATGTCGAAGCGTGTATCAGTGCTTCTTTTCTTTATTGCCAAATAATTTCCACCATTTGGATATGTCGCGTGCTTTGTATCTAGTTATAAGTTGATGGACATTTGGCTTGTTGCCACTTTTGGGGGCGATTATGAGCAGTGTTTTAGGGGCCCACTTTCTTTTTCTTTCTTTTTTTTGAGCAATTTTATCAAAGAATACTTTTTTGTTTTGGAAAATATATTTTTCATGAAAAATATGTGGTTTCTGTTAACATGTAATTGATATGTTACTTTTTTTTTTTTTTTTTGAGATGGAGTCTCACGCTGTCGCCCAGGCTAGAGTGCAAATGGCGTGATCTCGGCTCACTGCAACCTCTGCCTCCTGGGTTCAAGCAATTATCCTGCCTCCCGGGTTCAAGTGATTCTCCTACCTCAGCCTCCCGAGTAGGTGGGATTACAGGCAGGCACGACCACACCCAACTAATTGTTTGTATTTTTAGTAGAAACGGGGTTTCACCACGTTGGCCAGGCTGGTGTCAAACTCCTGACCTCGGGTGATCCACCTGCCTCGGCTCAGGACAAACCACCCAAAATATGGCCATAGGAGATCAGAACATGCCAAAATATACTTCCTTGGCATATTTTGAGCTGGTTATTTTGAGAAACTACAGGCACAGGAACAGCTGAAAAGCTGTCCTTTTGTAAAGAAAATTTATATCTACAAAGGAAATCTACATCGGTAAATTGTATCAGGCAGAAGGCCTGGGATATCTCTATTTTTTTTTAATACCTCTATTAGCTCAGAGACTGTTTCTCTGCAGAGCAGGACAGGGATTGCTCACCAAGCACTTACTTCCCTTTCCCTGCCATGACTTGCTGTTGCTTAATCCCCGGAAGCCTCAAGCCTCTACTCCTTTCTGTAGAGCAGAATGCTGTATAAGGCCTGACATGGTGGTCACACCTGTAATCCCAGCACTTTGTGGGGCAGAGGCAGCTGGATCACTTGAGGTCAGGAGTTTGAGACCAGCCTGGCAAATATGGTGAAACCCTGTCTCTACTAAAAATACAAAAAACAATTAGCCAGGTGTAGTGGCACATGCCTGTAATCCCAGCTACTCAGGAGGCTGAGACAGGAGAATCACTTGAACCTGGGAGTCACGGGTTGCAGTGAGGAGCCGAGATCACACCACCACACTCCACCCTGGGTGACAGAGCAAGATTCTGAAACAAAACAAAACAAAAAACCCAAACAGAATACTGTATAAACCTCAATCATCTGGACTTTTTGAGCCTCAGATTTGGTGGGACTTCCATGCGTATACACATAATTAAAATGGTTTTAGTGGAGAGACTGTCATCTGTCCACTGTCAGTTTACTTCATAGACTCAATTATCAAACCTTCAGAGAGTAGAAAGTTTTACTCTCCACCACACTAGTCTTTAAACATGCGTGGTGTCTCTAACATGCAGCCGAGCTGAGAACACTGGCTGGGCTATCTTCAGGCCTCCCACGCCCTCCGCTGTGACTCGCTCTGACTCACACAACAGGATGGCAGAGGCTTGGCAAGACAGGAAGCCAACGCCTGGGGCAGCAGCCAGGTCTGTGCTCCCGGAAATCCACATTTGGTCAAAGGGGACACTTCGGGGTTGGTCCTCCCTCTGGCTGGGTTGGCCCGATTTCTTCCTGCCTTGCCCCCATGCTTCAGAGACTCCTCCACACAGAGCTGGTCTTAAAGCATAAACAAAACCCATGGATGATGGGGCCACAGAGATTAAATGGCAAGACCCCGGAGGATGCTGGAGGAATGTGTGACCTCTAATTATGCAGAGCATCTGTGAGCTGGATGTCCCGTACCCGTTAAAAGTCACTCCTCGTCTCCCCTCCTGCCAGCCCCTGGCATCCATTAATGTACTTTCTGTCTCTATGAATGCACCCATTTTGGAAATTTTACATAAAGAGGATCATACAATACATGACCTTTATGACTGGCTTTTTTCACTCAGCATCACATTTTTGAGGTTGGTCCATGTCGAAGCGTGTATCAGTGCTTCTTTTCTTTATTGCCAAATAATTTCCACCATTTGGATACATCGTATGCTATGTATCTAGTTATAAGTTGATGGACATTTGGCTTGTTGACACTTTTGGGGGCGATTATGAGCAGTGTTTTAGGGGCCCACTTTCTTTTTCTTTTGTCTTTTTTTTTAACATGGTCTCACTCTGTCGCCCAGGCTGGAGTGCAGTGGCACAATCACAGCTCACTGCAGCCTCACCCTCCTGGGCTCAAGCAATCCTCCCACTTTAGCCTCCTGAGTAGCTGGGACTACAGGCATGAGCCACCACATCCAGCTAATTTTTTTTTCTTTTTTTTTTTTGTAAAGATGGGGGTTTCCACATTGCCCAGGCTGGTCTCAAACTCCTGGGCTCAAGTGATCCACTGCCCTCGACCTCCCAAACTGCTGGGTGCTGGGATTACAGGCGTGAGCCACCACTCCCAGTCTAGGGGCCCACTTTCGAATCACAAGCAGCCACTTTCTGGAAGGCACCTCATCACGCATTGGCAGGGCTATGTCCCTCACAGGTTGCCCCAGATGACGGTCTTCCCAAGTGACTTCTGCTCCAGGTCCACTGTTCAGGCTCCCCTTGGTCCTACCCCTCCAGACATCCAGCCTTGGGGGGATCCTGGGCCCCTACTGTTCTTTCCTATATCAGCCTCAGCCAAGCTCTCCTCACCCCTCAATCCATCAGATGTCCTCCAGTGACATTGAACTTCAAAGAAAGAGCAGAGGCCAGGTGTGGTGGCTCATGTCTGTAATCCCAGCACTTTGGGAGGCTGAGGTGAGTGGATCACCTGAGGTCAGGAGTTCAAGACCAGCCTGCCCAACATGGTGAAACTCTGTCTCTACTAAAAATACAAAAAAATTAGCCGAGCATGGTGGCGGGCACCTGTAATCCCAGCTACTCGGGAGGCTGAGGCAGGAGAATTGCTTGAACCTGGGAGGTGGAGGTTGCAGTGAGCCGAGATTGTGCTACTACACTCCTGCCTGGGCGGCAGAGACCCTGTCTCAAAAAAAAAAAAGAAAGAAAGAAAAGAAGAAAGGGAGGGAGGAAGGAAGGAAGGAAGGAAGGAAAAAGAAAAGTAAAGAACAGAAAAAGAAGAAAGGAAAAGAAAAGAAAGGAAAAGAAAAGAAGGGAAGAAGGAAAGAGCAGAGAGGCCCAGTCGCTCTTCTCAGAGTCTCCGTGGCATCTCGGTAGATTTGCTGATCCCTTTACATAACCCAAGTTGAGGCATGCCCTAATTTCACCCACAAATGCTACTAAGCCCAGGCCCTTATCCAGCCAAAACCATCCTGCCAAGCTCCCACCACCACCATCAGCATCATTTTCAGGTTGTTGGTCATCACTGGTTGTTGGTCATCACTGGTTGTTGGTCATCTATGTCACCTAACAGGCCACTCATGACGTTAGCCCTTGACTTCAAAAAGGACCTCAAAGAAAATTCCAGTTTTCACTCCAAAAGGAGAAATCAGGCCGAGCTGTGATGGCTCATGCCTGTATTCCCAGCACTATGGGAGGCTGAGGCAGGCGGATCGCTTGAGCCCAGGAGTTTGAGACCACCCTGGGCAAACCTATCTTTCCAAAAAAATACAAAAAGATTAGCTGGGCATGGTGGTGCGTGCCTGTAGTCTCAGCTAGTCAGGAGGCTGAGGTGGGAGGATCACTTAAGCCTGGAAGGTTGAGGCTGCAGTGAGCGGTGATGGTGCCACTGCACTCCAGCCTGGATAACAGAGCAAGATGCTGTCTCAAAAACTAGCAAACGAAACAAAAGGAGAAACTGCTGGCAGCCCCTAATCTAGTACTGTCCCGGCTCCACCCACCTTCAGATCCAGCCTCCTCCCCTGGCACACGGGAGCCCCCTCCTCTGACTGTGCTGAAAGTGAGGGAAGATCCCCTCTGGGGAGAGAGCTGTAGCCTTGACCTCTGCACACCTTACTTATCCAGAGCACGAGGCAGGGCCGCTGACTCATCCTGGTTTACCCTGGGCTTTCCCAGTTTCAGCACTGAAAGTCCCGCATCTGGAAAAGCCCCTGAGTCGCTGACAAACCAGACAGTCCGGACCATGCAAAGCACAGTGCATGGTGCTTTAGCCACAAAGTTGATTGAAAAGTCAGAGGCAGTGAGCCACAGGAAGCGCCACGTGACCCAGACTGCGAGGAGGACACAGGAAACCAACCCTCACTGTGTCCTGCTAGGGGGTTAACCCGTCTACAAGCATCAGGGTTGCCATTTCAGAGATCAGCAAACTGAACAGCAGTCGTGACTTGTCCTCGCCTGCAAGACAAGCGAGTAACAAATCCATGAAGGGAAGGACACGGAATTGAGCAAGGGGGCAGGGCCGGATGTCATTTTGGCGTTTTTTTTTCTTTCAGTGATTGAGGTAAAATTCACATAACATAAATTAACCATTTTAAAGTGTACGATTCAGAGGCATTTGGTACATTCACACTGTTGTGCAAGCACCACCTGTATCTCGTTCCAAAATATTTTCACTTCCCCAAAAGGAAACTGTGTCCCCATCAAGCAGCCACACCCTACTCCCTCACCCCCGCCCCCAGCCTCTGACAACCACCAATGTACCTTTTGTCTCTATGGATTTGCCTTTACTGAACAATTCATAGTAATGGAACCATACAATATGTAGTCCTTTGCGACTGGCTTTTTTTACTCAGCATCAATTTTTTTTTCTTTTTCTTCGAGACAGAGTCTTGCTCTGTCACCCCGGCTGGAGTGCAGTGGCATGATCTCGGCTCACTGCAACCTCCACCTCCTGGGCTCAAGCGATTCACATGCTTCAGCCTTCTGAGTAGCTGGGACTGCAGGTGTGCACCACCATGCATGGCTAAATTTTTTTTTTTTTTTTTTTTTTTTTTTTTTTTTTTTTTTTAGAGAGGGAGGTCTTACTACATTGCCCAGACTGGTCTCAAACTCCTGGCCTCAAGCAATCCTCCTTCCTCGGCTTCTCAAAGTGCTGGGATTACAGGCTTGAGCCATCACGCCCAGCCTATCATCCTAGTTTTGTTTTTTGGGTTTTTTGTTTGTTGGTTGGTTTGTTTGTTTGTTTTTGAGACCTAGTTTCACTCTTGTCACCCAGGCTGGAGTGCAATGGTGCAATCTTGGCTCACTGCAACCTCCGCCTCCTGGGTTCAAGTGATTCTCCTGCCTCAGCCTCTCAAGTAGTTGTGACTACAAGCATGCGCCACCACACCTGGCTAATTTTTGTATTTTTAGTAGAGACAGGGTTTCACCATATTGTCCAGCCTGATCTCAAACCCCTGATCTCAAGTGATCCTCCCACTTTGGCCTCCCAAAGTGCTGGGATTTCAAGTGTGAGCCACCGTGCCCGGCTGCCTCATCAATTCTCTATAAACAGTTATTAATGAGAAGTCAGTTGAGCTGTTTCTATGTATTTGTTTCCAGAAAGAAACAGGGTGCACCTAGACCACCCTGGACCTCAGTAAAAGGCTCTCTTCCCTTTAAATAACTGATCGAGAACTTCTAATTATTCTTCTATGAACCTTAGAATGTACCAAGAAAATCCATTCCACAGAGTCTTATTTCTGGGCATCCTGTGCATATGAGCTGAGAGGAATCTGTGATTTTTATGCAGCGCTGAATGTCATCAAAAGGCTTCGAGGAAGAGTTTCCTGAGTTTCCTTGATGTTCGCGGCGCTTACTGTTACTTTCACACTTAGCTAAGTAACCTTTGATACTGTGTGGTTATAACATAATAACCACAGGTCCTTTGTCTTCTCTGTCAAGAGTGAAGAATTCGAAGGACTTTAACCACTGGTAAAAGTGTCTTCTCACATAAACCGCATAGCAGCAAGCATTACGTGAACCAGCTGGTTATTCTCACTAAATGGGTTAGATACAAGTTACAAGCCGATCGCGAAGCTGCCTAGACTGGATTGAGTGTAGGTTAGCCAAACGGCATGATTGAGAAGATAAATCTCATCTGTCCACCCTTTTCCCGTTAGTTCCAAGCCAGCCTCGTGGCTGAGCCCAGCTTCCCAAGCCTCTCTGAAGATGGCGTCAGGCAGTCCAAGCCCGGTTTAGCTAAGAGTGCTTCCAGCCATCCCAGGCTGCAATCACGCCTTCCTTTGCCATCTGGGCTCTCCCCAGGTTAGTGGAACTGCTTTCTGGAAGGTGAGTCCTGCCCTGTGGAGTGCCTGGAGTAGGGACTGGTCACCAGCATTAAGTGCCCAGGGAGGGAGCACGTATACACGAATCAATTTTTAGAAGAGACAATAACCCACTCAAAAAAGGGCAACAGCCAGACTGGTAGCTCATGCCTGTAATTCCAGCATTTGGGAGGCTGAGGCGGGAGGATGGCTTGAGCCCAGGAGTTTAAGACCGGCCAGGGTAACTTAGTGAGACCCTCGTCTCTCTCTATATATATTTTTAATTAGCTGGGCATGGTGACCCCTACCTGTAGTCTCAGCTACTTGGGAGCCTGAGGTGGGAGGATGGCTTGACCCTAGGAAGTTGAGGTTGCAGTGAGCTATGATCATGCTGCTGCACCCCAAACTGGGCAACAGAACAAGACAAAAAAAAATGGAGTGGGGGAGAAAAGATGTGATAATAGAAAAAGAGATTCAAGTGTTGTTAAACAATGGGTGGCCAGCCGGGCACAGTGGCTCACGCCTATAATCCCAGCACTTTGGGAGGCCGAGGCAGGCAGATCACCTGAGGTCAGCAGTTCGAGACCAGCCTCAACATGGAGAAACCCCATCTCTACTAAAAAAAAAAAAATACAAAATTAGCCGGGCGTGGTGGTGCATGCCCGTAATCCCAGCTACTCAGAAGGCTGAGGCAGGAGAATTGCTTGAACCTGGGAGGCGGAGGTTGCGGTGAGCCGAGATTGCACCATTGCGCTCCAGCGTGAAACTCTGTCTCAAACAACAATGGATGGCCAACCTCATCCACGGTCAAAAAATCCAAATCAAACAACAATGAGATATCCTGGGGGTGGGGGGCAGTTTCATGGACAAATATTACCCCGTTTAATATCCTTGGTACCAGTGAGGTTGTGGGGAAAGAATGTGCTCACTAGCGGCCCCTGAAGGAGAACTGAGCACCTTTCCTGGCCTTGGGGCCTCCAAACCGGCTTCCTGGATCTTCCAAGGATTCTGCTACCAGTGACCTTCCATTAATTTGTTTTCTGCTTAAACTAGCTAGGGTGGGTTCTGTTGTTTCCAATTTGGCCTCTAACAGAAGGCCTCTGAGCTTCAGTTTTCCTCCCAGGTGAGAAGGGGATACTGCTCTCTTCTTTACAAGTGGGTTGAGAGCGTTTCCCGAAATAACATCTCAAGTACAGCTGTTCACTAGATGGGTGTGTTATCAGCCCCTGTCCACAACCCCTTATCTGGGAACCTCAGGGGCCAGAAATGTTTCATGATTTGGGTTTTTTGGTTTGTTTTTAAGATGGGAGGGGGGATCTCACTATATTGCCCAGGCTGGTCTCAAACTCCTGGCCTCAATAAATCCTCCCTCCCACCTTGGCCTCCCAAAGTGCTGGGATTACAGGCGTGAGCACCTAGCCTAATTTGGCGTTTTAGAAAAGCGATATGGTGCAGGTAATATTAGGTAGCACTCTCAGCATGTTGTGGGCAGCACCCTGTAATCAAACCATTTCTAATTTTCTAGGGAAAGTGTATCCATTTCACATTTAATGGAAGAATTAAGGACTATATCTAGTTTGATATTAATTCAAGTCAGGAGTTAAGAAAATGTTTGTGATTTTCAGAGCTCTTCGGATTTTGGAGCTGTGAGTTGGAATTTATTTTCCCATAACCTAAATATTTTATTCTGTGATACTTGATTTTTTTGTTTTGTTTTGTTTTGCTTTGTTTTTGAGATGGAGTCTCACTCTGCTATCCAGGCTGGAGTGCAGTGGTGTGATCTTGGCTCACTGCAAGCTGAGCCTCCTGGGTTCAACCGATTTTAGAGCCTCAGCCTCCCAAGTAGCTGGGATTACAGGTAGTAGCCACCGTGGCTGGCTACTTTTTGTATTTTTAGTAGAGACAGGGTTTCACCATGTTGGCCAGGCTGGTTTCAAACTCCTGACCTCAAGTGATCCCACCTCGGCCTCCCAAAATGTTGGGATTACAGGTGTGAGCCACCATGCCCAGCCTGATACTTGGTTTTTTAAAAATCCTTCGACACAGGACTGGAGTATGACATCTGCAGCTCTCGTGGGAAGAGCTCTGGCCCCTTGGCTTATTCTTGCTTCTTAGCAGTCCCAGTGACCTTCAGCCTGAGGCAGGTGAGCCCCAGGTAGTTTATGACATCGCTGGGTTGTTGGCCTCTCCAAGCCCAAAGTGACACTAGCATTTCTCTAGGCCTTGAACTACCTGGGGAGTCAGAGCCACCAGCATTGAATGGGCATCAGTTTGTTTTTGTTTTTGTTTTTGTTTTGAGACGGCGTCTCACTCTGTTGCCCAGGCTGGAGTGCAGTGGCGCGATCTCAGCTCACTGCAAGCTCCGCCTACCGGGTTCACGCCATTCTCCTGCCTCAGCCTCCCGAGTAGCTGGGACTACAGGCGCCTGCCACCACGCCCGGCTAATTTTTTGTATTTTTCGTAGAGACGGGGTTTCACCGTGTTAGCCAGGCTGGTCTCCATCTCCTGACCTCTTGATACGCCCGCCTCGGCCTCCGAAAGTGCTGGGATTACAGGCGTGAGCCACCGCGGCTAGCCGAATGGGCATCAGTTTTACATATGGGTCCTGAACTGATTTCCGTGGGAGGAAATCCCAGAATTCCCAATTCAGATTAAGGGTAGGACATCCCTAGGTTAAAATTCTCTTATTAAGGTTCTCTAAGAAGTCAGATTTGAGCATACAGATGGACTACTACTGCAGCAATCACTGACTGAGCATTTTACAACCCTATTTTTAAGGTGCCTATGTAGTTTTTCCCTCTTGTCACAGCTTAATTGAGGTATAACTGGTATCTATTATGCCGTGCATGTTTTAAATATACATTTTGATAAGTTTTTAACATACGTGAAATCATCCCCACAATCAAAATCATAAATATCCATTACCCCCAAAATGTCCTCGTTGTACACAGTTTTGAAATAAATGTTGTTGGGATTATAAGAGGAAGTAGGCTGGGCACAGTGGCTCATGCCTATAATAGGAAGTGCATCATGTTTTCAGTAATCAAATCTGCCTAATGATCCATCTAGCTTCCTATTTATGCAACACATCTTACTTGTAGATAATTACCAAATTCTTGAAGGCCAGGCTGGGCGGCTCACATTTGTAGTTCTAGCTACCTGGAAGACTAAGGTGGGAGGATTGCTTGAGCTCAGGAGTTTGAGGCCAGCTTGGGCAACAAAGCAAGACCCCGGTTTTAATTTTTAAAAGAAAGAAAGAATGGAAGGAAGGAAGAAAAGTCCTACAGTAGGTTGAAGTTGAAGTGTGGCGACAACACTTTGGTCACCGATGTATCTCAAGTGTCTAGAACAATGCCTGGCATCTAAGAAGTGCTTAGTAAATATTTTTTGAGGAATAAAAAAGTAAATGAGTTTGTCTCTCTCTCTCTTTTTTTGGCGGAGGAGTGGGCAGGGTCTCACTCTATCACCCAGGCTGGAATGTGGTGATGCAATCATGGCTCACTGCAGCCTCGAACTCCTGGGCCTGGGCGATTCTCCTGCCTCAGCCTCCCAAGTAGCTGGGACTACAGGTGCACACCACCAAGCTCGGTTAATTTTTTTTTTTTTTTTTTTTTTTGAGATGGAGTTTCACTCTTGTTGCCCAGGCTGGGGTACAATGGAGCGATCCCAGCTCATGGCAACCTCTGCCCTCTGGGTTCAAGCAATTCTCCTGCCTCAGCCTCCTGAGTAGCTTGGATTACAGGCATGCACCACCACGCCTGGCTAATTTTGTATTTTTAGTAGAGATGGGGTTTCTTCATGTTGGTCAGGCTGGTCTCAAATTCCTGACCTCAGGTGATCCGCTCGCCTTGGCCTCCCAAAGCGCTGGGATTACAGGCGTGAGCCACCGTGCCTGGCCTCTAATTTTTTCTTTTTTTTTTTTTGAGACATGGGGCTTTGCCACATTATCCATGCTGGTCTTGAACTCCTGGGCTCAAGCAATCCTCCCGCCTCGGCCTCCCAAAGTGCTTGGATTACAGGTGTGAGCCACCGCACCTGGCTGAATCTCTTTTTGATACTTGGATAAGTCCAAGCTTCAGCATTAGAATATCATATCTGGTAGTGTTGCCTTTATTTGAGCCAATGTTTTTTGAGGTGAGGCTGTTTCCTAGGCAATGTGAGTGATGTTCATTTGGAAAACAGGAATGTCCCTGGGTCTTGAGTAAAGTGGGTTCTGGAGCTTCCTTTGCCTAGATGCCCCTATGCTACCTGGGGGAATGAGTTAGGAGGCATGTATGGATGTGCCCAGGTCCCTGGGTGTTGGACTGGACTGTGCTGGGAGGAATGGTGCCCTCCCCACTGCGTGAACTGGGAGGCCCAGGCAGGGTGGAGGCTCCCCCAAGCCAGGGGAGGTCATGGGACTGTGAGTTGGGGGTGCAGCCCATTGACAGATGAGAAGAAACTGCCACTCAGTGGACACCCCCCAAGTGCCTTGGGGATGTTGAAAAGCTCTGTGGATTGGTGCTTGTCTAGCACAACCAGAGGAGCCACCCCAGTTCCTGCCAGGGGCTCCCCACCTCCCACACAGAGAGTCCAGCCACCTGGGGATCTACCACTAATGCCAGAACAGAGGAAAAGGAGGGGATTTGACAGACTCTCCTACTGCAGACCCCAAGAGAATCGCCTGGGACTGGATGTAATGCAACTTGCAGTCCACTCATGGTCCTCTGCATTGCACGATCACCATGGTTCCAGATACTAGATGCTGTGTTCAGTGATTGACCGGGCATTCTCTGTCGCTGCCACTAAAACATAAGCTCCACAAGCTCAGAGTTTTTATCTGTTGTTCTCAGAACAGTGCCTAGCACAGAGTAGATGCTCAGTAAGTAAATATGTGCTAAATACATGAAAGAAGCGAGGGAGGGAAGGAGGGAGGAAGGGAGAGAAGGCACCATATTCCAGACCACCGCGTCCTTTCTGAACATGCTCCACCGCCCCTAGGCTGTCTGTGTTCTTGCCCTCATCCACAAAGGTACCCACATGAATTCGTGTTTGCTTTGCTTGGATCTGTTTTGTATGGATACACTAGAAGTCACACACTATGATGTTTGAGGTTTCCAAGATAAAAAGAAAGTTCACAGTGACAATAGTTTAAGATTCTGCAAAAGAAAGGACATTACATTAACGATGTATTTAACACTCACAAAATGTAGCATAATCTCTACATAATGGCTTACGCCCAGTGCCCATGACTGTACTGGGAAGTCACTATACCCGGGAGCTGGCCAAGGAAGGCTGAAGCTTGAGGGCTGCTGACAGTGAATGTGAGGCATTCGGCATCTCCTCTTATCACTGGTCAAGACGTGTTCAGGGCTTTGCAAAGTCAAGACTGTACCTGTAGAGAATGTCCTGAAACTATAGGCAACCTGATTTTCATACAATCTGGAAACACAGGAGAAGCAAAAGGTTCCTTCCTCTCCTGTCCTGTGTGTGGTTTCTACACACTTCTCAGAAAGGGTGAAATAATGCTGCCTTCTGGCCGTTTTGCTGGTGCTTAAAAATTGAGGAGTTTCAGGATATGAATTTTGGCCATTTCTGTATTGTAAGATTATGGAGGAATTGTTTTTTCTTCTTTATACTTTTCTGTATTTTATAGTTCCTTGACAATGAACAAGTACTACTTTTTGTTTTATTTTTTCCTGAGACGGAGTCTCGCTCTGTCACCCAGGCTGGAGTGCAGTGGCGCCATCTTGGCTCACTGCAACCTCCACCCTAGGTTCAAGTGATTCTCCTGTCTCAGCTTCCTGAGTAACTGGGATTACAGGTGTGTGCCACCATGCCCAGCTAATTTTTGTATTTTTAGTAGAGACGGGGTTTCACTGTGTTGGCCAGGCTGGTCTTGAGCTCCTGACCTCAAGTGATCTGCCCACCTCAGCCTCCCAAAGTGCTGGGACTACAGGCGTGAGCCACCACGCCTGGCCCAAGTACTACTATTATAAAGACAACAGCAACAAAAAAGTTAGAAAAATTTATGGGCTGGGTGTGGTGGCTAACGCCTGTAATCCCAGCACTTTGGGAGGCTGAAGTGGGAGGATCACGTGAAGCCAGGAGTTCGAGACCAGCCTGGGCGACATACTACGACTCCATCTTTAAAAGAATTTTTTTTTAAATTAGCTCATGTGGCGGCACGTATTCGTAGTCCCAGCTACTCACGAGGCTGAGACAGGAGGATGGCTTGACCCCAGGAGTTCCAGGCTGCGGTGAAATATGATTGTGCCACTGCACTCTGGCCTGGGCAACAGAGATCCTGTCTTTAAAAGCAAAAACAAACAAACAAACAAAAAACTTGTGTATTTAAGTTTACAAGTTCCAACTCAATTAAAATTTCATTTTAAGTTAGTCCATATACTAAGGGCCCCCACAGAGGTACAAATCCTAACAAAAGCAAAAATAGCCATTGTCCATAGCAGAAGTCAGACTGAAAGCAAAACGTGTGTGCCTGTAAACTGCCCTTCTCTTTTTTTTCTTTTTTTTTTTTGAGATGGAGTGTCACTCTGTTGCCCAAGCTGGTGTGCAGTGGCACGATCTCAGCTCGCTGCAACCTCCGCCTCCTGGATTCAATCGATTCTCCTGCCCCAGCCTACCGAGTAGCTGGGATTACAGGTGCCCACCACCATGCCTGGCTAGTTTTTGTATTTTTAGTAGAGACAGGGTTTCACCATATTGGCCAGGCTGGTCTCGAACTCCTGACCTCAAGTGAGCCGCCCATCTTGGCCTCCCAAAGTGCTGGGATTACAGGTATGAGCCACCACGCCTGGCCCCCAGAAGACTTGGATCCTTAGACCACACACCAGCTTGCCCTGGAAGCTTTAGTCCTGGCATGAGCCTCTGCGAGGGGAATGTGTTCCCAGAAAGAACTGCTTGTGGAGAGGAAGGAGTTAAATAAAGAACCCTGCTGTCCCAGTAACCTCTCCCTCCCTCCTGTAGAACTAACTGTCCACACTGCCCAGGCCAGGTCCCCACTGTTACCTTTTCACAACCAGAAAATTGTAGTCTTGTCCATAAATGGATTTGGATAGATTATTCAAGAAGCGCAGCAACTCCCTTCCACCCTCACTTGCCCTGAATCCCAGCCCCGGAAAGCAATTTTAATCTCTCTACCTCCTCCTTAGCTGAAGGCAGGCTTTGCCTAAGCTAATTGAACACTACACTGAATTTAACAAGAAAAGGACAAGAACCAGCCCCAGGAAATGTAGCCCTATAAGGGCCACAGGCCGGCAGATTTTGAGAGGAGGGGAATGCTGGCGTGGTGGCAGCCTAGGGCTGCCAGGCTCTGGGTGTGTGTTGGGAGGGGGGGTTGGGGGTGTGTGTGTGTGTGTGTGTGTGTGTATGCACACGCACTCACGCTGGGCAGGGGTGAAGGGGACAGGCCAAAATGGAAGTGGGGCAAAGAGTCCAAGGTCCAGACGCTGAGAGCTGCCACCTATCTGTCCAGTGTCATTCTGTGTAGCCCCTATGGTAGGCTGAATAATGACCCCCAGAGATGTCCACAACCTAACCCCCAACATTTGCGAATATGTTACCTTCCATGATAAAGGGGAGTTGGCAGATGTGACTAAGCGAAGGGTCTCGAGACGGAAAGATGATCCTAGATTATTGGGTGAGCCCAATGTCATCACAACAGTCCTTGCATGGGGAAGAGGCAGGCAGGAGGGTCCGTGGAGGAGGGGTGGGGATGGAAGCAGAGATTAGGGTGGTTTGAAGATGGCTTGAAGATGGAAGCAGGGAGCATGAGTTAAGGAATGCAGCCGGGCGCAGTGGCGCACGCCTGTAATCCCAGCACTTTGGGGGGCCAAGGCGGGCGTATCACCTGAGGTCAGGAGTTCAAGACCAGCCTGGCCAAAATGGCAAAACCCCATCTCTACTAAAAATACAAAAAAAAAAAAAAAAAAAATAGCCAGGCCTGGTGGCATGTGCCTCTAATCCCAGCTACTCAGGGGGCTGAGGCACGAGAATCGCTTGAACCCAGGAGGCGGAGTTTGCAGTGACCCCAGATCACACCATTGCACTGCAGCCAGGAGAACAGAGTGAGACTCCGTCTCAAAAAAAGAAAAAAGGAATGTGGCAGCCTTACTAGAAGCTGCAAAGGGCAAGGAACTGATTCTCCCCAGAGCCTCTGGAAGGACCACAGCCTTGCCAATCCATTTTGGGTTTCTCTCTTTCTTCCTTCCTTTTTTTTTTTTTTTTTTGAAACAAAGTCTCACTCTGTTGCCCAGGCTGCAGTGCAGTGGCACCATCTCGGCTCACTGCAATCTCTGCCTCCTGGATTCAAGAGATCCTCCTATCTCAGGCTCCCTAGTAGCTGGGACTACAGGCATGCACCACCACCCTCCCTTTCTTTTCCTATTCTTTTTTATAGATAGGGTCTCATTCTGTTACCCAGGCTTTGGGTTATATGGAACTGATGTCCCTTCCTTTTTTATAGACAGGGTCTCACTCTGTCACCCAGGCTGGAATGCAGTGGTGCAATCATAGCTCACTGCAGCCTCAAACTCCTGGGCTCAAGTGATCCTCCCAACTCAGCCTCTTGAGTAGTCCTCTACAGGTGCCCACCACCACGCCTGGCTAATGTTTTATTTTTTGTAGAGACAGAGTCTTGCTGTGTTGCCCAGGCTGTTCTCAACTCCTAGACTCAAGTGATCCTCTCATCGCAGCCTCCCAAAGTGCTGGGATTACAGGCATGAGCACCCAGCCCCATTTGGGATTTCTGACCTCTAAAACTATAAGAGAATGAATTTTTGTTTTAAGCCACTAAGTTTGGGGGGATGCATTACCGCAGCCATAGGAAACGAATCCAGCTTCCAAGAACTGGGGGCCCGGCCAGACCTCCATGGGGTGCACTGGCAAAAGAGACTGGCCCACCCATCTCTGAGCTGGGCATCCTCAGCCTGGTTCCCTGCATCTTGAGAGTCCTACATGGAAGGGTGAAGTCCCTTAGTGTGGCCCCAGCATTTCAAAACCCCTTGGAAGCCACCCATGTGCTCCCAGGCAGGCTTCCTAAGAAAGTGAAAACATCGAGTTTCTTCATTTGTGGCTAGTATTGCACCCCTTCAGTGTGGCAATGTGGTTCTGTCACCAGAAACGCTGACTGGCAACTTCTGTATGGTTGCAAAACCGGGACTGGATTCACTGAGACTGATTCCTACGGTGTGGTTCTGCTGTGGCAAGGCAAGCACAGGTGTTTTTTTTTTTTTTTTGAAACGGAGTCTTGCTTTGTCGCCCAGGCTGGACTGCAGTGGCGCTATCTCGGCTCACTGCAACCTCCGCCTCCCGGGTTCACGCCATTCTCCTGCCTCAGCCTCCTGAGTAGCTGGGACTACAGGCGCCCGCCACCGCGCCCGGCTAATTTTTTGTATATTTAGTACAGACGGGTTTCACCGTGATAGCCAAGATGGTCTCGATCTCCTGACCTCGTGATCAGCCCGCCTGGGCCTCCCAAAGTGCTGGGATTACAGGCGTGAGCCACCTTGCCCGGCCCAGCACAGGTGTTTTTGAGATAGTGACTGTTGCTATTTCCTTAACAATCTACATAAAATGAGCACCCATCAGGCAGAAGCCGGTGACATCTTCACTTCTGTTTCTCACATCTCTGTTTTATGGGCTCTTTTAAAAAAATTATGTATTTATTTATTTAATTTATGTATTTTGAGACAGAGTCTCGCTCTGTTGCTCAGGCTGGAGTGCAGTGGCATGATTCTGCAACCTCTGCCTCACGGCTTCAAGCAATCCTCCCACAGCCTCCCGAGTAGCTAGGATTACAGGCATGGACCACCACACCCGACTAATTTTTGTACTTTTAATAGAGACAGAGTTTCACCGTGTTAGCCAGCTGGTCTCAAACTCGTGAGATCCACTGCCTCGGCCCTCCAAAGTGCTGGGATTACAGGTGTGAGCCACTGCGCTCGGCCTATGGGCTCTTTTTTTACATATTGGCATAGCCAAAGACCAAGCCCTTCCCAAGACACGTATACACATGCATACACACACACACACACGAGGAAGTCATGCTCTTGAAGGTGAACAAACTCAGAGAATACAAGATTTACAAGAGGTTCAAGTACACACTTTCCAAACCCGAAAAGTAACAGTAATCAAATCAAAATACATGTTTGGAAAAAAGATTCAAATGTATTTTTTGAAAGCAAAGAGAGTCACAATAAACAAGGTAAAGAGTATCTGAAAGGGTATTCATATGTATGTTTGCAAAGAAAGAGAGTAAGAATAACAACTGTTTTTCACTTTCAGAATATGTGACATTAGATTCTTTGGGTTATATGGAACTGATGTCCCTCATGAAAAATTGTCAAGGAGTTGGGGGTGTGTAGGGAGCTCCAGGTGATTCTTTCAGGTGAAATCGTGCATGATTCTGGGTCCAGTGAAGGTGTATAGCGGAAGGAGGCTCCCACAGAAGGTGGGGTTGACACAGGCTGGAAAGCATGGCTGCAAGGGAGGTTGGGAATTTGAATTTTCTGGAAGCAGTAAATACTCACAAGACTGAAAATCCTCCCAGTACAGCAAGAGCGTTCCAAAGATTCTGGACAGTCAGAAATCAAGATAAATGGCCATTACCCTTACCTCATAGATGTGTTATGAGGGTTGGCAGAGCGATATATACAGCACAGGGCAGGAGGTCAATAAATGGTACCTCTTCTTATTAGAGGATATGGGCATAGCTCCCAGTTTGCCCACAGCCTTGTAGTGACTCATCAGATGCCCCATGGGCCTCCTCCTGGCTGTGGCTTACAGAAGGGGTCCCCAACCACTGCTCATGAACAGGGTTGAGCTACAAGCAAAGCTTCATCTGTGTTTACAGCCGCTCCCCATTGCTCGCCCCTGAGCTCTGCCTCCTGTCAGATCAGCAGAGGCACTAGCTTCTCATAGGAGCGTGAACCCTATTGTGAACTGCACACGCAGGGGATCTAGGTCACACACTCCTCATTAGAATCTAGTGACAGATGATCTGTCACTGTCTCCCATCACCCCCAGAAGGGACCGCCTAGTTCCAGGAAAACAAGCTCAGGGCTCCCACTGATTCTACATTATGGTGAGTTGTATAATTATTTCATTATATATTATAAAGTAATAATTATAGAAATAAAGTGCACAATAAATGGAATGTGTTTGAATCATCCCGAAACCATTCCTCTCTGCTCCCCCGCCCCCCACCCCCCGCCTGGTCCTTGGAAAAATTGTCTTCCACGAAACTGGTCCCTGGTGCCAAAAAGGTTGTGGACCACTGCCTTCCAGCAGCTGCTACCTAGCATGAGCCCTTGGTTAATAAACTGCTCCTACTCATGCCCAAGCTGCCAGGTTTTTCCTGGAAGTCTGCAGGATCCCAGAGTGCAAAATTATTATTATTATTATTGAGACAGAGTCTGCTCTATCACCCAGGCTAAAGTACAGCGGAGCGACCATAGCTCACTGCAGCTTTGAACTCTTCGGCTCAAGCAATCCTCCCATATCAGCCTCCTGAGCAGCTGGGATTATAGGCATAGGCCACCATTCCCAGCTAATTTTTATTTTTAAAAATTTTTTGTAGAGACGAGGTCTTGCTGTGTTGCCCAGGCTGGTCTCCAACTCCTGGGCTTAAGGGATTCTTCCTGCCTCAGCCTCTCAAAGCACTGGGATTACAGGAGTGAGCCACCGCACCCAGTCGGCGAGCAAATTTAAACACACAGAAAAAATGATAGGCTCTTAATCCTTCCAGGAAATGGGGATTGGTTTGAGTTTTTCTGAATTACAAAACCCAAGAGGATTCGTTACACAAGTCCTGTCCTGAGAACTCATGAAAAAAAAAATCTCAGGCCTGGGCCTTCTAGTTATTACTGGCAGCTTCCCAGGCCCTGGGCTGTGGCCCTGGGGTTGTGGGTGCTTTTCCTACATACCAAAGTCAGGAATATTAAAGCTTCGTATACTTAAAAAGTGTAGGAGTCTCCTGTTTTTCAAGGAGTTAAAAAGGAACTGGAAGATTTTCTTTTCTCTGCCTGTTGTCTCTTCTCCCTGACAAATTTCAGGATATCGGCCGGGCGCAGTGGCTCACGCCTGTAATCCCAGCACTTTGGGAGGCTGAGGCGGGCACATCACATGAGGCTAAGGGTTCAAGACCAGTTTGGCCAACATGGTGAAACCCCGTCTCTACTAAAAATACAAAAATTAGCCAGGCATGGTGGTGGGCGCCTGTAATCCCAGCTACTCGGGAAGCTGAGACACGAGAATCACTTGAATCTAGGAGGCGGAGGTTGTAATGAGCCGAGATTGTGCCACTGCACTCCAGCCTGGGTGACAGAGCAAGACTCTGTCTCAAAAAAAAAAAAAAAAATCAGGATATCATTCATTCCCTGTTTTCAGGAGGAATTAAATATAGAATGCTGTATGTGTAATAGTTACTCTTGTGAGGGTCCCAGACAGGAGGCAAAAGACTAGAGAAGACTTGGCATTACTGGAATGATGTTTTATGATGGCCCCACTGGGGAAGTAGAAATGCAACAAGTGTAGGCTGGTGAAAGGAGGGGGCTGTGGCCCATGACAAACAGCAAGAAAAACCCAGCCCATCACCGGAGACCTAAGGGAATTCATCCTTTCGCTAACATGCCAATTCCTCTGACCTTGATCCTGGAATTTCTTGAAACAAGGGGGCACCAAGTCACATATCAGGGCCCCACTTGGTAATGATCAAGGCCTACTTTGAGCTCGGACCTCTTACAGCTCTGTTGAATCCAGGGAAGACACTCACCTACCCACTCACAGGTGTCAGCGGCCCTGCCTTTGGCTATGTCAATCCCCACGGACACCAACGATGACACAAAATGGCAGCAAACAGTGGAAGATGGTAGTCAGAGAAGGCAACAGAGTTCTCAGGAAATGGAGTCCAGAAGTTGTAGAATTTGGACTGTGGGTATGGCAGGAGTGGGGGTTGGGGGAGGCGTTGTAGATGAAGGCAGGGAGAGGCGCAAACAGGTGGGGTGAACAGCAGAGGAAGAGGCAGACAAGTAGGGCACATGTGACCTTCACGAAGTACAATTTCAAAGACTCACTGATGGAATAGCCGGGTCATGGGGAGCTGTGGAGCGCTTGACTGGGCACAGAGCTGGGTCTCATTACGAGAAAACTGAACAGCATGATGAGAAGTTTGCTGTGAAATGCAGGGGGCTTTGGCACTAGACAGGCCTGGCTAGGAGCCCACACTGCCACTCATTGGCTGTGTGATTTGGGGCATGCTCAGCCAGATTTTGATCCAACAAGCAAAACCATCATGTGATGTGATGTGTGTGTGTGTGTGTGTGCGTGTGTGTGTGTGTGTGTGTGTGTGTGTGTTGTTATATTACAGAGATTTGACCTCACATAAACATGAGAGATGTGTGCACAGTCCAGGAGAGACAATTTTCCCCTGTCCGGTGCTGGAGCCTGAAGTCCTCAGGGCAGGAGGCCGGGAAGAGAAGGTGGACAAGAGATGGAGGAAGCAGGGACAAGCTGAAATCTAAGGCTCAGCTGCCACCCTCCTCACCCTGCTCTCCATCTCCACACCTCCAGCTTACACGACCACATGAGATCCACGGGGAGCTGGAGGAGCCTGGAGCCTGTCTGCATCCCTGCCATCTAGGACATCAGCAGAGAAGCCACAGGTCGGGAGCTGCAAAGATGGATGCCTTGTGCCCTGCCCCAGCCTCCCAAGGGTAAAGGAATATGGCTGCACCTTTCCTTCCATCTTCCAAGTCTCGCACATTGCTAGGGTTTGAATGTGTCCCCAAATTTCACGTGCTGGAAATTTGATTCCCAATATGGCAGTATGGAGGAATGAGGCCTTTCAGAGGTGATTGGTTATGGTGATCCTGCCCTCATGGATGGGTGGATTCATTCATGGACTAATGGGTTCATGGACCAATGGTTATCATGGGAGTGGGGCTGGTGGCTTTATAAAAGAGGGGATGGGCATGGTGGCTCACTCCTGTAATCCCAACACTTTGGGAGGCCGAGGCAGGTGGATCACTTGAGGTCAGTAGTTCAAGACCAGGGCAACAGGTGAAACACCAACTCTACTAAAAATACAAAAATTAGCCGGGTGTGGTGGCAGGTGCCTGTAATCCCAGCTACTTGGGAGGCTGAGGCAGGAAAATTGCTTGAACCCAGGAGGCAGAGGTTGCAGTGAGCCAAGATTGCACCATTGCACTCCAGCCTAGGCAACAGAGTGATACTCCATCTCAAAAGAAAAAAAAAAAAAAGAGGAAGATAAATCCGAGCACCTTAGCACCCTCAGCCCCCCTTGCCATGTGATGCCCTGACCACCTCATGACTCTGCAGAGAATCTCCACCAGCAAGAAGGCCCTCACCAGATTTAGTCCCTAGACCTTGGACTTCTCAGCCTCCCAAAATGTAAGAAATAAATGCCTTTTCTTTATCAATTACCCAGCTTCAGATATTCTGTTATAAGCAACAGAAAATGGACCAAGACACACACAAACATCCTTCCCTGCCCATGTTACCTCAGAACTTTTCAGGGAGGGGAATTCTAGGAAATGCAGTTACAGTTTAGCAGACCTACTGCAGTGCAAACCCACCACAGGCCAAGTCACTGAACTCTGCTAGTGTCCCCATGGGACAGCCATCGCCTGCCTAACTGGGAGGTCTGAGTGTTATAATACCTAGAGAAGCACCACTGGCCAGCAAAAAATGTTGGCTTCTTTCTGCCATCCCCCACCCACTCTCCTGAGGGAGGTGAGAGGAGTCCCTCTAGGCTATTAGAAATGCTTCAGGAAGATCAACTGATTACAAGGTAAGGAATTAATGGAAAGGGATGGTGCAGATTCAGGGTTTGTAGGGCTGAAGTGTATATAATAGATGGAGCCCTCTTTATAAACAAATACACAACTCACTATAAAATTAGGCACAAAAGTATTTCTTTTTCTTTTCTTTTTTTTTTTTTTTTGAGATGGAGCCTTACTCTGCACTCAGGCTGGAGTGCAGTGGTGCTGTCTCAGCTCACTGCAACCTCCATCTCCCAGGTTCAAGCAATTGTCATGCCTCAGCCTCCCAAGTAGCTGGGATTACAGGCACCTGCCACTATGCCTGGCTAATTTTTCTATTTTTAGTAGAGATGGGGTTTCACCATGTTGGCCAGGCTGGTCTTGAACTCCTGACCTCAGGTGATCCACCCACCTCGGCCTCCCAAAGTGCTGGAATTACAGGTGTGAGCCACCACATCTGGCCAAAAGTATTTCTTTAGAATGATATACAGGTTACAATTTTTTTTTTTTTTTTGAGACAGAGTCTTGCTCTGTGGCTCAGGCTAGAGTGCAGCAGCATGATCTCAGCTCACGGCAACCTCCACCTCCTGGGTTCATGTGATTCTCCTGTCTCAGCCTCCCAAGTAGCAGGGATTACAGGCACATGCCACCACGCCTGGCTAATTTTTGTATTTTTAGTAGAGACGAGTTTCACCATGTTGGCCAGGCTGGTCTTGAACTCCTGATCTCAGGTGATCCACCTGGCTCAGCCTCCCAAAGCGCTGGGATTAGAGGCGTGAGCCACCGCACCCAGCCATCAAAGATGTAACCTTGAAACAAACTGCAGAAGCCTTTTCCCTTAGCCTTAAAATGGACTCCATGTCCCTCCCTTCTTCACCGTATAAACTCCCTTCACATTTATCTAACTGTATGCCCGTGTCTAGTTACGTGCCTTCTTAGAGGTTCCAGACGCTAATCTTGAGACAGACAGACCAAGCCTGGAGATTCTTCTGCAAAATTCCACATGTGACCTCAAGGCGTCTAATTAAGAATCCAGCCATTGTTGAGATGATGCCAGACCACAGGCTTCCTGTGGACTAGGACCCAAGACAGCCACCGGAACAAGACAAACAGACAGTGTACTTAGCATAATCCTTGCCTGACTTCCACATCGTTTTCCCGTTTTAAACCCTTGCCTTGGCCGGGCGCGGTGGCTCACGCCTGTAATCCCAGCACTTTGGGAGGCCGAGGCAGGCAGATCACGAGGTCAGGAGATCGAGACCAACCTGGCTAACACGGTGAAAACCCATCTCTACAAAAAACACAAAAAATTAGCCGGGTGTGGTGGCGTGCGCCTGCAGTCCCAGCTACTCGGGAGGCTGAGGCAGGAGAATGGTGTGAACCCAGAAGGCGGAGCTTGCAGTGAGCGGAGATCACACCACTGCACTCCAGCCTGGGTGACGGAGACTCTGTCTCAAATAAATAAATAAATAAATAAATAAATAAATAAATAAATAAATAAAATAAATAACCCTTGCCTTTCCCACTCCCCATACCCCACAATTCAACGTGATTGCTTTGGGGATAGGAATCCAACCACTTCCCCTTGCTAGCTTTGGAAATAAAGTCACTTTCTTTCCACCACATCTTGCTCTTGTTAGACTCTGCAAGCAGCCAGCGACTGAACCAGCATTCGGTTACATCCCCTGAGGCGGATGACACTTGTGTGATCCTGTAACCGATTTCTTGTTAGAATGTTGGCATCTTTCACCCAGTCGTTTTCTTGTAATTTTATTTATTTGTTTGAAAACAGAATCCTTCTTGCAATCCTGTCATTTTCAGTGCCTTTTTTTTTTTTTTTTTTTTTTTTTTTTTTTTTTTTTTTTGAGACGGAGTCTCGGTCTGTCACCCAGGCCGGGGTGCAGTGGCGCAATCTCCGCTCACTACAACCTCCGCCTCCCGGGTTCAAGTGATTCTCCTGTCTTAGCCCTCCAAGTAGCTGGGATTACAGGCGCCGGCCACCACGCCTGACTAATTTTTGTATTTTTAGTAGAGACGGGTTTCAGCCATATTGGCCAGGCTGGTCTCCAACTCCTGGCCTCATGTGATCCGCCCACCTCGGCCTCCTAAAGTGCTGAGATTACAGGCGTGAGCCACCGCGCCTGGCATCAGTGCATACTTTTTGAAGTGATTCCAAGTTATCGCCCGCTTTTTTCGTGTAACATATAAATACATCTCTGTATCTAGAAATATCCAATGCATAATTCAATTGTCTGCGAGGTATTTCATCACGTATTTTCACGAGCGTGGCCAATTTCAAAATAGTTCTACAAAGAGGAAATGCAAGAATGTGGGAAGAGCAAAAGAAAAGCTCTATGTTGCAAAACCCATTTTTGCTAACGTGTCCAGTGGGCTCCCGGGACGACCTGTTTTTAAATTCTTGGTCTCCCTGCACCGCGTCCCTCCTTTGCTGCGCTAGCTTTATGACGCATCTTGGAAGAACAGGGCAGATTTAAAACCCTCTCCCAACAGGCGTCAAACGACATGGTGCAGGCTCGGGCTGGGGAGCGGGCCTGCGGCTGCCCAGCTGCTAAAGGACTTCCTACTCGTGCACCGCCGCCGGCTCCAGGGCAAACCCCACGCCATTTAGAAATGCTGGAAGTTTCTGTCTCTCCCTCCCCCTGCTCGGAGGCCATTCCCCCCACCCCCAGAGCCCCACCTCCTCCTTCACTGGGCCCTTTCTAACTCCTTCCCCTTAAAACCCTTTTCAAAATGGGGTTGACTGGAGGCGGAGGTTGCAGTGAGCCGAGATCGCCCCACTGCACTCCAGCCTGGTGACTCCGTCTCAAAAAAAAGGGGAGGGGGGCGGGGGAGAGTTGAAAGCTTAATATGTACTTTGGGGGCTATTAAAGCAAACATTTCGACTAAAGGGGCGAATCCTCGAATTGTGCGATCAAGCACCCGAGAGGAGAGTTGGGGGGGGTCAGGAGGGGTGGGGGCTCCAGGGAAAGCCCGGGGGTCTGGGCCGGGGTCTCGCGGGGCCCTTCCGGAAGGATCGCGGCCCCCGAAGGTGGGCGTCCCGCGGGGCTCCAGTCTCCAGGACGTTCCGGGAGGCTCCGCGCTCTGGGAGGCCGGCTGCGTGGGGTCCCCGCGCTGCAGCCGCAGAGGCCCCCCAGGGCCGCGGTTCCCGGAGCGGGAAAGTCCCGCGCGGGGGCGGTGGCCTCGGGGGCGGGACGGGGCGGGGGCGGGGGCGCGGGCGGCCGAGCCGAATCCCCTCCACCGGGACGCCCCGCTGCTGCTCGGGAAGAGGCGGGCCCTGCGCGCCCTGCGCTCGCCATGGCGGTTTGGGCGGCGACGTGAGCGGCTCCGCGGACCCCGAGCGGGGCCCCGGCCGCGACCTGAGCCGCCGCCGAGCGCCCGGGGCCATGCGACCGACGCTGCTGTGGTCGCTGCTGCTGCTGCTCGGAGTCTTCGCCGCCGCCGCCGCGGCCCCGCCAGGTGAGCCGGGCCTGGGCCTCCGCGGCGGGACGCGGGCGCAGCCGCAGCATGTGGGGGCTGGGGGACTCCCGGATCGTGGGGTGGGGGGAATCTGCCGGGTGCTCAGAGTGGGTGGGAATCTGCGGGGTGCTCCTGGTGGGTGGGATATGCGGAGTGCTCAGATCAGGTGGGAACCTGCGGGTGCCCCAGGTGGGGGTCTTGCGGGGTGCCCAGGGCTAGAGGGGCCCGCTGGGAGCCCGCAGCGGGGCTGGGATGGGCGGCCAGGAGTTCCAGACAGGAGCTGGGCAGCAGCAGGAAGACGGGGGGCACCCCTCCTGGCGTCCTGGCCGCCGGGACACCCCTCTCCGGGAGAGGACACTCGGTGCCCCTCCGTGAAGCCGGTAACCTCGGCTGCGCCACCTCCCCCACCCGCGCGCCCGCGCCGGGAAAGCCAGCGTGGCCCCAGTCTCCGAATTTCTCGGAATGAACAACAGCAAATTGAATCCAGGGCTCCGGCGGGGGCCGCCTTTGCTGGCCACTGGTTCTGCAGCCTGGCGAGACTGCGCTTAGTCCCCGCCTGGAGTGCCTCCCGAAGGCCTGGCTGGAAGCTAGACTCAGTCCCTTTGTAGTAGCAGCGGTGGAGCAGGGACCAGCGTCTTGGACGGGTGACCCAGACTCAATTCCGACTTTGGCCGAGGGCATGTTTGACACTGGGTGTGAAATCTAGACAGTTCCCGCGGTCATAGAGATGGGGCAGCAGCATTCAGGCAGGGCTCAGAACTGTCCGGGTCCCATCAGTGTTGGGGCGGAAGAGGAAGAGTGTCAACTGAGCCAGGCATTTATTTATTTTATTGTTGTTTGAGACAGGGTGTCGCTCTGTCGCCCAGGCTGGAGTGCAGTGGGCAGCATCTCAGCTACTGCAGCCTCCGCCTCCCGTGCTCAAGCGATCCTCCCACGTCAGCCTCCCAAGAAGGTGGTATTATTGGCCACGCCTGGCCAATTTTTGTATTTTTTGTAGAGAGGAGGTCTCACTGTGTTGCCCAGGCTGTTCTTGTACTCCTGAGCTCCAGCAATCCACCCGCCTTGGCCTCTGAAAGCGCTGGGATTACAGGCTTGAGGCACCGTGCCCAGCTGAGCCAGGCTTTTAAAACCGGTTCTGTCCCTACCCAGAGAGCTTCTTACCTGGCGGCCTCCTTAACCTCTGACACCAGCTGACCACGCTTATGAGCCAAACATAAAAACCAAAAGAAACCCAGGCTTGGTGGCTCACGCCTGTAATCCCAGCACTTTGGGAGGCTGAGGCAGCATCATGAGGTCAGGAGTTCGAGACCAGCTTGACCAACATGGTGAAACCCCCGTCTGTGCTAAAAATACATAGCTGGGCGTGGTAGCGCCCGCCTGTAATCCCAACTACTCAGGAGGCCGAGGCGGGAGAATCACTTGAACCCGAGAGCTGAGATCTCACCACTGCACTCCCGCCTGGGCGACAGAGCAAGACTCTGTCTCAGAAAAAAAAAAAAAAAAAAAAGAAAAAGAGGAAAAGACCTTAATGACAAATGTGTGGCTAGAACATTCTTGTGTATGTATCTGCTTTTGTTTTGCTGGGTTCTTTCCCCTGGGGAGAGTGATATCATAGGAGTCTCGAGAATTTAGAAGATTCTTCCCATTCGAAGCTATAACCTTGTGTTGTGGGTTTGTTTTTTCTACCGGCATTCCTTGCAAAGGCCCATAAGTTCCGTATCTCCTTGATCTGGGGTGCCTTGCACTTGAGGAAATTATTAACTGCTTTTCCATGGGAGTCAGACAGATGGGTTCAAATCCTGACTCTGCTTCCACTTGGCTTCACGTCTTGAGCAATCTGCATATGCCTCCTCCCTAGGCCTCCTCCTAATGAGAGTTGATGATTGTCCTAGTGTGGGATCAGCAGGCGAGTGACTTCATGCCAGAGAGGAGTGACTAGTGGTGATCTGTGGACTGTTTGTGACTTACCTGTGATGAGTCCAGAGGTTGAAAGATGTATTTAGAAACTATAGTCTGACATTGCCACAACATCCAGCTACCTGTCCATCTTGTTAATGATTAACTTTAATTGTATTCTACAAAAGTTTTGGTCTATGTGATATGTTGCAAAATAAAAAAATTTTAAAAAGTGAGGCCAGGCTCGGTGGCTCACACCTGTAATCCCAGCACTTTGGGAGGCTGAGGCGGGCGGATCACCTGAGGTCAGGAGTTCAAGACCAGGCTGGTCAACAATGATGAAACCCCGTCTCTACCAAAAATACAAAAATTAGGGGGCGTGATGGTACACACCTGTGTCCCAGCTACTCAGGAGGCTGAAGCCGAAGAATCACTTAAACTCAGGAGGCAGAGGTGCAGTAAGCTGAGATCACACCACTGCACTCCAGCCTGGGCGACAAGAGCAAGACTCTATCTCAAAAAAACAAAAACAAACAAATAAAAAAACTGGCTCCATTGATCCTTTGAAAAGTAGTAGCAGCTGGGCACGGTGGCTCATGCCTGTAATCCCATTACTTTGGGAGGCAGAGGTGAGCAGATCACCTGAGGTCAGAAGTTCCAGAGACCAGTGTGGCCAACATGTTAAAAACCCCTTCTTTACTAAAACTACGAAAATTACCCGGGCGTGGTGGTTGGCGCCTGTAATCCCAGCTACCTGGGAGGCTGAGGCAGGAGAATCACTTGAACCTGGGAGGGGAGGTTGCAGTGAGCCGAAATCATGCAACTGCACTCCAGCCTGGGTGACAGAGCAAGACTCTGTCTCAAAAAAAGAAAAAAAAAGAAAAGAAAAGTAGTGTAGTGCTTTAAACTAATCTCTATTTTGCAACTATTTGAACATTTTCACATTAAACAGCTTAAAAACAAACCTAATGGATATCTTCAAAAGAAACACTCTTTTAGTCAAAACACAAAGTGAAAATATTCACAATGATTATATGGCAAATGGGTGGTAGAAAGGTTTTCACACTTTCCCATAACTTACCGGTGTAATTTTGAAATTGCTTTTATGGTCAGAGAAAAAAAAAAGTGTTGGAAACTTTTTTTTTTTTTTTTTGAGATAGTATCTCTCTCCATCGCCCAGGCTGCAGTGCAGTGGCATGATCACAGCTCACTGCAGTCTCAACCTCTTGGGCTCAAGCCATCCTCCCACCTCAGCCTCCTGAGTAGCTGGGACTACACGTGCACGCCATCATACCTGGCTAATTTTTGTATTTTTTTGTAGAGATGAGGTTTCACCGTGTTTCCCAGGCTGGTTTTGAACTCCTGGGGTCAAGAGATCCACCCGCCTCAGCCTCCCAAAGTGCTAGGATTATAGATGTGAACCACCCAGCCTGGCTCCGGAAACAGATTTTTTAAAGGGAGACATAGTATCTATCCCTTAGAGTTCTGTAAGAGTAGAATATGTAAAATATGGGACCTGTGGCAATTTGTAGCCATGAGCTGTTAAGTAGTGGCCGTTTGCGCTAGATAGAAAAATGTAACCAACAGCACAAGTGCAGTAAATCAACTGACCAGTTAGTTACCTGAGTGTTGAGGAATTAAGGCTTCTATTTGTAATTGTAGCAGGTGCTGCTGACTTTTTCAGGGGATTGGATATGTACTGTGCCACAGAATTTTTTATCATTATTTGCTGACTTGAACAGCCAGAGCTTCTCATATGCTTAGAGACCACCGAGAAAGACAGTAAGTCCCCAGCAACTTAAAAACCATTGCATGTGAATGTCCACTGGGTAAGCTCCTGAGTGTTCATAATCTCAGCAAGTGAAAATATCATGTAGCTGGAATGCTTTTGCCACCTTTATAAACGATCATGATAGTAACATTTATTGGTCAGACGAGATGCCAAGTGCTTTATATACATTACCTCTCTTAATTTTCTCAGCCATTCTTTCGAACTAGGTTATATCTCTAGTTTACTTCCTGGAAAGTCAAACCTTTCTTGATAGGAAGAGCCAAATAATCTAGGTCAATAACTTGATGTCCAGTTGTTGTTGTTGTTTTTGAGACGGAGTCTCGCCCTGATGCCCAGGTGGGAATGCAGTGGCGCTATCTCGGCTCACTGCAACCTCTATCTCCCAGGTTCAAGCGATTCTCCTGTCTCAGCCTCCCAAGTAGCTGGGACTATAGGCACCTGCCACCATGCTTTGCTAATTTTTATATTTTTAGTAGGGACGGGGTTTCACCACGTTGGCTAGGCTGGTCTCGAACTCCTGACCTCAAGTGATCCCCACCGCACCCCCCCCCGCCAACCCCCGCCAGCCTCAGCCTCCCAAAGTGTTGGGATTACAGGCATGAGCTACCATGCCTGGCCTAGTATTTCTTGAAGAGAACAATTTCCTGGTTATGGCTGAGGAATCAGAAAATGCCTTTTTATTTCTCATCTGCAAGGTGATGGAGGTGGGATCAATGATGTTCACCTAATTGACTTTCATCATAATGTCCCCGCCCCCAATAGAAAGATCCTAAAGGGTCAGTCCTTAATTATCAAGATTAAATGATTAATGTTAATTATATTTTATTTTATTATCTGTGTGTGATAAGTGTTAATCAAACTATGCTGTTAAGACCCAGGATATCCTCCTATTCTTTTTGTTTGTTTGTTTGATATGGAGTTTTGCTCTTGTTGCCCAGCTGGAGTGCAGTGGCATGGTCTTGACTCACTGCAACCTCCACCTCCCGGGTTCAAGTGATTCTCCTGCCTCAGCCTCCCAAGTAACTGTGATTACAGTATGCACCACCGCACCTGGCTAATTTTTGTATTTTTAGTAGAGACAGGGTTTCACCACGTTGGTCAGGCTGGTCTCGAACTCCTGACCTTAAGTGATCTGCCTGCCTCAACCTCCCAAAGTGCTGGGATTACAGGCATGAGCCACCGCACCCAGCCCCTCCTATTCCTAAATATGCATAAAGTCTGAAATGCCTGGATCTGGGATAGGTAGATCAAAGGTGTTGGGATGGGTCAGGAAGGCAGAGTTGTTCATTCACCTCTTCACTGGTTGTTAAATGGTCCTAGTGTTTGGCCCTGAGTGTATAAAAATGATTAAGACAATGAATGTAGAGAATAGTCTACTTAGAGACCTTGTCAGAATGTCTGTATTACCATGTGTACTATAATAGATACACATACACTATGTGCCATGATTTTTCAAAAGTGCTAGAATAGAAATATTTTTAAATGTTATAGGACACTACTTGCCAGGAAGAGTTGAAGAAAGTCCAATAGAGGAAGAACAAACTGAGCTGGGTTTTGAAGCATGGAGTTTCAGATTAAAGAAAAGAAGAAAAGGCCAGGTGTGGTGGCTCACGCCTGTAATCCCAGCACTTTGGGAGGCCGAGGCAGGTGGATCACTAGGTCAGGAGTTCGAGACCAGCCTGGCCAAGATGGTGAAACGCTGTCTCTACTAAAAATACAAAAATTAGCTGGGCACAGTGGCGGGTGCCTGTAATCCCAGCTACTCAGGAGGCTGAGGCAGGAGAATCGCTTGAACCCAGGAAGTGGAGGTTACAGTGAGCCTAGATCGTGCCACTACACTCTAGCCTGGGTGACAGAACAAGACTGTCTCAAAAAAAAAAGAGGCCGGGCTCAGTGGCTCACACCTGTAATCCCAGCACTGTGGGAGGCCAAGGCAGGCAGATCAGGAGGTCAGGAGATCAAGACCATCCTGGCTAATAATGGTGAAACCTCGTCTCTCCTAAAAGCACAAAAAAATAGCCAGGCGTGGTAGCAGGTGCCTGTAATCCCAGCTACTCGGGAGGCTGAGGCAGGAGAATTGCTTGAACCTGGGAGGTGGAGGTTGCAGTAAGCCGAGATCACGCCACTGCGACACTGCACTCCAGCCTGGGGGACAGAGTGAGACTCTGTCTCAAAAGAAAAAAAGAAAAAGCAATATGCAAAATTATGTAGGTCCAAAATAAAATAGGATAGAGTTTATGGTATTTTAGCGAGTGGTGGTGATTGGTCTGGGATAAGATCTTGAAGGATTTTCAGCTTACTCAAGTCTGAACTCTACCCTCCATGCCAGGAATCGGCAAAGTTTTTCTGTAAAGAACTAGACAGTATGCACTCAGATGGTTACAGAAGTTTGATTAAATGGCTGATTTCTGAATTAGGTATGGCGCTTGAGACTCTGCCTAGGGAGAGTGCTCAGGTCATGCTTATATGTGAAAATGTGTCGTTATTTTTTCCTCTTGCTCTCACACATGTCCCTTGGTTTCCTAAGTGAGGTTTTGAAAATGAAATTTTGACAGTTGAGCCAAAATGCCCTCTATAAGCACGTGTATTTCCTTCTTTAAAGAATTCCCTCTCAGGAATTCCCTCTCTAATGTATTGTAAGATTTGGGGTTCGACCATTAACGCATTAGTCCAGTTCAATAAGCTTCATTTTTTTTTGTTGGTAGCAGGGTCCATTTTATGGGCGAACATACCAGTAAGTTCCTTGCCTTCGGGGAAGTTTAAGTTTATTAAAAGCAGTTACAGATATATTACAGATGTATTATACAGGAGGTTCTCAAGAGGCAAGAAGGTTCAGCAAGTTCATTGTCTTAATTACAATAATTTTTTTTTTTTTTTTTTGAGACAGAGTCTCTCTCTGTCACCCAAGCTGGAGTGCAGTGGTGCAATCTCGGCTCACTGCAGCCTCCACCTCCCAGGTTCAAGTAAATTCTCTGGCTCAGCCTCCCAAGTAGCTTGAATTACAGGCACCCACCACCATGCCTGGCTAATTTTTATATTTTTAGTAAAGATGGGGTTTCACCATCTTGGCCAGGCTGGTCTTGAACTCCTGACCTCATGATCCACCCACCTTGGCCTCCCAAAGTGCTGAGATTACAGGCGTGAGCCACTGCGGCCAGCCTACAACAATTTTTTTTTTTTTGAGACAGAGTCTCGCTCTTGTCGCCCAAGCTGGAGTGCAGTGGCGTGATCTCAGCTCATTGCAACCTCCACTGCCGGGTTCAAATGATTCTTGTGCTTCAGCCTCCCAAGTAGCTGGAAATGCAGGTGTGCACCACTATGCCTGGCTAATTGTTGTATTTTTAGTAGAGACGGGGTTTCACCATGTTGGCCAGGCTGGTTTCAAACTCCCAAACTCAGGTGATCCGCCCACCTCAGCCTCCCTAAGTGCTGGGATTACAGGCGTGAGCCACCACGCCCATCCAATTAGAATAACTTTTTACATGTTGTATTTTTAAAATTCATAACTCATAATCTAAAATTTATGCTCAGCACAGCTAACTTTGGAGACCTACCAAGAATGGTGCAATGATTCAGCAGCTACTCATGGTAAGACAAGAGTATCTGGGTGTAACCTGTATGAAACCTGCATCTCACAACCACTGCTCCTTCTCCCCAGCCTTCCAGCCCTGGTGTTTCCCATCGGGGGCCATGTGGCCTGGAACACAGAGGCTGGGCTGCCCAAGGACAGGCCCCCTGGCCTACAAAAAGGACAGTCTTATCACAGATGTGCAATCCTTGGCACTTCCCTGTGGCGTCTGCAGTTCTGAGACTGATTTTCTTCTATAAATGTGAAAAGATAGGGGATGATAGGAAACCCGGATATAAGGCAGAACAATGTTGCTTGGGCCATCTCTTACACCTCAGTGAAACGGAAAATGAAGGAAATGGAAGGCTGGCATGGGAACCCCGACTTATACAGTGATGCCCTTTTGCTGTTCCACGCGTCGCTTGGGGTGGAAGCCCTTCCTTGTCCCCTCGCCACCCACCCCGGAGCCCCTTGGTGCTTCCTTTCTGAACTGAATGCTTAGACTGGGGAACTAGAGGTGCCCGGAAAGGGAAGTCGGGAAGAAGAGACTATTCCTGTTGGTTCCTCCCCAGAGATGGGAGATGGTGAACAGGCGTGTGGAGGGCGGAATAATGGTCCCCAAAGATGTCCACGCCCTCATCCTCAGAGTCCGTGAACCTGGGAATGTGCTGCCTGACGTACAAAAGGGACTCCGCAGATGTGAGTAAGTTAAGAGCCCTGATGTGGGGAGATTGTCTTGCATTGTTGGGCCAAGTGGCCTTATACCACCACAGGGTCCCCAAAAGATGGAGCAGAGGCAGAAGGTTCAGTACCAGGGAGACAAGAAGGATGCGGCCAACCTTGCTGGAGGAAGGTGCCCTGAGCCAAAGAATGGGAGTGGCCTCTAGAAGCTGGGAAAGGCAAGGAAATGGATTCTCCCTGGAGGCTCGAGAAGGACCCCAGCCCTGCTGATAACTTGACTTTAGTCAGTGAGACTGACTTTAAACTTCTGACCAGCAGAACTATAAGAAAATAAATTTAGATGTGATTTTTTAAAATTTATTTATTTTTAGAGATGGGGGGATCTCGCTATGTTGGCCAGGCTAGAGTGCAATGATTATTCACAGGCATGATCATAGCACATGCACTACAGCCTCGAACTCCTGGGCTCCAGTGATCCTCCCGCCTCAGCCCCTTGAGCAGCTGGGACTACAGGTGCGCACCACCACGCCCAGCTAAATCTGGGTTGTGTGGAGTCACTAGGTTAGTGATAATGTGTTACAGTGATAAGAAGAACCTAATACAGGAAATAAAAGGAGTTGTCAGATTCTTTGAATGCCCAACCCTAAGCAGACACTCACCCTGTTCCTGGAAAGAGCCGGGTCCAGCTGCGTTTTCTCATGGCCCAATAACAAGAAGCAGACAAACTAGGAAGAAAGAGAATTTATTGCTGTAACAGGAAGGTCGGAGATAATCCGACCAGACCAACTCAAAGTGTTTGATTTTCTTTGTGCTTACATAGGTTTGGGTTATGTGCCTATGTGTGGTATTGCACTAAGTCTATGAGTAACTAATTTTGTTTCAACTAGAAAGTCAGAGGCCAAAAATGTGCTTTCTAAGTCTAATCAAGCTGTGAGGTCCCCGATACCGTCAAGGCCTGTCTCCTAAATTCTATTTAATGAGGACTGTGGTACCAGAGCATTTATTTATTTATTTATTTTTGAGACGGAGTGCCGCTCTGTCGCCCAGGCTGGAGCGCAGTGGTGCAATCTTGGCTTGCTGCAACCTCCGCCTCCCGGGTTCAAGCGATTCTCCTGCCTCAGCCTCCCAGGTCGCTGGGACTACAGGTGTGTGCCACCATGCCTGGCTAATTTTTCTATTTTTAGTAGAGACAGGGTTTCACCATGTTGGCCAGGCTGGCCTCGAACTCCTGACCTCAGGTGATCCACCACCTCAGCGTCCCAAAGTGCTGGGATTTCAGGCATGAGCCACTGTGCCCGGCCAGGAGTTTATTTCTATCTTGTCTCATTTACAGTTTGGTCCGGAGAGCTGCCTTAGACTCTCCAATAAATCTATTCAAACAGCTGCCTCTGTTATCTTGACTTGCTCCAGGTTTGGAAGAAGCCTGTGTAGGATCTGTGTTTCATTTCTGGCTTTGATGTCTGGGCGTCAGTTTCCCTGGGGTTAATTATTAGCTTAATGTGAAGGCAGCATTGTGGAAATTTCTCTGCATAGTTCGGATGCTATTCAGATCTGTCTGTGTGACTGTCATGCAGGCCTCTCTGTGTGACTGTGAGGGAGCATTGACCTGCCACCACCCCCCTCTGGAAGCATCCAGTCCCCAACTGGCTTTGGGCATTGCTAGGTCATAGCAGCCACAGCACACCTGGTGGGCCTGCCTCTTGCCACGCAGCTTTACCTGTCTGCCTTCGGCCCAGGATGTCATGAGGCCTGCTGTGTGTCAGGAGAAGTGTTGTTAGCTGGTTGGGTGAAGGTCACCCAGAGCTCATAGGTGTGGAGGGGAGGGGCATCCTATAACTAAACAAATGGCCGCAGACTTGGCAATTCATCTTTCAGAAGAAGAGCCAGTGGTCAGGCTGTCAGCTGATCTCTTTGAGGTTGAGCGCATTTACCGAAAATGTGTGGCTTGAATTTCCTGCTTTGAATTTTGGAACAGCATGTTTTTCAAACCTTTCTTCCACCTTCTGGGCATTTCTTATTAATCTTTTTGGTCAAAAGCCTTATCTTGATTATGTTTTCTTTCTAAGACAAAGGGCTCCCTGTGAAGTACCTGCTTGGGAAAGGGAGGAGTTGTGGCAGTTTCTTCTAGGTCCCCGAAGGCTCCCTGTGAAGTACCTGCTTGGGGAAGGGAGAGGTTGTGGTTGTTTCTTCCAGGTCACCCCAAAGAGAGGGATTCTGATATTGGTGGTGTTTCCGGGGGAGTATATTCTTTCTCTGTTTATTGCCCCCTAACCTTTTTTTTTTTTTTTTTTTTTTTGGAGACAGAGTCTCTCTCTGTCGCCCAGACTGGAGTGCAATGGTGCGATCTCAGCTCCCTGCAACCTCTGCCTCCTGGGTTCAAGCGATTCTCCTGCCTCAGCCTCCTGAGTAGCTGGGATTACAGGCGCTCACCACCGCACCTGGCTAACTTTTATATTTTTAGTAGAGACAGAGTTTTGCCATGTTGGCCACACTGGTCTCAAACTCCTGACCTCGAGTGATCTGCCTTCCTTGGCCTCCCACAGTGCTGGGATTATAGGTGTGAGCCACTGAGCTCGGGCCGTGTTGTCCTCTAACTTTAATGTGTGTGAGAAGCAGCTGGAAAGCTTGTTTAAAATGCAGATTTCCTGGGGGCCTCAGGACCTGCACTTTAACCAGCACCCCTGTGATTGCGATGCTGGGGGTCCTTGAGAGACGACAACTCTGATGGTGCCCAGAAGTCGGCGTTCCTTGCCCTCCCCTGCAGCTTGGGCTTTGCGTACCTGATTTAGGATGTTTGTGTGTTTTTGCGTGTGTAGTGTGTGCACGTGTGCACGTATTTGCGGACATTTACCAGACACTTCCTTGGTACTAAATCTGAAGCTAACGCGTGTCACATGATCACCACGTTAATCTTCGCCACAGCCCTGTGGGTGTATCATTATTGACCCCTTATTCCTGAAAAAGAAAACTCAAGCTCAGACAGGTGAAGTGACCTGCCCCGAGCCTAATGCAGTTACTAATGGTAGAACTGGGACCCCAGTCCGGCCAGACTCCAGGGCCCAGGACCTGTTCGTAACAACTGGGACCTGCAGGTGGAAAGGCTGCCCCAGGCGCCTCTTTTCTTTTTGTGCTGCCTGTACCAGTAGGGCCATCTTTGTAGCCAAAAGTCGGGGGTGTGGGGCCATGCCCAGGGGGACCTGGTAATGCCATTTCTGCACTTTGACAAAAACTGAGTTGTATGAATGACTTAGATAATGGACATTGAAACATTTTTGTAATTATTTCCCTCTCTCTCCTCCCTTCCTCCCTCTTCTTTTTCTCTGTCCCCCTCAAGACCCTCTTTCCCAGCTGCCCGCTCCTCAGCACCCGAAGATTCGCCTGTACAACGCAGAGCAGGTCCTGAGTTGGGAGCCAGTGGCCCTGAGCAATAGCACGAGGCCTGTTGTCTACCAAGTGCAGTTTAAATAGTAAGCCGGTATTTCTGTTGGATCCTTGCTGGGAGCTGTGGGGGCATCGTGCGGAACCCTGGGGCCACATACTAGTCCCTGCCTCTGTGCAGGGTTTGTTATCAAACCCGTGGGAAACACATCGTTCTTGGAGCTTGTAAAATCTCTGAGGACAGAGGTTTCACAGCCTCCCACTCATCTGAAGGCTTAAACTACACTGGCAGTCAGGACTCCGCTGTCTAACCACACGGGTTCTTGCTTTGGTGGAAAGTTCATTCTTTCGCTGGTTTCAGGAGAAAGGTTGTAAAAATAGGCTTCCACCATGGAAGAACAGGAGGCAGCTTTTAGTCTTCATCTTCGGGCTTAAAAATCGGATTGATTTAACCTTATAGACCAAATATGGCCTGATCAGAAATTTGTTTGGTTAATTACAATGAATTCTGAGTTTCTCAACTGGTTTTCCATTTTGCATATTATCCTGGCTCTTTCATCTGTCTCTTGCCTCTTCAAGCTTTTGCAGAATTGGCCATCACTTGATTTGCAATATAAATACATATAGAAAGAGGGCAAAGTCCACATCCTTTGTTATTTTTTGTTTACGTTGTTAAGTAGGTTAATTGAAGAGTAAGGTGAAGTTATTGGCTAAGTCATTTTGTACTATTTGGTAAACCAAATGTAAAGACATGATGATGTCCAGTGCTTGTGAGATGGGACTGGTTCATATGTGTTCACCTGATGCTGTTTGCAGAATCAATTAGCATAGCCCTTTCAAAGAGGAATTCTACCAGACATTTGAAGTCATGGAAATGTCCATAGTAGTTTTCCAATGTGTGTGTGTGTGTGCACGTGTGCATGTGTGTCTGTTTGTTGTTGTTGTTTTGAAACAGAGTTTCCCTCTATCGCCCAGGCTGGAGGGCAATGGCATGATCTCAGCTCACTGCAACTTCCACCTCCTGGGTTCAAGTGATTCTCATGCCTCCTGAGTAGCTGGGACTACAGGCATGAGCTACCATGGCTGGCTAATAGGTATATTTTTAGTAGAGATGGGGTTTTGCCATGTTGGCCAGGCTGGTCTCAAATTCCTGGCCCCATCCTCAAGTGATTTGCCCGCCTGGGCCTCCCAAAGTGCTGGGATTGCAGGCATGAGCCACCGTGCCCAGCCTTCATAGTAGTTTTATCCTACACAGATAATTCAACCCCCCATCAAAAAAAAGAGAGACAAAAACTATAATCATGAAGAGATACATGGAAGTGTATATTCATATCCATCAGTAGGAAAGTGACCAATTTTAGCCTGCTAACTTACGCTTGAACACTAAACCACAGACAGCCAATAGAAAGGATAATTAGATGTCATCTGGTAGAAATTGCAACTCTGTAAACTTTGGCATGTATTTGTATTTTTTATTTCTTATTTTTGTTACTTAAAAAAATTTTTTATTCACTTTTATACTGAAAAGTTGCAAGTGGTATGTATTTATTGTCAAGAATAGAAAGGGGCCGATCATGGTGGCTCACACCTGTAAAAGAATAGAAAAGTAGGCCAGGCATGGTGGCTCACGCCTGTAATCCCAGCACTTTGGGAGGCCAAGACGGGCGGATCACGCGGTGAGGAGATCGAGACCATCCTGGCTAACACGCTGAAACCCTGTCTCTACTAAAAATACAAAAAATTAGCTGGGTGTAGTGGCGGGCGCCTGTAGTCCCAGCTACTTGGGAGGCTGAGGCAGGAGAATGGCGTGAACCCGGGAGGCAGAGCTTGCAGTGAACCGAGATCGTGCCACTGCACTCCAGGCTGGGCGACAGAGCGAGACTCCATCTCAAAAAAAAAAAAAAAAGAATAGAAAAGTAATGTGGAAAAATGACAGGCAATTGATTTGTTAGAGGAGTAGGTTTCCAGGTAACTTGTTTTTCTTTTTCTTTTTCTTTTTTTTTTTTTTTTTGAGACAAAGTCTCCGTCACCCAGGCTGAAATGCAGTGGCACGATCTTGGCTCACTGGACCTCCGCCTCCCAGGTTCAAGCAATTCTTATACCTCAGCCTTCTGTGTAGCTGGGATTACAAGTGTGCACCACCCCACCCGGTTCAGATAACTTCTTTTTTTTTTTTCTGAGACAAGGTCTCACTCTGCCCCCCAGGCTGGAGTGCAGTGGCATGATCATGGCTCAATGCAGCCACAATTTCCTGGCTCAAGAGATCCTCCTACTTCAGCCTCCCAAGTAGCTGGGACTATGGGCGCACACTGCTGTACCCAGCTAATTTTTAATTTTTTGAAGAGATGGGGTTTTGCCATGTTGCCCAGGCTGGCCTCGAACTCCTGGGCTCAAGTGATCCACCCACCTCAACCTCCCAAAGTGCTGGGATTACAGACATGAGCCATCACACTGGCGTTTCTTATTTGTTTTTAAATGTCCGTTGTAACAGTATTTGCTTAATAGAAACAGGTGCTAAACTGAGGTTTGAGAGTTATCTCTAAATCACATTGATCTGTTCCTCCAGTAGTTATAAATTACGAACATTAAGTTACCTGTAATTAATGGAGCAATCCACCAGAGCAGGCTACACAATTTGCAAGACCCAGTGCAAAATGAAAATGTGAGACCCTTTATTTAAAAAGTATTAAGAATTTCAAGATGGCAACCGCAGAGCATCAAATGAAGTGCCTTTCTGAGAACGGGCTTGATGTGAGCGCACAGGTCACATGTCAGGAAGTTGGCCCTACCCTCAGCATTCAGCAAACATTACACCCTAGAGCTAAACAAGAAGCTTGTTGTGAGAGTCACGGCTGATGTATTGACTTAGGCTTGATGCTGATTTATGGGCTCCTTGGCCTTGAACAAGGAAGTACGTTTACTGATTTTCAGAGGAGATGCTTCTAAAAATGGGATAAAACGTTATTGCATTAAAAAAAAAAACCTTTGATAGAGTTTCATTTGATAAACTAACCTGTTTCACTTTGTCTTCTTTTCAAAAAGCATTTTATAGATATTTTCTCAGGGATAAAGGTTGGTTTTATTTTTTATTTATTTATTTATTTATTTTGAGACAGAGTCTCGCTCTGTCATCCAGGCTGGAGTGCAGTGGCGTGATCTCAGCTGACTGCAACTTTCGGCTCATTGCAACCTGCGGCTCACTGCAGCCTCCGCCTCGTGGGTTCAAGCGATTCTCCTGCCTCAGACTCCTGAGTAGCTGGGATTACAGGCACCCACCACTACGCCCGGCTGATTTTTATATTTTTAGTAGAGACAGCTTTTCACCATGTTGGCCAGGCTGGTCTCGAACTCCTGACCTCAGGTGATCCGCCCACCTAGCCTCCCAAAGTGCTGGAATTATAGGTGTAAGCCATCACGCCCAGCCTAGAGGTTGGTTTTAGTAAAAGAAACATAGGTTAGGGTACATGTGAATATTCCTGTTAGAAAAAGGTGAAATCGGGGATGATTTCTTTTTCTTTTTCAGTTTGTAGATTTGATAATGGAAGAGGGCCTTTGCATTTGTTTTTAGATACTTTGTTTTAGATACAAACATGTGTTTGGGACTTTTTATTAGTTTTGAGGCTTGTGAGACTTAAATTTCCACCGTGTTTCTCTACAATAAAGCATTGCTATGATTAAAAATGAAGATGCCTTTGTTTTTTGACAGAGTATCAAGACCAAAATTACATGGAGCACTTGATGGGAGAATTTCAAGTCTAAATCATGGGTAGCAGACAGTGGCTGCAGGCTATTTGGCTCCCAGTGTTTAATTTTTTTTTTCTTCAATTTGTTGCCAACATTAAGAAATCTGGACTTTTCACTTAGAAAAAAATAATAATAAATAACAGGAAAAAAAACCAATCCTGATGTCAGTTTTCCTTGAAAATGCAGACAGTCGGGCAGCAAGGCCCCTTCCAGATCACGCCTCCTGGTCTACTGCCAGCCCCTCTCTCAGACCTGCCCAGCCCTGTCTTCTCAAACATTTGTTTTTCATTTTCTTCTGATTTTAATAGCAATCCATGTTCTTTATAGAAAATCTGGACAATCTAGAAAAGTAGAAGAAAATAAAATAACCTGTTGTTCTACACTCTAAGAATAATCACTATTCTCATTTTATTTTACTTTTTATTTTATCTTATTTATTTATTTATTTGAGACAGAGTCTTACTCTGTTGCCCAGGCTGGACTGCAGTGGCGTGATCTCAGCTCACTGAAACCTCCGCCGCCTGGGTTCAAGTGATTGTCCTGCCTCAGCCTTCCAAGTAGCTGGGATTACAGGCGCCCGCCACCATGCCTGGCTAATTTTTTTGTATTTTTAGTAGAGATGCAGTTTCACCATGTTAGCTAGGCTGGTTTCGAACTCCTCACCTGAAGTGATCTGCCCGCCTCAGCCTCCCAAAGTGCTGGGATTACAGGTGTGAGCCACTGCACCCAGCCATTATTCTCATTTTAGACTTTTTTTTCTAAATTCGTTCTCTTGTTTGAAAATTGTGTGTGTGTGTGTGTGTGTGTAAACCAAACCAGACTGGGGTCACACTTCTGGGGTCTATTTCCTTTTTTATTTTAACTTGATGTAGTTAAATGTGAGCATTTTTTCATGTAATTATTTCTGTGTGGACATTGTATGTTTCATTATGTGACATATCACATGTGTTGTATTTAACTTTTCCCCAGTCATGGGCGTAGACAGTTGGCAGCTTGTGCCTGTCCTAAGTCATGACCTCGTACATGAATCATATCTGGTTATTTTCTTACACTTCTAGAAGAGAGGTTGCTGGGTCAAAGGGGATGGACTTACTTAATGTTTTTGTGAGTGACCTCACAAAGGCTGGACATAGCTCTTGAGTCCCAGGGACAGGCTGAGCCCCGGCAGTGGCAGGGGTTTGGGGGAGCAGGCCCTGCACTGCATTTGAGGAAGAGCCGTGCATGTTGCTCTTGGAGGAGGAGGAGCGGGGCGGTTAGAGGGTCTTTAGGTATCTGTCTACCTTGAAAAAGAAATCACTCACCTCTTCCAGAGCACGCCCCTCACCCCCGACCTGAGAGGAGAGGCTCGTGGTTTGCGATCCCTCTCCCCATTAGGGTCTGTCACCCTGGGGCTGAGTAGTAGGTATCTATGGCGGGTGTCTTCATGGAAGCCCTGGCCACGCATCTTGAAGTGGCTTTCATCTTGTCCCTTGCAACTTAAGCGGAAGATGCATCTTGGAGAGGGTCGGAGGTACAGTTAGAAGCATGTGTGGTACGTGAAAGCCGGTGGTCGTGGGGATACAGAGCGGTCTCCAGTCTCGTCTCCTGTCTCCCATGGCCTTGCTTTCTGGGCCATAGTTGCTGTTGTAGGGGGATACTGTCCGCTGCCCCTACTCAGGCTCCCAGCAGCCACCTCCTTGGCCTTTCTGAAGTCTGTCACCTAAGGCAAAGAGGTCAGAGCTGGGGACTAGAGTCCCACGTGGGAGTGTGGCATTGGGACTCTGGGAAAGGCACTGTCATTCACAAGGATGTGTGGCCATGTATTTGGCAAGGTTTTCATATGGGTGAGACAAATCCTCTTTGAATGGGCAGCTATGGGTGGAAAGAAACTCCGCACCAGCAGGAAGCAGGACTGGAGTTTGTATTAACACAGTTCCATTCCCAAAACATAGGCTACAGAGACTGAGTTTGAAGTATTAAAATCAGTTATGGGATGGAATGGGAGAAAATATTTGCAAATCATCTATCTGACAAGGGACTTGTATCCAGAATAGATAACGAACTCTTACAATTCAACAATTAGAAGACAAATAACCCAATTAAAAACCACAGCTGGGCACAAGGGATCACACCTGTAATCCCAGCACTTTGGGAGGCCAAGGCAGGAGGATTACTTGAGTCTAGGAGTTCAAGACCAGCCTGGGCAACAAGGAGAGACCCCCAACTCTACAAAGAAATTAAAAATAAAAATAACAGTAGCAGCCAAGCACAGTGGCTCACGCTTGTAATTTCAGCACTTTGGGAGGCCGAGGTGGGCGGATCACATGAGGCCAGGAGTTTGAGACCAGCCTGACCAACATAGTAAAACCCCGTTTCTACTAAAAATATAAAAATTAACCAGGCATGATGGTGCATGCCTGTAATCCCAGCACATTGGGAGGCCAAGGCAGGTGGATCACTTGAGGTCAGGAGTTTGAGACCAGCCTGGCCAACATGGTGACACCCCATCTCTACTAAAAATACAAAAATTACCTGGGTGTGGTGGCTCACACCTGTAGTTCCAGCTACTCGGGAGGCTGAGGCACAAGAATCACTTGAACCCAGGAGGTGGAGGTTGCTGTGAGCCAAGATTGCGCTACTGCACTCCAGCCTGGGTGACAGAGCAAAACTCCATCTCAAAAAAAAAAAAAAAAAAAGCGGGGGGGAACTGTATGGTACATATAAATTGTATCTCAATAAACCTGCGTTTTGAACAAAAGCTCTGGGGAAACTATTACACATGAAACAGAGAATTCTGTGAATTGAAATCCTTTTTTCCTTCCCAGCACCGACAGTAAATGGTTCACGGCCGACATCATGTCCATAGGGGTGAATTGTACACAGATCACAGCAACAGAGTGTGACTTCACTGCCGCCAGTCCCTCAGCAGGCTTCCCAATGGATTTCAATGTCACTCTACGCCTTCGAGCTGAGCTGGGAGCACTCCATTCTGCCTGGGTGACAATGCCTTGGTTTCAACACTATCGGAATGGTAAGAGAACTTGAGTATAGAACTTCCTTTATACTTTCCAGGTTTTCTTCACTTGCGGTATCGACTCCACACACCTCTGTCCTGCCTGTCACCCTAAATGACCAGCAGACAAATGGGTAGGACAGTCAAACCCACACTCTGACCTTGGAGGCTGATGCTAAGGGAGTGTGATTTGCTAAACCAGGGGTTGGCCAACTACAGCCTGCAGGCCAAATCGGGCCCACCACTTGTTTTTGTAAATAAAGTTTTATTGGAACACACAGTTACATCCATCTTTTATTGTGTCTATGACTGCTTTCACACTACAATGGTAGAGTAGTTGCAATAGCAGCTGTTGAGCCTGCAAAGTCTAAATTTACTGTGGCTCTTTACTGAAAAAGTTTGCCAACCTCATGCTAGAAGGGATGCTAGCATATCTCTCTGATCACCCTTACTTATTCTGGTGCAACTTCTTTTGTGTTGCAGAATAGGCACCTTGAATGGTGCCTGGCATGTAGTAGGTATTCAGTAAATATTTGTTGAATGACTGAGTGAACAAATATGTCCCCAGATATTGGAAGGAGACAGAAGAACCCTCAGATTCCAGTTCCTACATTTGTTCCTCCAGTAATTCATTTGTCACGTAGTCAGCCATGCCAGATGTTTCTTCCGTGTCTGGTTTATGCACACACAGGGCATGAAACTTACATGGATCTTGATTTAGACAAACTAATGTATAAGACAATTGAAATGTGATCACCGTCTAGATATTTGATATATAATGAACAATTTTATTGTTGACTTATTTTCAGTGTTATAATGGTGTTTTGGTTATGATTTTTAAAGGAGGAGGAGGTCTGGTTAAGATGTTAAAGTTTATGTTATGTGTATTTTACCACAATAAAAAATTGGGGGAATAAAAAGAGTTCCTGCTGGGCGCGGTGGCTCACGCCTATAATCCCAGCACTTTGGGAGGCCGAGGCAGGCAGATCACTTGAGGTCAGGAGTTCGAGACCAGCCTGGCCAACATGGTGAAACCCCATCTCTACTAAAAACACAAAAATTAGCTGGATGTGGTGGTGCATACCTGTAATCCCAGCTACTTGGGAAGCTGAGGTAGGAGAATCGCTTGAACCGGGGAGGCAGAGGTTGTGGTGAGCTGAGATTGCACCATTGCACTCCAGCCTGGGCAACAAGAGTGAAACTCCATCTCAAAAAAAAAAAAAAAAAAAAAAAAAGCAAAATAATCCAAAGAACAGGAGGGACAAGGACAAAGCTTCCAGGCATAGAAGAAACAAAATTGGCCATAAGTTGACAGTTGATTCAGTTGGGTAATTAGTACATGAGTGTTTGTTAATGATCTTCCCTCTACTTTTTTTTTTTTTTTTTTTTTGAGACGGAGTCTCTCTCTCTTGCCCAGGCTGGAGTGCAGTGGCGCAATCTTGGCTCACTGCAAGCTCCACCTCCCAGGTTCACGCCATTCTCCTGCCTCAGCCTCCCGAGTAGCTGGGACTACAGGCGCCCGCCACCACACCCGGCTAATTTTTTGTATTTTTAGTAGAGATGGGGTTTCACCATGTTAGCCAGGATGGTCTTGAACTCCTGACCTTGTGATCCGCCCGCCTCGGCCTCCCAAAGTGCTGGGATTACAGGCGTGAGCCACCGCACCCAGCCTATCTTCTCTCTACTTTCTATGTGTTTGAAATTTTCTGTAATAAAAAGTTTTTTTTTGTTGTTGTTGTTTTTGAGGTGGAGTCTTGCACTGTCGCCCAGGCTGGCGTGCAGTGGTGCAGTCTCGGCTCACTGCAACCTCTGCCTCCTGGGTTCAAGTGATTCTCCCTCCCGGGTTCAAGTGAGCCTCCCAAGTAGCTGGGACTACAGGTGCACGCCACTATGCCCGTCTAATTTTTTGTATTTTTAGTAGAGACGGGATTTCACCATGTTGTCCAGGCTGGCCTCTAACTCCTGACCTCGTGATCCGCCCATCTCAGCCTCCCAAAGTGCTAGGATTACAGGCGTGAGAGCCACCGTGCCCGGCCAATAAAAAGTTTTTTAGAGAGGATCATGCCTGTAATCTTAGCCCATTGGGAGGCTGAGGTGGGAGGATCGCTTGAGCTCAGGAGTTCAAGATGAGCCTGGGGAATATAGCAAGACCCCATCTCTATTTTTTTTTTTTTTTAATCAGTGGTTTGTGCTAGGTACTGTGAGGGACAGAAACAGAGAAGACAGGGCAATCCTGCCAGCTCCTCGTCTGCTGTGGACAAGCCATTTGTCCTTGGGTGCCAAACCACCCTCCATTTGAGCTATAAAGTGTCAAATAAGTGGGAATTAGGAGTATGCAAACAAGTAATGATGGCTGGGCGCAGTGGCTCACCCCTGCAATCCCAGCACTTTGGGAAGCTGAGGCAGGCAGATCATCTGTGGTCAGGAGTTCAAGACCAGTCTGGCCAACATGGTGAAACCCCATCTCTACTAAAAATACAAAAGTTAGCCGGGTATGATGGCACACGACTGTAATCCCAGCTACTTGGAAGGCTGAGGCAGGAGAATCTCTTGAACCTGGGAGGTGGAGGTTGCAGTGGGCCAAGATGACACCATTGCACATCAGCCTGGGTGACAGAGCGAGGCTCTGTCATTTAAAAAAAAAAAGGAATGATACTTACCGCCACTGCCCAGGGATCAAGAGAAGGTAACAGAAGCAGGATGTATCGTGACAGTGGGTCCGGTGCCAGCCAGCTGCCGCTTCCGGCCGGAGTCAAGCACCCATGTTTCTGTTAGTTACTGGCTGGGCTGCTGTTCTCTGCCCTCGTGCTTGAAAAGCTTGACACAGTGGTGGTCTCATGTCACATCTGCCACTTTCACCTCTGCTGGTGGCGTTAGAATCAGTAATGGATATGGAGGTGGTTTACCAAGCAGAGGAGTGAGATGGTGGTTGGAGGGGGCAGGCTTTAGCATCACCCTCACCTGGGTTCATATCCCAACTCTGCCATTTATTGGCTGTGTTACTGTGGGCAAGTAGTGTCACCTCCTGGCTTCCGTTTCCTCGTCTGAGAAATGGGGATAACCTTATTTGTTTTTTTGTTTTGTTTTGTTTTTTGAGACAGTCTCGCTCTGTCGCCCAGGCTGGAGTGCAGTGGAGCGATCTCAGTTCACTGCAGCCTCCGCCTCCAGGTTTAAGTGATTCTCGTGCCTCAGCCTCCCCAGTAGCTAGGATTACTGGCATGGGCCACCACACCCCAGTTAATTTTGGTTTTGTTTTTGTGAGATGGAGTTTCACTCTTGTCACCCGGGCTGGAGTGCAGTGGCCCGATCTCGGCTCACTGCAACCTCTGCCTCTCAGGTTCAAGCGATTCTCCTGCCTCAGCCTCCTGAGTAGCTGGGATTACTGGCATGCACCACCATGCCCCACCATGCCCAGCTAATTTTTGTATTTTTAGTAGAAACGGCATTTCTCCATGTTGGCCAGACTGGTCTTGAACTCCTGACCTCAAGTGATCTGCCCACCTCAGCCTCCCAAAGTGCTGGGATTACAGGTATGAGCCACCATGCCCATCCCGTGATACCCTTATTTGGCAGTGACACTGATCGTGAGAGGCTTCGTGGAAAGGCCATTTACCTGGAGACTCCACACATTGTCGTCCAGTGTTCCCTAGAGCCAGCCTTCCTCCAGTGCTGTGAGAGGAGGCAGATTGTTCTCGCCTCTAGATGAGGTTTACTGGGTTCATGTCAGATTCCGGGCCAGGACTCTCTTCAGAAGGGCAGGTCTGAGCCCTGTGTTTTCAGCCGTGCAGTGGCCAGCTGTGGCTGGTGTCCACACTCCCATGTGCTAATGGAGATGCCCAAAGAATGTGTCCAAAGCCAGTCCCTGCAGGTGCTTCTGCAACGCACTTCTGCACACTCTGCTCACTTAGCTGGGACAAGGGAAGCTGGAGAACGTGTGTGCTGGTGTCCCTGGGCAGGCTGAGTGGAAGAGCATTTTGTCACTAGCAGTCAATCCACAAACATCACTATGGCTGGTGGTGGGCCAGGCCTGACCTCACTTCTGCCACTGGGAGTTGTCTGGACTTAGCACCTCCACCAGAACAAATGAGGGGGCACAACTACAAACTCAGCAGTTCTTTTGCACAGAGAGAAGCTTGGCCAGATCATACACCTAACCCTCACCAACCTGGAGTGCCCAGGGGAGAGAATCCAGCCCTGCTGTTGTGAACACACAGTGACAGGATTGTCTCCTTGTGTAAAATGTGCAGACATTGGTCTCTTAGAACTTCGAGGACCCAAACTGTACTTTGATCTGAGTTTCTCTGGTGAATTATACAATGTGCATGCTTACTTAATAAATGCTTGATAACCCCTCATTGATAGCACATCATGAGTCACAGTCCTAGCCTGACCTGTGAATTATATGAAAAGCCTGAACAAATAGACTTACATGGCAACACTTCTCAGTTATTGTGTTTAAATATAGTATGGGCATGGTGCTCACGCCTGTAATCCCAGCACTTTGGGAGGCCAAGGCAGGCGGATCACCTGAGGTCAGGAGTTTGAAACCAGCCTGGCCAACATAGTGAAACCCTGTCTCTACTAAAAATACAAAAATTAGCCGGGTATGGTGGCGTGTGCCTGTAATCCCAGCTACATGAGAGGCTGAGGCAGGAGAATCGCTTGAACCTGGAAGGCGGAGGTTGCAGTGAGTTGAGATTGCACCACTGCACTCCAGCCTGGGTGATATGTGCGAGATTCCATCTCAAAAATGAATAAATAAATAAATAGGCCAGGCGCGGTGGCTCACACCTGTAATCTCAGCACTTTGGGAGGCTGAGGTGGGCGGATCACGAGGTCAGGAGTTCGAGAACAGCCTGGCCAACATGATGATACCCTGTTTCTTCTAAAAATATAAAAATTAGCCAGGCATGGTGGCACACGCCTGTTGTAATCCCAGCTACTTGAGAGGCTGATGCAAGAGAATTGCTTGAGCCCGGGAGGTGGAGGTTGCAGTGAGCCGAGATCGCACAACTGCACTCTAGCCTGGGCGACAGAGCAAAACTGTCTCGAAAAAATAATAATAAATAAAGAGATAGATAAAAACGTGTGTGTATATATCTACACCCACTATATATATATATATACATATATATATAGCATTATATAATACATTGTATTATATCTATAATACATATGTGTATGTGTGTGGTTTTCTCTTTGTAATTCTTTTTCAGTGACTGTCGGGCCTCCAGAAAACATTGAGGTGACCCCAGGAGAAGGCTCCCTCATCATCAGGTTCTCCTCTCCCTTTGACATCGCTGATACCTCCACGGCCTTTTTTTGTTATTATGTCCATTACTGGGAAAAAGGAGGAATCCAACAGGCAAGAGCATCTTTCTTTTTTGTTTGGATTTTCTTTTCTTTGCAGTTTCTGGCTTAGCAAAAGAAAGAAACCTTTAACATGGGCAAGAACAGGGTGTCTCCATGTCCCCGTGTCCCCATAGAGGCTGAGCCCTGAGCCTGTTTTCATTGTCCTCTTCAAGACCTGTTTTTCCACTCGGTTTGCTGAGACCTCCCTCCGCCAGGCTGATCTGAAGGGCCAGCCATCCTTTGATGTCACTCTGTGTCCCTTGTGTGGGGTTGAGACTTTGCCGGTGCCCTGCTTACGATGCCTTTGCCACGCTCTGTAGTTTGGAGGAGGTTTTAGTGGGCCTGGTTCTCCATGAGGAATCCACAACTACAGCCTGCAAGGCTTAACTGTATAAATGTTTGAACAGTTTGTGAAAAGGGCACATGCGAAATCGGGGGGAAACAGAGGGAGAAAGAGCTTTCCAGAGAGCAGTACCAGCAGGTATGAGAAGGCGTGGCATACGTGGAGAACTGCAGGTGCTTAGATTGGTCAGAAATGCAATCCACAAGGGGCTGTGGCAGGTGCTCACGTTGACAGAGGTGCATGACATCAGAGCGGCCTGGTCAGCCTCGGGGAGTATAGGAAAAAGCATCATGGTCTTGAAGCATCTCCAGTGCCTAAATTATCCTAGCTGCATTTAAGGAGGTTCTGTTATCTATGGGAACTTCATGATTTCCTAAATTCAACATTATGATGGTTTTTGATAATAAGAGCTTACATTTATTGAGAGCTTCCTTTGTGTTTGGCTCTGGGCCAGAATTTTAGATACTTCATCTCATTTCATCTTTTTTTTTTTTTTTTTTTTGAGCTGGAGTTTCGCTCTTGATGCCCAGCTAGTTTTTGTATTTTTAGTAGAGACAGGGTTTTTACCACGTTGGTCAGGCTGGTCTCAGACTCCTGACCTCAGGTGATCTGCCCACCTTGGCCACCCAAAGTGCTGGGATTACAGGCATGAGCCACCGTGCCCGGCCCATTTCATCTTTATACTAATCCGTTTGCAGAGAGAGAATCCAAGTCGTTAAGTGGCTTGCCTCAGGTCAGCAGCGAATCACTGGCAGAGCAGAGCAGAGCAGAGATGCCTAGCTTCAGAGCCCTGCTCTTGACCACCATCTTTTTCTGCCACACGCTTTGTATCTGCACTTCTCCTTCATTTTTTTTTTTTTTTTAATTATTGTTCTTTTTTTGAGACAGTCTCACTGTCGCCCAGGCTAGAGTACTGTGGTACCATCTTGGCTCACTGCAACCTCTACCTCCCCGGCTCAAGCAGTCCACCCACTTCAGCCACCCGAGTAGCTGGAACTACAGGCCTGTGCCAACCACACCTGGCTAATATTTTTAAATTTTTTTTTATAGAGATGGGGTTTTGCCATGTTGCCCAGGCTGGTCTCGAACTCCTGGTCTCAAGCGATCTGCCCACCTCAGTCTCCAAAAGTGCTGAGGTTACAGGCATGAGCCCGTTCCCAGCCTCCTCTTCATTTCATTATGGGGAATATGAAACTGGGAAGAGTGAGACTCACTGAAAAACAGACTTAGCATCTAGGAAATAGGGAAAAATCATTTCTCCATATCAGAGCTCAAGATCTGGGTCGATTAGAATAGAGGGAGCCTGGCAGAATCCAGAAGAGAGACTCTGCCTCTTCCAAGTCTGTCCTCTCCAACTGGATACGGTGCCGGAAATGCAAGAGATAGGATGGGCCCTCTGGCCACGCTTTTCTCCACCCTTTGGTTGCTTTCTTCACTCGAGGGCACCGTGTTGCCATGCTCCCTCCCCAAGGGCCCGCCCATACTTTTGTTTTTTTAGGATGGAGTCCATCCACTTCTCTGCACTGAGTCAGCCCCCAGAGGGCGAGTTGCCACTTGTATCCTAGAGCTGGGCAGGGCTGCCCAGCACTGGAGAACTCAGCTCCAGGACCCTGGGGCCAGCCTTGTTGAGCAGCAAGCTCTAATGAAGAGCACACAGAACAGGCTTCCACTGCCTGGGACCCGCTTAGCACCATGTCACTTAGCCTCTCTGGGCTGCAGCTTCCTCGTGTATAAAATGAAACAACTGAGCTATAAGCTGGAGCCTGTGAAGAGGAGCAGCCGTGAGGGCCCCCAAGTCCCTTTCCTCCATTTGACCAGAGCATCTGTACTTGGCTTCCATGATCAAAAGGTTCAAGGATGAAAATGACTCTGAAAGCCACCAATGTGATCTTTGTTCCAGCTGTGAGTCTGTGTGTTAGGGTCCCCAAGACCCACCCTAGATCGCTCAAAGGACTCCCAGGACTCAGCACAGAGTCACACTCTGATTTCGTTTTGAGACAGAATTTCACTCTGTCTCCCAGGGTAGAGTGCAGTGCCACAATCTCGGCTCACGGGTTCAAGAGATTTTCCTGTCTCAGCCTCCACATCTGTGCCTGGCCCATACTCTGATTTTTTATAGCAAAAGGATGCAAAGCAAAATCGGCAAAGGGAAGAGGCACATGGAGGAAAGTCCGCAGGTGTCCAGGGGTAGGCTTCCAGGAGCCCTTCCTGAGCTGAGTCACGCAGGATACACTTCATTGCTCCACCAGCAAGCTGTGACTGCACATGTGAACTGTTGTCTGCCAGGGAGGCTTATGAGAGACCCAGCGCCCAGGGCTTTTTCTGGGGGCTGGCCACATACGCACCCTCTGTGTAGCGTATGCCAAAATTCCGACTCCCAGAAGGAAAACAGATGTTCCTCATAAAGAAAACACATTGTGCAAACAGTGTAGGGACGGTAAGCCACCTTACCAGTTTGGGAATGGGAGGGATAAACTTGAAATCCAAATTCCCAGGCTGGGCGCGGTGGCTTACGCCTGTAATCCCAGCACTTTGGGAGGCCGAGGCAGGCAGATCACTTGAGGTCAGGGGTTCGAGACAGGCCTGGCTAGCATGGTGAAAACCCATCTCTACTAAAAATACAAAAATTAGCCAGGCGTGGTGGTGGGCACCTGTGATCCCAGTTACTCAGGAGGCTGAGGCAGGAGAATTGCTTGAACCTGGGAGGCAGAGGTTGCAGTGAGTCGAGATCACACTACTGCACTCCAGCCTGGGCAACGGAGCAAGACTCCGTCTCAAAAAACAAACAAACAAAAAACGCACACAAATTCCCAGATGTCAGCTAAGGGTTGACCTGGAAATCAGGCCCTTCAAAGGGCATTAGTGTTAGGCCTGTTACGTTAGCTCTTCTGCAGTCTGTGACTCTAAATTTTAGGAATTCCAATTGAATGCTGAAATAAACCCAAAGGGAATTTTTGTCCTTAAAATCGTGTCTTCCTCTGCCCTGGCAGTCCAACACCATTAAACAGAAGAAAAGAAAATGTAAAACCATCAAGTAATACTATTATTCATAGATCATACAATTACTTTTATATTTTTATTTTTTAATTTTAATTTTTCAGAGACAATTTCACTCTGTCACCCAGGCTGGAGTGCAGTGGTGCAGTCATAGCTCACTGTAGCCTCCAATTCACAGGCTCAAGCCATCCTCCCACTTTGGCCTTCCGAGTAGCTGGGACTTATAGGCATGCACCACCATGACCAGCTTATTTTTTTATTATTATTTTCTGTAGAGACGGAGGGAGGGGGTCTCACTATGTTACCCAAGCTCAAACTCCTGGACTCAAGTGATCCTCCCACCTCAGCCTCCCAAAGTGCTGGAATTACAGGCATGAGCCACCATGCCTGGCCTATTTTTGTATTTTAAAAAATAACAACATGTTCTGTATTTGAATAATCTGCCTTTTTTCAGTTAACAATTTAGCAGCCTTGTCTTCCCATGTTTTCAAGCATATGTTATACCACCATTTCATGTGGCTGTAGTGGATTATATTGTATCTCAAAATTAGAAAACAGTTCTTTGCAAGAAACCCTATACTGCCATAATAGGGTATCGCTGTTTTCCACTTTGGTATGGGACAATGACAGCCTTGCCAGGACAACAGGAGCCATTGCCTGGAAGACCAGGTGGGGAGGCAGCAAGGCCTGCTCAAGGCAGCAGAGGGATGCGCAGAGGAGACACAGAACCTTCCTAGAGTCTAGGGTCCAGTTGTCTCCTGATGACATAAATCCTTAAGGTCATTTTAGCTGAAACTATAGGAGGCTCAAGCACATTTCGGTCAAACTAGAAGCAGGTTGGGAATGAAAGGAACATTATTTCCCAGAATAATTTTTTCTCTGTTGACTAACTTGAGGTATCTAGATTAACCGTGAGATACAAAATGTTGGCCAGGCGCGGTGGCTCACGCCTATAATCCCAGCACTTTGGGAGGCCGAGGCAGGTGGATCACCTGAGATCAGGAGCTCGAGACCAGCCTGGGCAACATGGTGAAACCCTGTTTCTACTAAAAATACAAAAATGAGCCAGACATGATGGTGGGTGTCTATAATCCCAACTACTCAGGAGTTGGAGGCAGGAGAATTGCTTGAACCTGGGAGGCGGAGGTTGCAGTGAGCCGAGGTCGCACCATTGCGGTCCAGCCTGGTGACAGAGCGAAACTCCATCTCAAAAAAAAAAAGAAATACAAAATGTTTGTTTTGAGATGGAGTCTTGCTCTTCATCCAGGCTGGCGCAATCTCAGCTCACTGCACCCTCTGCCTCCTGGTCCAAGTGATTCTCCTCCCTCAGCCTCCCATGTAGCTGGGATTACAGGTGTGTGCCACCACATCCAGCTAATTTTTGTACTTTTAGTAGAGACTGGGTTTTGCAATGTTGGCCAGGCTGGTCTCTTAACTCCTGACCTCAGGTGATCCACCCACCCTGGCCTCCCAAAGTGGTGGGATTATAGGCGTGAGCCACCCCATCCAGCCCAAAATGTTAAAGGAGAAAAAGATTATCCTAGAAATTGGGATTTACTGAAGTCTAGTTACTACAATGGGCACTCTGAGACCTCACAGCCAGAAACACAGTTCTAAAGCTATCAGCCTCTTTGGCCACACAACACACCAATTTTCACACATAAAATGTGTCCACTGCCAGCCAGTGACCCACTAAAAATGGCATCTTGTTCTTCTTTGGTTGTCGTGTTCACAGTGAATTTGAGGAAACATCAGAAAAGATGTAGGCAGCTTGGCCATGTTCATTTACATGTGTGCTTGTGATGTTTTTAAAACAGGTCAAAGGCCCTTTCAGAAGCAACTCCATTTCATTGGATAACTTAAAACCCTCCAGAGTGTACTGTTTACAAGTCCAGGCACAACTGCTTTGGAACAAAAGTAACATCTTTAGAGTCGGGCATTTAAGCAACATATCTTGCTACGAAACAATGGCAGATGGTAAAATATACCTTCTTATGTCCTTTCTGAACTGGGAAAAGAATACTCCTCCAATAGTGAAATCGGGGAATGCTTATGAGGTCATGGGTGGTGGGAGTGGGGAGACCCAGTGAGAAGAGTGCTGAACTGCAGGAATAATGAGCTTGTGCTGAGATTTGCAGTAGTGGAGGCTACCAGACAGCTACCACTTGCTTTATTTCATTACAGGATTGACTTTAGCTATTAATGTAAGCATACCAGGTGAGGGTGGGGGGTAGAGGGACTTGCCCATTTTACTAGGACAGGAATGCTCTTTAAGCAGCATGGATGGAACATTAACTGATGTTTGTGTTGTGCGTAGGAAGATCATTCTGTTCACTTTCGTGTCCTCTTTTTAGCCTCCACTGAGCTTCAGCAAGTCATCCTGATCTCCGTGGGAACATTTTCGTTGCTGTCGGTGCTGGCAGGAGCCTGTTTCTTCCTGGTCCTGAAATATAGAGGCCTGATTAAATACTGGTTTCACACTCCACCAAGCATCCCATTACAGATAGAAGAGGTACGTGTGCACACATCTCTTTTTTTTTTTTTGAGACAGGGTCTTGCTCTGTTGCCCAGGCGGGAGTGTCATGGTACAATCTCTGCTCACTGCAGCCTCCATCTCCCAGGTTCAAGCGATTCTCCTGCCTCAGCCTCCTGAGTAGCTGGTATTACAAGTGCTCACCACCATGGCCTGCTAATTTTTGTATTTTTGGTAGAAACAGGGTTTTGCTATGTTGGCCAGACTGGTCTCAAACTCCTGACCTCAAGTGATCCACCCACCTCAGCCTCCCAAAGTGCTGGGATTACAGGCGGGAGCCACTGCGCCCGGCCACGCAGACATCTTAATGGTGACACATCAGGGCCCCACTGCCCCTGGCAACCCCTAAGAGTGCAGCTGTGGGCAAAGCCGTGGACACAGAGATTTGGGTTACAAATGGTATGGGGTTGTTTGTACACCCATGTTCATGTTGACACGATTCACAACAGCCAAAAGGTGGAAGCACTCCGGTGTCGTTGAAGGATTAATAGATAAATCTTTAATAGATGGTCTTTCCATACAATGGAATATCATTCAGCCTTAGAAAGGAAGGGGATTGTGACACATCCTACCACACACATGGACCTTGAGGACATTATGCTGAGTAGAGTAGGGCAGTCACAAAAGGATACTGTCTGCTTCCACTTAAATGAGGTCCCCAGAGTCATCAAATCCATAAAGACAGGAAGTAGAATGGTGGTTGCGGTGGTGGAGGGAGGGAAGTGGGAAGTTCGTGTTGAATGGGGCCAGAGTTTCAGTTCTGGGGCTGTACAGAGTTCTGGAGATGGATGGTGGTCATGATTGCACAATGTGAATGTGCTTGGCACTACCGAACTGTACACCTAAAAAGAGTTATGATGGTACATTTTATGTTATGTGTATTTTACCACAATTTAATTTTTTTTTTTTAATGGCATGGGGTTGGCTAAAAAGGTGGCCTGGCCTGGAGATTGGCTGCAGTAGACCCCTCTCCGAGGCAGCAGGTCTCCTCTGCTGTCTGGAGAATGCTCCAGGGAAGTGGCCTGGCTGGAGGACGTGAAGGCGGTGGAGACAGTGATCAGGAGCTTGAGCTTTGGGGCCCACAGGGTGCTTAGGAGGGCCCTAAGGCAGAGTCAACACCCAGAGCTGTGAGTGCCAGGCCCCGTGTACCCATTGCCCAGTGGGTATTGCTAATATTTGAAAGGACTTGAGAAAGAACAGTAGCGTGGGTCTTGTGGAAAGTCTTATTTTCCTGCATAACCCCAGCCCCCTGAGGCTCTGTGAGGCCATTGGGCCTTCTGAGGACACGGTCAGGACATTTTGGGGATCAGAGGCGAGCTGAGAGAAGAACATTTAAAAAGCATTTGCAGCCGGGCGCAGTGACCCACACCTGTAATCCCAGGACTTGGGGAGGCCAGGGTGGGCAGATCACCTGAGGTCAGGAGTTCGAGACCAGCCTGGCCAACATGGTGAAACCCTGTCTCTACCAAAAATACAAAAATTAGCCGGGCGTGGTGGTGGGCGCCTGTAATCCCAGCTACATGAGAGGCTGAGGCAGGAGAATTGCTTGAACCCAGGAGGTGGAAGTTACAGTAAGCCAATATCGCACCATAGCACTTTAGCTTGGGTGGCAGAGCAAGACTCCATCTCAAAAAAATAAAATAAATAAAAAGCATTTGCTTCTGGAGGCTTCACATTATTCTTGGGTAAACCTAGAGTAAAGGTGTTGGAAGCAGAATGTTACTCAGTTACATGTGGGATGAACAGAGGTTAGATAAGGTCCAAGTCTGCAGAAACATAGCAGCACTTTCAGAAAGAACCCTAGTCACTTGTTCCTTCATCTGCCATGATGTATTGTAGGTACACAGGCAGTATACAGATTCCCTACTAGAACCTCCCTGGTTAATATTGTCACAAAATCACAGCTCCTAACAGGTCTCAGAATCTTACTTGCAGTAATAATCTCTCTCTCTCCTGGTAGAACTACCAGCTGAGCCCCAGTACATGAATATACTATGAGTCATTCCTCTGAGACATGAACAGAAAACACAGGCCTGTCAGTTCACTTTTCTAGGAAAGCATAAAGAACATCCGCCAAAGGTCTCTGAGTTACATGGGAACAGTGAATCATGTTTCACTTATAATTCTGGGGTTTCACAAGGGTACATGTTTTGGTTTTGTTCCTCTTTCAGTCAGTCAGCTACAAGCTTATTGTCTTCCAGTATCTTTCAGCATTTCCAAGAGCTAGACACTAGATTCTTGGTAACTTGGTGAATCTATGGCTAAGCCTAAAGCCTGCGGGAGCAAAAGGGAAATTAATCGCTGGGAAACACCCCTTTATATGTTAAGGCCTAAGGCCCTCGCTCCCAGATTCTCTGCTTGCTGTGCGCTGGTGCAAGGGGAGGGGTGGAGGAGTGCCTGAGACCAATGCTTGTGAACTTGCCCTCTTTTTCCCCATCACAGCTGAACAAGAGCCCCCAGTCCCTCCTTCACTGAAAGGTTACAATTTTAGAGACGTCTTAAGATTAATAACCCACAGGCCTACACTGAGGGTTGCAAGGAAGAACTTGCTTTTCTTCCAATCAGAAAATCAGAAGAAAAAAACAAAACTTGCTTTTCCTGAGTTTTGCCCTTTTAAACTCTCAGCATATTAACATGGTCAGCCCTGGGATGAGTATTAAAGTGATTACTGAGATGAGGGGTAAGGAGTATTCAACTATTAGAAGTTGTTGGCTGGGTGAGGTGGCTCATGCCTGTAATCCCAGCACTTTGAGAGGCCGAGGTGGGTGGATCATGAAGTCAGGAGATCGAGACCATCCTGGCCAACAGGGTGAAACCCTGTCTCTACTAAAAATACAAAAATTACCCAGGCATGGTGGCATGCGCCTGTAGTCCCAGCTACTTGGGAGGCTGAGGCAGGAGAATCACTTGAACCCAGGAGGCGGAGGCTGCAGTGAGCTGAGATCCACGCCACTGCACTCCAGCCTGGCAACAGAGCAAGACTCCGTCTCAAAAAAAAAAAAAAAAAAAAAAAAATTAGCCAGCCGTGGTGGTGCACGCCTGCAATCCTAGCTACTTGGTTGGGAAGCTGAGGCAGGAGAATTGCTTGAACCCAGGAGGCGGAAGTTGCAGTGAGCCGAGATCGCGCCACTGCACTCCAGCCTGGGCGAAAAAGAGACTGACTCAACAACAATAAAAAATTGTTGCCGGGTGCAGTGGCTCACACCTGCAATCCCAGCACTTTGGGAGGCCGAGGCGGGCGGATCACCTGAGGTCAGGAGTTCGAGACAGCCTGACCAACATGGGAAACCCCGTCTCTACTTAAAATACAAAATTAGCAGGGTGTGGTGGTGCATGCCTGTAATCCCAGCTACTTGGGAGGCTGAGGCAGAGGTTGCAGTGAGATGAGATCGTGTCATTGCACTCCAGCCTGGGCAACAACGTGAAACTCCGTCTCAAAAAAAAAAAATTGTTTCATTGTTGAATAAAAAGAAAAATAAGTTATGTCATTGGTGGACAGAATCAACTTATATCTGAATAAAATAACTATACCAATTAAAACTAAAGTAGGCCAGGCGTAGTGGCTCACGCCTATAATCCCAGCACTTTGGGAGGCCAAGGTGGGTGGATCATTTGCGATCAGGAGTTTGAGACCAGCGTGGCCAACATAGTGAAACCCTGTCTCTACTAAAAATACAAAATTAGCCAGGCAAGGTGGTGGGCACCTGTAGTCCCAGCTACTTGGAGGATTGAGGCAGGAGAATCGCTTGAACCTGGGAAGCAGAGGTTGCAGTGAGCTGAGATCACACCACTATACTCCAGCCTAGGCAAGAGTAAGACTCCATCTCAAAAAAAAAATAAAAATAAAAATAAAATAAAAACAAAAACTAAAGTTAAAAGGTCTGGTATACTGAACTGGTAAACTAATTACAATTTTGCTTTCCAACCTCCTCAAGTATTTAAAAGACCCAACTCAGCCCATCTTAGAGGCCTTGGACAAGGACAGCTCACCAAAGGATGACGTCTGGGACTCTGTGTCCATTATCTCGTTTCCGGAAAAGGAGCAAGAAGATGTTCTCCAAACGCTTTGAACCAAAGCATGGGCCTAGCCCACTGGCTCCCTGGAAGAGATCAAGCCATCGGAGCTGCTAGAGTTCTGTCTGGACTTTCCAGAGACCAGTATTCCCTTTTGCTGCCTCTAAAAGGCCTGTCCCTGCAGACATGAGAGACAGCAGGTCTCATGGGGGTGACAAGCTTTTTTTTTTTTTCTTAAAGAATTTTCAAAATCAAATTCCAGAATGATTTTACGGAGATATCCCAGGAAAATTAAGGCTTCTCTTAAACACTAAAAAGGCATGTAATTGCTTGTTAGCAAAATGGATATGACACATCTCTGATACTTTTTTCATTATTGGTTGGGCTGAGCAGTCAGAAGACCTGGTCGTCGTCTTGACTTTGGCAAATGAGCCGGAGCCCCTTGGGCAGGTCACACAACCTGTCCCAGCGAGGGACACCGAGTGGCCCTTCATGTACATCCATGGTGTGCTGGCTTAAAATGTAATTAATCTTGTAAATATACTCCTAGTAATTTAAGATTTTGTTTTTAAACTGGAAATAAAAGATTGTATAGTGCATGTTTTTTAAAGTCTATGTGAAGTGTTTTCTTTATTGTAGCCTATTTTCTGCAGAGTTTCAGCTTTCTAAAATTACTCAATCTAAACTTGTTTTTTCTTAAATAACACCTGCTAGAGCTACTGAGGCCTCATGGGAACTCAGCAAACACTTCCTATGGATGTCACTTGATCCTCCAAAGGTTATAAAGAAGGCCAGGGCCTAGTGCAGTGGCCCACGCCTATAATCCCAGCACTTTGGGAGGCTGAGGTGGGTGGATCACTTGAGGCCAGGAGTTCTAGACCCACCTGGGCAACATGGTGAAACCCTGTCTCTATGAAAAATGCAAAAATTATCCAGGCATGATGACATGCACCTGTAGTCCCAGCTACTTGAGAGGCTAAAGTGGGAGGATGCTTTAGCCTGGGAGGCGGAGGTTACCATGAGCCGAAATGATGCCACTGCACTCCAGCGTGGGAGGCAGAGCGAGACCCTATCTCAAAAAAAAAAAAAAAAAGAGGGCTGGGCATGGTGGCTCATGCCTGTAATCCCAGCACTTTGGGAGGTCAAGATGGGAGGATCGCTTGAGGCCAGGAGTTTGAGAACAGCCTGGGCAACATAGTGAGACCTTGTTTTCACAAAAAATAAAAAATTAGCTAGTCGTGGTGGTGCACACCCGTAGTCCCAGCTACTCAGGAGGCTGAGACCAGAGGATCATTTGAGCCTAGGAGTTAGGAGTTCAAGGCTGCAGTGAGCAATGATTACACCACTACATTCCAGCCTTGGCAACAGAGCAAGAGACCCTGTCTCAAAAATATAAAAGTTATAAGGGGGATTTGCAGAAGGCACATTAGCACTTCATTTATATGTGACAAGTCACACTGTGTTGACCAAGGCAGGGATTTGTGGGCAATAAAGAGAATTAACTGATTAATCAATAGTAATGTTATCTACTGAGCACGCAAGTCATCTGATTGTGTCAGTACTGTCGGGCTCTGTTGTTCAAAGGATATGTATTTAAAATCCATTTATAGGCTGGGCACGGTGGCTCACACCTGTAATCCCAGCACTTTGGGAGGCCGAGGCAGGCAGATCACCTGAGGTCAGGAGTTCGAGACCAGCCTGGCCAACATGGTGAAAGCCTGTCTCCACTAAAAGCACAAAAATTAGCTGAGTGTGGTGGCAGGCACCTATAATCCCAGCTACATGGGAGGCAGTTGGGGCCCTGTACTGCTGGTAAGAAAGTGGCTTTTTTTTTTTCTTTTGAGACAGAGTCTCACTCTGTCGCCCAGGCTGGAGCGCAGTGGCGCGATCTCAGCTCGCTGCAACCTCCACCTCCCAGGTTCAAGCAATTCTCCTGCCTCAGCCTCCCGAATAGCTGGGATTACAGGCGTGCACCACTATGCCTGGCTAATTTTTGTATTTTTAGTAGAGATGGGGTTTCACCATGTTGGCCAGGCTGGTCTCGAACTCCTGACCTCATGATCCACCCACCTTGGTCTCCCAAAGGGTTGAGATCACAGGCGTGAGCCACCGTGTCCGGCAAAAGTGGCTAACTCTCTTAAGTGTTGTGTACCATGCTGTCTGCAGTGGCAAGAGTTAGAAAAACAAGGCCCACTCCCACCCCATGCACACAAGTCTCCCTGTGAAGCATCTGTTGTATGCATTAGGTGCACCTTAAGTAGACAAGTTTGGAGGAAGAAGTTGTAGATAGGAGTTGTAAAGACTTACCTTAGACCGTTCAGGAAATCGGAGACAGAAGAGCTTCTTCTGTTGGGCAGCAGGATGGTGGCCAGCGAGGAGTGGAGGATACATCTATAGCAGGAGAACAGGAAAGAGTTTCAGCCCAGCAGGACAGAGGGCAAATCAACTCTGTTAGGGTAAGTGCATCTGTGCCACCCCATTTATTTATTTAGAGACACAGTCTCACCCTGTTGCCCAGGCTGGAGCGCAGTGGCACAATCTCACTTCACTGCAACCTCTGCCTTCCGGGTTCAAGCGATTTTTGTGCCTCAGCCTCCAGAGTAGCTGGGATTACAGATGTGCGCCACCACACCCAGCTAATTTTTGTATTTTTAGTAGAGATGGGGTTTCACTATGTTGGTCAGGCTGGTCTCAAACTCCTGACCTCAGGTGATCCGCTCACCTCAGCCTCCCAAAGTGCTGGGATTACAGGTGTGAGCCACTGTGCCCAGCCTTAAATAGTATTTTCTGAAATGAAATGCCTCATTCTCCTTAGTAAAATAAATGACTAATTGATGGGATTAGTATTTACACTGTCAAGGCCAGGCGCAGTGGCTCACACCTGTAATCCGAGCACTTTGAGACCCTGAGGTGGGTGGATCATGAGGTCAGGAGTTTGAGACAAGCCTGGTCAACATGGCGAAAACCTGTTTCTATTAAAAATACAAAAATTAGCTGGGCGTGGTGGCTCACACCTGTAATCCCAGCTACTTGGGAAGCTGAGGCAGGAGAATCACTTGAGCCCGAGAAGCGGAGGTTGCAGTGAGCTGACATGGCACCTCTGCACTCCAGCCTGGGCAACAGAGCAAGACTCTGTCTCAAGAAAAATAAAGTCAAGCTAAGTACATTGTCAAAATTTTTGAGTTGGAAGCACTCTTATAAATAATCCGTTGACAGGGCATAATCCATAACCTACTTGCCAAATCAGCCCATTCCCTGTTTTTGTAAAACCCGTGTGCTAAGAATAGCTTTTACATCTTGGAATAGTTAAAGTCAAAAGAAGAATATTTCATCACACATGAAAATTCTATGATATTCAAATTTCACTGTTCATAAATATTTATTAGAACCCAGAAGGTAAGCTGCGTGTAGTGGTTCACACCTGTAATCCCAGCACTTTGGGAGGCTGAGGTGGGCGGATCATTTGAGGCCAGGAGTTTGAGACCAGCCTGACCAACATGGTGAAACACCGTCTCTACTAAAAATACAAAAATTAGCTGGGCATGGTGGTGCATGCCTGTAATCCCAGCTACTCAGGAGGCTGAGCGAAGGGAATTGCTTGAACCTGGGATGCAGAGGTTGCAGTGAGCAGAGATCGTGCCACTGCATGCCTGGTGACAGAGCGAGACTCTGTCTCAAAAATAATAATAAAATAGGCCGGGTGCGGGGGCTCACGCTTGTAATCCCAGAACTTTGGGAGGCTGAGGCAGGAGGGATCATGAGGTCAGGAGTTTGAGACCAGCCTGACCAACATGGTGAAACCCCGTCCCTACTAAAAATACAAAGATTAGCTGGGCGTGGTGATGTGTGCCTGTAATCCCAGCTACTCAGGAGGCTGAGGCAGGAGAATCACTTGAACCTGGGAGGCAGAGGTTGCAGTGAGCCAAGATTGCACCACTGCACTCCACCTGGGCGACAGAGCAAGACTCTGTCTCAAAAAATAATAATAAAATAAAATAACGTCTCTGTCCATAGTGTTTAAATCACATAAAATGGACTTCTGGCAGGGCACGGCGGCTCACACCTGTAATCCCAGCATTTTGGGAGGCTCAGGTGAGCGGATCGCCTGAGGTCAGGAGTTCAAGATCAGTCTGGCCAACAAGGTGACACCCTGTCTCTACTAAAAATACAAAAATCAGCCCAGCGCAGTGGCAGGTGCCTGTAATCACAGCTATTCAGGAGGCTGAGGCAGGAGAATCGGTTGAACCCACAAGGTGGAAGTTGCAGTGAGCCCAGATGACACCACTGCACCTCAACCTGGGCAACAGAGCAAGAATCTGTCTCAAAAAAAAAAAGGACTTCTTGGTACATAACATTTAAAGAAGCCTGCATAGTCACTATGGCCACTATGTCTTTGAAGTGCCACAACAGAGAGAGGCTCTCTGAAAGGAAATGATACTGATTTGGGAATAGGGTATTACAAGGGGAACACGTGTGCCAGAGTAAACTATGTACATATTTAGGAAGGTGAAGGAAAACAAAGGTTCTTAAAGGAAAAAATGAGGATTAGATCACTGTTTTAAGATAATTATCCTTGGCTATAAGGATCAATAGCAAGGGGGATGCCATTCCAAGGTTAGACAGGCAGTTGTTGGGCAGATGTCCTCATAGAAGTGTTTGTTGTGTAAGGCGGTGAAGGGCTTTGTGCAAGGTTGAGATTTTTGCAGTCTTTTGTGATCATTTTTATTTATTTATTTATTTAGAGACAGAGTCTTGCTCTGTCACCCAAGCTGGAGGGCAGTGATGCAATCACAGCTCACTGCAACGTCTGCCTCCTGGATTCAAGAAATTCTCCTGTCTCAGCCTCCTTAGTAGCTGGGACTACAGGCATCCGCCACCATGCCTGGCTAATTTTTTGTATTTTTAGTAGAGATGGGATTTTGCCATGTTGCCCAGGCTGGTCTTGAACTCCTGACCTCAAGTGATCCACCTGCCTCAACCTTCTAAAATGCTGGGATTACAGGCATGAGCCACCACGCCCGGCCTTGTGATCATTTTTGTTATCAAGCATTTTTGCATGAGAATCCTTCATGGCCTTCCCCAGCTCTATTTGTCAGGGTTTTTTATTTGTTTGCTTGTTTGTTTGAAGCACAAGTGACTCCATTTTGATTCTGACAACTTCCACACTATGCAGTCACATCTCTGAGGCGCCCAGAGCCCTTCAAAATATATTTGCTGTTTGCCAAATAGTCTCTATTTGAGATGAGAACATCCCCAGCTGTCCTTCTGTTTGATGAGAAGTGAGACTCCACCCCAGCAGCTTCCGGAGATGCAGTCATGCCTCCCCACCCTTCACTGCCACTCCCAGCCTCCCTTGAGACTCAAGGACTGTCCCACGGGAATGAAGTGAAAGTGACGTCTTTCTCCTTGTTTCCAGTCTGTGGTGAGGGAAAACAGCTGGCTACGCTTGAGAGGGTATGGAAACTGGTCAGAGTGGTTACTTGGGACCTGGGGCCTCAGAGCCACCCGTTGCTAAGGAGAGGACTCTGGTCAGGGCAACTTGCCAATGCTCTAGGAATGACACCTAGACATTCCTAAAAAATGATAGCCTAAAAATTCATCCCATTGTAGAAATACAGGCAGCACTAGCTTCTCTGGGCCCCTCAGTTATCAAAAAAAGAGGAGGGAGGCAGACCCTCAGGGTTACTTTACATCCATATACCTAGCTACAACATAAACATCAAATGATATGTGGCCAGGCGCGCTGGCTCATGCCTGTAATCCCAGCACTTTGGGAGGCAGAGGCAGGCAGATCACTTGAGGTCAGGAGTTCGACACCAGCCTGGCCAACATGGAGAAACCCCGTCTCTACTAAAAATACAAAAATTAGCCAGGCATGATGGTGCATGCCTGTAGTTCCAGCTACTCAGTAGGTTAAGGCATGAGAATCGCTTGAACCTGGGAGGCGGAGGTTGCAGTGAGCAAGATCGTGCCACTGCACTCCAGCCTGGGCTAACAGAGAGAGACTCTGTCTCAAAAAAAAAAACAAAACAAATCAAAACAAAAAGCACAACATATGATATTAATGATTTTCCTTGAAATTAAATAGTGGTATGAGTAACAATGTATAATAACTGTAAATATTAATTCAACTCGTTTCATTTCTACATTCAGGTGAATAAAAATATCTGATCTATTCTCTGTGGGTAATAAGAGTATTTTTGTATCTGAAAAGCCTAAGAGAGGGTCAAACCCTTAAAGAGCTGGTAAGTCCAGGTAGGAGGACCCTGAGGTCCTTGGAGATGGGCAGGTACAAAATTTTGCCTGGCATAAAATTCAATTAATCAATCAAACTAATGTGTTTCTTGACTATTTACTTTCTGAAATTTTCCTGTGACCCTTAATACAACTGTGAGTACCTTCAAGTGTCCTCCAGATCCAGACACTTCTCAAGTGGCCAGCCCCATGCTAACTACTAAAATAGTGGAGCACCAGTAGTCGGGGCTGTGGGTACATTCCTGTAGGCTGTGCACCGCACAACCCCACAGGTGCTGTTGACCTAAACAGAACACAAAGGCACACAGCAACTGCTAGTAGTCCTGATACGTAAGCCACTCAAGTTCCAAATGCCTAGTCACAGAAGACAAAGACTGAAGAACCATTCCAAATATTAGAGACACTGCAGGGATATGACGACTAAATGCAACGTGTGACCATGGGCAGGATCCTGCCACAGAAAAATAGTATTTTTCTTTACTATAAAGTACATTACAGGGGTAATCTGAAGAATTTGAATAAGGCACAAAGTACTGTATCAATGTTAATTTTCTGACTTTGGCATCGTATCGCAGTGATGTTTGGGGGGAAATATACACAGGATTCAAGGGTAAGTAAACAGGCGTCACATCTGCAGCATGCTGCCAAACATTTAAAATAACAGACCAAAGCAAATGTAGTAAAATGTTAACTTCTGGGAATCTGAAAGGTTATACAGGAATTCTTTGTGGTTTTTTTTTGTTTGTTTGTTTGTTTTTTTACAGAGTTTCGCTCTGTCGCCCAGGCTGGAGTGCAATGGCGGGGTCTTGGCTCACTGCAACTTCCGCCTCCTGGGTTCAAGCGATTCTCCTGCCTCAGCCTCCCAAGTAGCTGGGATTATAGGCACCTGCCACTACGCCTGGCTAATTTTTGTATTTTTAGTAGAGATGGGATTTCACCATGTTGGCCAAGCTGGTCTTGAACTCCTGACCTCCGGTGATCCGCCCACCTTGGCCTCCCAAAGCACTGAGATATAGGCGTGAGCACCATGCCTGGCCTCTTTGTGCTATTTTTATAACTCTCCTGGTAAGTCTGATGTAATTTCAACATAAAAAGTTAATCTCAGGCTGGGCGCAGTGGCTCACGCCTGTAATCCTAGCACTTTGGGAAGTTGAGGTGAGCAGACCGCTTGAGCTCAGGAGCTCCAGACCAATCTGGGCAACATGGTGAAACCGTGTCTCTACAAAAAATACAATTAGCCAGGCATGGTGGCGTGCGTCTGTAGTCCAAGCTACTCAGGAGACTGAGGAGAGAGGATCTCTTGAGCCTAGGAGGCAGAGGTTGCAGTGAGCCGAGCTCACACCACTGCACTCCAGCCTGGGTGACAGAGCCAGACCCTGTCTCAAAAAAAAAAAAGGTTAATTTCTAAACTCACAACTTCCATGGTGGGAGGGAAGTACACTGATCACACTGAATAATGTTTTTGGCACCAGGAGTAGAAACTGTTGGAGCACAGACCTGTACTATAGTCCCAGCTACTCGGGAGGCTGAGGCTGGAGGGTCACTTGAGCTCAAGAGTTCCAGGTCGAAGTGTGCAATGTTCATGCCTGTGAAAGCCACTGTACTCCAGCCTGGGTAAAATAGTGAGACTCCATCTCTTTACAAAAAAAAAAAAAAAAAGAAAGAAAAAGAAACAAAAGAAACTGCTGGCTGGGTGCAGTGGTTCATACCTGTAATCCCAGCACTTTAGGAGGCTGAGGTAGGCAGATCCTTTGAGCCCAGGAGTTCGAGACCAGCCTGGGTAACATGGTGAAACCCCATCTCTACAAAACATTAACAATTAGCCAGGATGTAGTGGCATGCACCTGAGCTACTTGGAAGGCTGAGGTGGGAGGATCGCTTGAGCCTGGGAGGTGGAGGGTGACAGAGTGAGACCCAGTCTCAAAAAAAAAAAAAAAAAACCAGAAACTGCTGCTGGAAAAGAGCACAATTTACATCCTTTTTGGAGAGCTCTCTGGTTTTATGTCTAGACCTCTGGGGTGGGGAAGAGGTCAACATGCTCCCCAAATCAAAGACCCAGCACTCTCTACACTGGCATAATCCATGAGGGTCTAGGCAGCCTGTCCTGCCATACTTACTCAAAGAAATTTAAAATATCCTATCTGCCACAGCTGAAAGAATTGAAGAGGCATTTACTGCTATCCAAAACCCTAAGTAAAATTACTTAAGCTGTGATAAAAGTGCTACAAAAAAATGCTCTGGCAGGCTCTAAACTTGGAAGTCTTGTTTTTCTTAGCATGGCATGCCACCTTGTGGCAAAAAGCTAAAAAGTCATCAGATGAGAAAGGAAACATCCCTTCAAAAGTCATCATAAGAAATGCCGGGCACGGCGCCTGTAATTCCCTGCACTTTGGGAGGCCAAGGCTGGCGGATCGCTTGAGGTTAGAAGTTCGAGACCAGCCTGGCCAACATGGCAAAACCCCATCTCTACTAAAAATACAAAAACAATTAGCCAGGCGTGGTGGCATGTGCCTACAATCCCAGTTACTTGGGAGGCCAAGGCACGAGAATGGCTTGAACCCAGGAGGCTGAGGCTGCAGTGAGCCACTGCACTCCAGCCTGGATGACAGAGTGAGACTCTGTCTCAAAAAAAAAAGGAAAAAAAAAGCCTACTTGTGTGAATCACTTATTATTTCCAGGAACTTTGTTAAGCATTTCCTCAGATTAATTCTCAAACATACTTACAGACAGGGAAACAGTCTTGCAGTCAAATAGCTAATAAATGGCAGTGCCAGAATAAGGGAATAAGGGAGAAGTAAACCAACCTAAACTTAAATCCATAGGCCTCCGAGAATCCCAGCGCCCAAACCACAACTGTCTAGTAACAACGCAATTGGAAGAATTCTTCCTACTGTGCCCTCCTGCCACCATTTTTATTCCCCATAATCAGGCTGGCCACAGGCTTTTCCCAAAGCCAGCCATGCCCACACCTAAACATTTTCCTCTCCTTTTGTTAATTCCCTGTGTTCTATCTATTCTAAAGCCACCATAGCAGCACTTTCCCCAAATTACATTTTTCTTTTATTTTTTTTATTTTTTATTTTTTATTTTTTTTTGAGACAGTCTTGCTCTGTTGCCCACACTGGAGTACAGTGGCTTGATCTGAGCTCACTGCAGCCTCTGCCTCCTGGGCTCAAGCAATTCTCCTGCCTCAGCATCCCAAGTAGCTGGGATTACAGGCATGTACCACCATACTTGGCTAATTTTTTGTATTTTTAGTAGAGATGGGTTTCACTATGTTGGCCAGGCTGATCTCGAACTCCTGACCTCAAGTAATCTGCCCGCCTCGGACTCCCAAAGTACTGGGAGTACAGGCGAGAGCCGCTGTGCCTGGCCCCAAATTACATTTTTCAACATGTTCCAGGAGATAAATTTCCAAGTCTCAGTAATAGAAAACACCATATAATTGACACCCTCCTCCTAAAGACATACAATACACACACACACACACACACAAAAAAAAAAAAAAAAAAAAAAACCTCTAAGAAAGAAAAGAACTTTACAGAATTTTAAAAAGGTGTTTTGGAGCCTAGTGTGGTGATTTGCACCTCTAGTCCCAGCTACTCAGGAGGCTGAGGCAGGAGGATCACTTGAGCTCAGGAATTCAAGACCAGCCTGGGCAACATAGCAAGACCCCTCTCTAAAAAAGACTAAGCAAGAAGGCGGGGCGCAGTGCTCACGCCTGTAATCCCAACACTTTGGGAGGCCGAGGCGGGTGGATCACCTGGGGTCAGGAATTTGAGACCAGCTTGGCCAATATGGTGAAACCATGTCTCTACTAAAAATACAAAAATTAGCCGGGTAGGATGGTACCCACCTGTAACCCCAGCTACTCGGGAGGCTGAGGCACGAGAACCATTTGAACCTGGGAGACAGAGGTTGCAGTGAGCTGAGATTGCACCACTACACTCCAGCCTGGGTGACAAGAGCAAAACTCCATCTGAAAAAAAAAAAAAAAATCAAGAAATAAAGAAAGAAAAAACATGTTTAGACCTAGTTCAGCCCAGGGTTTCCCAAGCTTCTTTGACACACACACCTTTTCTCAGGTACACCTTCAGGGCCACCAGTGTTCTAAAAGCAACTTGGGAAAGGTGCAACTAAATCTAAAAAGGAGAGCTGAGTGTGGTGGTGCACACCTATAGTAGACTGAGGGGAGGACTGCTTGAGCCAAGGAGTTCAAGGCAGTAGTGAGCTATAATCACACCACGGCGTTCCAGCCTGGGCAAGAGTAAGACACTGTAAAAAGGACTCCATAAAAAAGAACAATGAAAACAAAGACTCCTGAGTTGATGTTGTGACTGAAAACCCTTCCACTGGGGAAAAATGTAGAGATCATGAGTTCAATGCACCCATGTCAAACCCTCTGGGGGCTCTTGCTCAAGGGGCCAAATTATATGGTTTGATATCATCAATCTTTCAGTCTTCCAATTTCATTATGTTGATGCAAATCAATGTCAAGTCAACGTCTTGTGTATAGAAATACACACACACACACACACACACACACACACACACACACATATATATATATACTGGAAAAATACAGCCTCTGGGTTTTTACTCAGTGGCAACAGCACAAGGAATACAAGGATCTTAGAGCAATAAAATGGAATACTCTGATAATATTGGTCCACACACAAAAAACACTCAGATTCAATGACCACTGAATCTATGTGACAGCTTGAGAACCTTAGTAAGGGAATCACATGCATTTGTAGATGATTACCAAAGATTCTGCCCTAACTCATAATATTTCTAAGAGTGGATACTAACATTATCTCTTTTATGTTTTTATTTATTTTTTATTTTCTAGACGGAGTCTCGCTTTGTCACCCAAGCTGGAGTGCAGTTGCACGATCTTGGCTCACTGCAACCTCTGCCTCCCGGGTTCAAGCAATTCTCCCTGCCTCAGCCTCCCGAGTAGCTGGGATTACAGGGGTGCACCACCACGCCTGGCTAATTTGTTGTATTTTTAGTACAGACCGGGTTTCAGTATGTTGGCCAGGCTGGTCTCGAACTCCTGACCTCATGATCTGCCCGCCTCGGCCTCCCAAAGTGCTGGGATTACAGGCGTGAGCCCCCACGCCTGACCACATTATCTCTTTTTTTAAAATGAAGAAACAGAAAATTAAGTGATTTGCTCACAACTAAAAAACAAATTCAGGGTTGGGTGTGGTGGCTCATGCCTGTCAACCTAGCACTTTGTGAGGTTGAGGCAGGTGGATGTGTTGAGACCAGTTCACCCAGAACAGCATAGTGAGACCCCCGTCTCTACAAAAAACAACTTTTTTTTTTAATGACATGGAGTCTTGCTCTGTTGCCCAGACTGGAGTGCAGTGGCACGATTTTGGCTCACTGCAAGCTCTGCCTCCAAGGTTCACGCCATTCTCTTGCCTCAGCCTCCCAAGTAGCTGGGACTACAGGTGACCCCCACCACGCCCGGCTAATTTTTTTGTATTTTTAGTACAGACAGGGTTTCACCATGTTAGCCAGGATGGTCTCGATCTCCTGACCTCGTGATCCGCCCACCTAGGCCTCCCAAAACATTTTTTTTTAATTAACCAGACATAATGACACGTACCTGTGGTCCCAGCTGCTTGGAAAGCGGAGGTAAGAGGATTGCCTGAGCTCCAGCATTTGAAGGTGCAGTGAGCTGTGGTTGCACCACTGCACTCCAGCCTAGGCAACAGAGTGAGATATTGTCTTTAAAAAAAAAAAAAAAAATTCATGGCAGAGTCAGAAATAGAAAAAAACAGCCACCATTTCCAGTCAGTCTTCAGGGAAACCTTCAATAACCCTCACATAAGCATTTTACAAGTCTATTTCTTCTTATTTTATAAACATAACTGCATCTTTAATTGGGTATACTTGAATAATTGAAAACTGAACAGCAAATCAATTTTTATGGTTCATTTTCTCCAACAAACAACAATATTAAACTGTATGAGAAGTAATATTTATTGCAACAGGTTATGAGGTGGAAACAAATAATTAGTCTTACAATTTGCTAGAAGCATGACAGAGCTTACTAACATTTTGAAGAAAAAACAGCAAAGAAAGAAGTCATCAAACAAGATGGTATCTTGACAAAGGCACAGCGCTCCACAACTGCTTCATACTCTGTGCACAAGAAATCCTCTCAAGAGAGAGGAGAGGAGTGATGCCAAATGGGCTTACATTAGAGCCGTGGACACTACCACTGGTATTATTCATACAACCAAGGCTCTACAACACCCCTCTGGAGAAAAAGTGCAACACAAAATCTGTGTAACAAAGGAAAGCAAAAGTAGCAATAAGGGCCCAGAGGAATACAAACAGTGCAAATACAGTACTGCAAACTCAGTAAAAGGAGTTTTTGATTGGAGTATGAACTTTCAAGTTGAAGATATATTTCACAGGAATATTCACCCAAAGCTTGAGAGCTAGAGCGAGGAGAGACTTGCAGTCGGTAACTGAGTAGATGAAATGCATAATTTTTCACTAGGTGATAATTCCCTTTGGGAAGAAGTGCTTTATCTTTAATTATTCCACTTTTTGTTAAATGGTTCATGCTTTTAAACTGCGATTGTCTCAAACTTGCTTGCTATTGAATTGTGTAACATCAGATAATGGCAAGTTGTCAAAAGATAACCCCAGTGGATATTTGAAGCTGCTTTTACGAGAAGCATGGTGCTGAGCTGCCTTACACAGTCTTTTTACAGTAACCATAAAAAACTGAGTTTATTTGATCATGTATTATCCCTTCTCACATAAAGTCATATTAGAGGAATTCTTTTTAAAAGAAGCTTTCAAACTAGTCCTTTGGGCATTTAAAAAATCATTATATAAAAGTACACTTCTTCAATACATAAGAACAAATATTTTTTCTTTACCAAAAAAACCTCATTTTTAGGCCAAAATAAGTTACAACTTGCTGAAAACCTTTTATGGCTCAGTGCTCATTCTAGATATATGAAGCTATATTTTTTTGTACATCTTCAGAAATCAGATACTGAGAGTGGTCCTTCTTTTTTTTGAGAGGGAGTTTCACTTTCTCCCCCAGGCTAGAGTGCAGTGGCGCAAACTCAGCTCACTACAACCTCTGCCCCCCGGGTTCAAGCGATTCTCCTGCCTCAGCCTCCTAGGTAGTTGGGATTACAGGCACCCACCACCATGCCTGGCTAATTTTTGTATTTTTAGTAGATGGGGTTTCGCCATGTTGGCCAGGCTGGTCTCAAACACTTGACCTCAAGCAATCGGCCCGCCTCGGCCTCCCAAAGTGCTGGGATTACAGGCATGAGCCACCGTGCCCAGCCAGAGAGACAAGAGTGGTTACTTCTAAAATGACAAGATGATGTAACCCTGGCTCAGGGAGTAGATCAAGTTCTAAATCTCAGGAATAAAAAACTGATACTCATTATCCAATTCATATAGTCTTGTATTATATACATATTAACAGTCTATGCAATGAAAAATAAAGAAATTTCATAAAACTATTTCAAAACTCAGAACATAAAAATGTAAAGAAACAAAACATTTAATGTACAATCTACTCCATTTGGCAATGTGTACTGAGAGATAAAAAACCTATCTACAAACAGAATATAACAAAAGGAAAATGTGACTTAAGAAGTGATCTCAGGTCCATAGCTCTTCGGTTCTTCCAAATTTGTAGATCAGAGTGCTAGAAAGATAGGAAAACAAATCATGAGGAAAAAACCGATGGAACAAGCAACACAGAATTCATTTTCTCAATATGCTTTGACAGGTACTTCACTGATTCCTATCAATTTTAAAAATTAAATTAGACATCATGGCAGTGTTGGTCTTAATTTGCTTATTTTGTAAAGCAGTCTGTTAACTACGATGGCTAAGCATAACTGTATTCTTTCTTAAGGCCTGGGAAGTTATTAACAGGCAACTTGTAAGGAAAAGAGACATTTCTCTATGACTCAGAAACAAAAAAATGAATCAATAAATCAAAAGAAAAAGGGAGAGAGACCATTCTCATAGTGACAGGCATTAGGGCCATTTTATGTCTCCAGGAGCCTACCATATCTAAATTACAGTAACTGAAGCACCCTACAACAGACCATGCTGCAATTCTTCATTCCTTCAACAAATAATTATTGTGCACTGAAAAGTGGCTACGTACCAAGCACCTAAGTGCTGGGGTGAGACTGAGTCCAGACAAACTTGCTCCCTAATGGAGCTAAGGGTCTAATAAGGAGACAATCAAATAAATATAAAATTCCACCTATAAAAAAATGCTATAAATGAGAGGTGCACAGTATCCTCAGAGTGAAACATAAGGATCAGACCTAGTTAGAGAGGTCAGGAAAGGTTTTCCTGAGGAGTGGTGACTGAATTGAGATCCAAAAGAAGAGGGGGAATTATCTCGGCAAAGTGAGAGAGGATAAGGAGGCGGGAGCAGAGAGATGGGACACTCCAGGGCCATGAGTTGAGCTGTGGGCATACTAAATGTTTTGGATTTGAAATGTCAGCAACCCAAGAAGGGATGTGAAGTAGGAATCTGGATATACGGTTTAGGCCTGGAAAGGGACATCTGTGACTCACTGGCATATAAGCAATAATTGGAGTCCTAAGTACACATGAGTTCACCCAGGGACAGAAAAATAACAAGGAGTTTCTTAAGGCCAAGAACAGCTTTAAGAGACTTCAAAAGGTAGTAGGCAGGGAGTGGAGGATCAGCTTGCAAGGAAAACAGAGGAGTGACCAGAGATGTAAATAAAAGAGGTTGTACCCCAGAGCTTAGAACAGGTCCAGCACACAGGAAGCATACAGGCTGCCTGATAACTTGCCAGCCTCTGGGCAGAGCACATAGATGACACAGCTGTCAACTATGTCCACCTGAGCATACAAGGTTTCTGTTCATCCAATTGTCATTTAAGTGGATTCATCTACCACCACAAAGTGTTGAATCTGAACTTAATCTCTAAAGACTGCCTAAAATGTCTTCATAACAACTTACCATATCCCCAGAAGGCTGTCAGTCACATGTCTTTGACATATAAGACAGCAGAAACTGCCAAACATCTTTCAAAACCAGGAGTGTCAAGGCCACAAGGCGAAATCCAGGTAGAGCATGGTGGTCTGAGAGTGGAGGGAGACCACATGGCTAGAGTTTGCCATGCAGCGTACAGACAGCCACACAGAGGGAACGCAGGAGATCTGCAGGGGGTGCTCCTTCAGTCTGTGGCTGAGTACTGAAGAGTCTATACATAAGAGGAAACTACCCAAGGGAAGGAAAGAACCACTGGAAAGAACATGTCCCAGAGCTACCACAAGGCTGGAAGAGAGTTCATACTCTCACAAGTCGAGTAGAGAAACCTCGGAATACATGAAGCATCAGAGAGTGGAAACACTCAAAGGGTATGACTGCCTTAGTAGGGGGACAAATCAGTCCTGGGCTACAGCTGCTCTGGTCCTGCCTATAACAAAGCTTAAGAGACATAAAAGGATCAAATTGTTTCTGATTGTTTCTGAGTCACCTAACTGCATCCCAAAACAAAGCTTAAAAACATTTAAAGGACTAGCAAAGATCCAGTCCCAACAAATTGTATGCAAAGCACCAAATAAGGGAAAATAGGTCCAAAATGAAGAGTAAACAGAAGCAGAAAAAATCAGTAGAAGCAGATGCAGAAATGACACAGACAATTGGACAAGGACCCTGAGATAGCTATAAATATACTCTGTGTGTTCAAGGTGGAAGAGGGCATGAGCATGTTAAGGGAAGACATCAGAAATATTTTTAAAGACCCAATCAAGCTTCTAGAGAGAGAAAATACAATGTCTGAGATGAAAAAATCATTGGATGGCATAGATTAGACATTGCAGAAGTAGAGATTAATTTATTTAATTCTTCAAAGTGACAATAGAGAGATTAATTTTATTTATTTATGTATTTATTTATTTTGAGATGAAGTCTCGCTCTGTTGCTCAGCAATGGTGTGATCTCAGCTCACTGCAACCTCAGCCTCCCGGGTTCAAGTGATTCTCTGGCCTCAGCCTTCCGAGTAGCTGGGATTCCAGGCATGCACCACCATGCCCAGCTAATGTCTGTATTTTTAGTAGAGATGAGGTTTCACCATGTTGGCCAGGCTGGTCTCGAACTCCTGACCTCAAGTGATCCACCCGCCTTGGCCTCCCAAAGTGTTGAGATTACAGGTGTGAGCCACCATGCCCAGCCGAGATTAATTTTAAAATGTAACAATAGAAACTATCCAAACTGAAACACAAACAGGAAAAAAAAATCTGACCATTAGCAAGCTGTGAGACAACTTCGAGCAGCCTATTATAACCTGTAATTGAAATCCCAGAGGGAGGGTGCAGTGGATACAAAAAATGCTTGAAGAAATAATGGCTGAGAAGAATCTAGATTTATTGATGAACTATAAACCTATAGATCCAAGAAACTCAATATACACCAAGCAGAAGGAATATCAAGAAAACTAGACCACAGTACATCGTAATCAAATTACTTAAAACCAGTGACAAAAGCAAAGTTTTTCAAGGCTTAGAAGTTACTTAATGATTTATGGGGGATGGGGACAGAGGCAGATAAAATTTTATAAATATATACCTAAATATCCTATGTTGACATTAAAAGACATTCATTCTAGGCTGGGCATGGTGGCTCACACCTGTAATCCTACCACTTTGGGAGGCTGAGGTGGGCAGATCACTTGAGGTCAGGAGTTCGAGACCGGCCTGGTCAACATGGCAAAACCCCATCTCTACTAAAAATACAAAAATTAGCTGGGTGTGGCAGTGCATGCCTGTAATCCCAGCTACTTGGGAGGCTGAGGCACGGAATTGCTTGAGCCTGGGAGGCAGAGGTTGCATTGAGCTGAGATTGCACCACTGCACATCAGCCTGGGCAACAGAGCGAGAATCCAGCTCAAAAAAAAAAAAAAAAAAGACATTCATTCTAAAAAGCATAGAATGGACTTCATTTTGGGGATATTTTAGAAGACTGCCCCTAAAAAATACTTTTAATATTGGTTTATTTTTCCACTTACTTTAACTTTTCTTAAAAGGGCATTCAGAAAACAGAATTTCCCAACAGGTTTTGTATATAATATGCATACTATGTATTAATTATTATTATTATTTTGATATGGAGTCTTGCTCTGTCACCCAAGCTGAAATGCAGTGGCACTATCTCGACTCACTCCAACCCCCGTGTCTCCTGGGTTCAAGTGGTTCTCCTGCCTCAGCCTTCCGAGTAGCTGGGATTACAGGCACACACCACCATGCCCGACTAATGTTTGTATTTTTATTAGAGATGGGGTTTCACCATGTTGGCCAGGCTGGTCTCGAACCCCTGACCTCAGATGATCCACCCACTTCAGCCTCCCAAAGTGCTGGGATTACAGACATGAGCCACCACACCTGGCTGGCCACTAGGTATTAATTCTGGTTTTTCCTTTTTTCTTCATAAAGGTACTTTACCTGTTGTTGTTAATTTTTTTTTTCCCGAAAGGCTAGTCAAGTGAAACAATGGGTCTGATAGGGTTTTTTAATAAGACACAGGCTATGGAAGCAGCAGTCTGGATTCAAATCCAGGCTTCTCATTTACTAGCTAGGCATCCTAAAGCAAGCCCTAAACTTTATTTCCTCATCTATAAAATGGGAATAACACTGGGTGTGGTGGCTATAATCCCAGCACTTTGGGAGGCCGAGGCAGGCAAATTGTCTGAGCTCAGGAGTTCGAGACCACTCTGGGCAATATGGTGAAACCTCGTCTCTACTAAAATACAAAAAATTAGCTGGGTGTGGTGGTGTGCACCTGTAGTCCCACCTACTCGGGAGGCTGAGGCATGGGAATCGCCTGAGTCCCGAGGCGGAGGCTGCAGTGAGCCGAGATTGTTCCACTGCACTAAGGCAGCTTGGGCTACAGGGTGAGACTCCCTCGCAAAAAATAAATAAATAAATAAAAATAAAAATAAATAAAATGGGAATAACACCTGACATATATTTAAAATAATTAAATGCATTATTTTATTTTATTTTGGTCTCACTCTATTGCCCAGGCTGGAGTACAGTGGTGCAGCCTTGCCTCACTGCAGCCTCAACCTCCTCGGCTCAAGCAATCCTCCCACCTCAGCCTCTTGAGTAGCTGGCACTGTACACCACCACAACCAGATAATTTTTATATTTTTTTATAGAGACAGGGTTTTGCCATGTTGCCCAGGCTGGTCTTAAACTCCTAGACTTAAGCAATCCACCCACTTCAGCCTCCCAAAGTGCTGGGATTACAGGCATGAGCCACAGCACTTGGCCTAAATGTGAATTCAAAGGGTAAAATATATAAAGGATCCAGCTAAAGTCTTGATACACAGCAAGACCTCTAGTTAAAAGGCCTCTCTGCTCTTATGTAACAGTGGAATTCTCACCTTTTAAAAGAAGTTCTATCATTGTAACCAATCCATGGGATTTATATGTGTTCCATATATATGCTGCCTTAATTAAGTTGACATTTCTGTAAATGTTACAGGCGTGGTTAAAAAATAAGGCAACTTACCTAAAAAATATAAGTGCATTTTGAAAAAACACAGCTAGTCCCGGATAAACATCAGTATCTACATACACAAAGTAAAACAGATTAGACGGTTATATAGGCAAACGGCAGTAATAAAGTATCAGTGCCATTCATAATGATACATTTTGTATATTACAACATACTGCTATTATTCATTAACTGTAAGACATCTATAATGAAACTGAAAGAAGAAAATGCCAATTTAATTCCCCCAAAGCAAAGGACTGCTCTTACTCTGGATAAAAGTCAATGAACTTACAAAGTTTTCTTTTAGTCAAAGTAATTGCTGGTTCTAGCTACATCAAAACTGCTGAGGAAGCAGTAACTTGCTCCTTTGCCTCCTATGGCCAACACTGAAATGCAAAATCGTAAAAACATACAAAATAAATTCTTGACTTTTAAACAGTCTGTTAATTTATTTTCTTTCATGAATTCAAGAGGTTTTTTGTGTTTGTTTTTAAAGAAATGGGGCCTCACTATATTGCCCAGACTGGAGTGCAGCAGCTACTGACAGGCACAATCATAGCAAACTACAGCCCAAACTCCTGGGCTCAAGTGATCCTCCTGCCTCAGCGTCCCAAGTGGATGGGACTACAGGCACACACCACAATGCCTGGCTCTCAATCCAGGAGTTTTATCATGCAAATATGTCAGATATAAATAACACAGTTAGAATTTATCATTCTCTTTCACTGAATCTATCCTGGAGGAAATGGTTACTATCTTTATAGGAAAAGAAAAGAAACAAAATGGAAACTACTTAAATTTTTGTGGATTATTAACTTTTGTAAAACTACAAATGTTGATTTAAAAAATACTGGAGAAGATGAAGAAACTGGTTCAATTCTGAGCTCTTGATATCATAGCAAACAATACAGCAGCATGGTTAAGAGCTCCAAGTTTGAGCCAGACCCAGGTTTGAATCCTATCTATACCAATGACTAACTGTATGACCTTGGGCAAATTATTTAACCTCAGCATATCTTCATTTCCTCACCTGTAAAACGGGCATTGTAATAGCACCTACTCCAGAGTGTAAGAATTAGATGAGTGACTCTATATAGTGCTTAGAACAGTATCTAGCCTATAAAGTAATATATAAAAGTTAGCTATTACTATGAATATTAATAGTTCAAGCAAATCTGTACAGTAAAAGATTTGAAACATGGCCTAGAAATGCTCTCTGAAATAAAGTCATATTCACTTTACAAATAGAAAAGTATATTTAGGCTGGGTGTGGTGACTCACGCTTGTAATCCCAGCACTTTGGGGGGCCGAGGCGGGTAGATCACTTGAGGTCAGGAGTTTGAGACCAGCCTGGCCAACATGGGGAAACCCTGTCTCTACTAAAAATACAAAATTAGCCAAGTGTGGTGGTGGATGGCTGTAATCCCAGCTACTTGGGAGATTGAGACAGGAGAATCACTTGAACCCAGGAGGCAGAGGTTGCCGTGGGCCAAGACTATACCACTGCACTCTAGCCTGGACGACAGGGCGAAACTCCATCTTAAAAAAAAAAGAAAAGTATATTTAAATGAGTAATGCTGTTGAAATAGAAAGATGAAATTCACAATCAAGAAATTTATCAATATTTACTAGTTCTTTAAATATTAAGATACAATTGGCTGGGAGCGGTGGTTCATGCCTGTAATCCCAACACTTTGGGAGGCCAAGGTGGGTAGATCGTCTGAGATCAGGACTTCAAGACCAGCTTGGCCAACATGGTGAAACCCTGTCTCTACTAAAAATACAAAAAATTAGCTGGGAGTCGTGGCAGGCGGCTATAATCCCAGCTATTCGGGAAGCTGAGGCAGGAGAATCGCTTGAACCCGGGAGGCAGAGGTTGCAGTGAGCCGAGACTGTGCCATTGCACTCCAGCCTGGGCGACAAGAGTGAAACTCCAACTCAAAAAAAAAAAAAAAAATACACTCAACAATAGTAAAGCCTTTACAAACAATATTTCCCTACATACCTTACAGAAATGGCAATTTATCCCTATTTTCACTATAGAAACTGTAAAGCTCATGGATCACTTCAACTGCTAAAGTAAATAAGCAGGAAGCCATTAACCTGAGGCTATCTCCCTACTCTGAGTTCCTGTGTGACCCCAACCCACCCCCCGGAACCTAACTTACGTAAACGAACTGAAACCTAGGGTTATATTTTTTAATAAATAGCTGAATTTTAGTCAATCACAAACGGCTAAGCTTTAGCCAATCCCAAGCAGCCAACTGATGAGACCATGCACAAATAAGACAAACATATAGCTACAGACAATCTAAAAATTTCTTGTCTTTGCCTTGTGTTCAGCCTACAGCTGCTCATGCTGCTGGGTGAAGCTCTCCGAACCTCTTCTTGGTTTGCTCAAATTGCTAATTTATCTAAAGTTTTTCTTTAACATAACTATGGAGACCTTTTAAGAAAATCAGTGACAGCAGCCCACCCTTCTTACAGTCAGGGATAAAATGAGTTTAAAACACACTTTCCGGCTGGGCACAGTGGCTCACGCCTGTAATACCAGCACTTTGGGAGGCTGAGGTGGGTGGATCACCTGAGGTCAGGAATTCGAGACCAGCCTGACCAATATGGTGAAACCCCATCTCTACTAAAAATACAAAAATTATCTGGGCGTGGTGGCATGCACCTGCAGTCCCAGCTACTTAGGAGGCTGAGAAAGGAGAATTGCTTGAACCTGGGAGGCAGAGGTTGCAGTGAGCCGAGATCACGCCACTGCACTCCAGCCTGGGCGACAGAGCAAGGTTCTGTCTCAAAAAAACACTTTCCTATAAGATTCCATGTGTATGAAATAGATACAGACAGAAAGTACATTAGTGGCTGCCTAGGGCTAGGGGAAGGAGTAATGGGGAGTGACTGCTAATGGGTATGGCAGTGATAAAAATATTCTCAAATTGGATTGTGATGATGGTAGCATAATTCTGTGAAAATACTAAAAACACTGAACTGCATATTTTAAATGGCTGAATTATATGGTATGCAAATTATATCTCAATGAAGCTATCTTTAAAAAAGCATTTTCCTTCAGATATGCTTCATACCAGAATTATGTGCTCTAGTAGTATTTTTAATTAACTAAAAAACACATTTTAGATACAGTTGGTGACCAATGTTATTTAAGCCAACCACTGTCCTCTTGTAATCTGACTTATTTTGTATCAAGTGAAAGACAAAAGAAAAACAAAAGTATTCCAAAGATCTTATACTGATCAAACTATGAGACTTAAATGATACTATCAAAAGTATTCAAAAACCAGCTGTGAGTCAGGACAAGGAGATGTGACAGTTAAGCAAAGAAGGCTGACAAAGAGATTCCAGAGGTAGAGGAGTCAGAGGATGAATAAATTGCGTTCTCTGAAACTGACTCCTGTCTTAGGAGCAAAGGAAGAGGGCCAGTGAAACAGTCTTCCGACGCTTCCAGAGACATTTCTGAAACTGGGTTCTATTTTTCATCACTACTGTGAATGAAAAGCTATGGCACCTGGCAGAGCCACAGATTTCAGCATGGTGTAATAAGAGCTCATCCCACTCCATCAGCTGTTTCTGTATGAAGAGTATACATATGTGTTCAGTCTTGCCCTTAAAAAACTCCCCCTGTACCCATGACTTAAAAATTACAGGATTGGCTGGGCATGGTGGCTCACACCTGTAATCCCAGCACTTTGGGAGACCAAGATGGGTGGATCACTTGAGGTCAGGAGTTTGAGACCAGCCTGGCCAACATGGTGAAACCCTGTCTCTACTAAAAAAATACAAAAATTAGCTGGGTGTGGTGGCGTGCACCTGTAATCCCAGCTACTTGGGAGGCTGAGACAGGCAAATTACTTGAACCTGTGAGGCGGAGGTTGCAGTGAGCCGAGATCACACCACTGCACTCCATCCTGGGTGACAGAGTGAGACTCCGTCTCAAAAAAAAAAAAAAAAATTACAGGATTAGGTTGGAGAGAGAAGGTGTCAATGAAACGAAAGATTATCTACTGGCAATCCATAGATTATCAGATAAGGGGTCTATACCCCTTATCTGAAATCCCTGGGGCAAGATATATTTTGGGATTCAGAATTCTTCAGGTTTAAGAACAGTAAGGGAAAGCACATATACTACATAGCACCGCCAGCTGGGTATAGACAAGCACATCCTATAATCTAATATATCTATTTTCATTCCTACAATAAAACATTTGAATACTTACACTAAATGGGATAAAGAAAATAGTGAGCTCCATGTCAGTTTAGGTCAGGTTTTGCTGCCAGACTAGTTATAAATAACTTGATTTTCAGCATTTTGTGGATTTTAGAATTGTATATAAGGGAGTGTACACCTGTACTGGTTTCTCACTTTTTCTACTGCAACTCCCAGTAAATGGGCCTCTAGCATAAAATCCTGGCTGTCTAAGGTAAAGAAGGAAAGCAGAAAGTCTGGAGACAGCTGAGAGGTACCAGCTTTGTCAGTGGCTTGGATTTCCTAACCAGGGCTATCCTACTGCACTAAGTGTTCCCACTGACAAGTTTTATTAAACTCATGTATCTTCACACAGAGCAGTATCTTCAATCTAAGTGAACAATTATACTAAGTTGTACTCAAGGTAGAGTAAGCCAAATATAAAAGACATATCTGAATCTCTCCTATAAAATACAAGAAGAATATATACTTACTTTGGGTAACATATGCACCAAAAAGAATCCACATGGAAGCAATAAGTGACCCAAACATCAACATGAAACCAATGAAAAGCCAAACTCGAGCACCTGTGTAGAGAAGAGGCTTTATGATTTTGTTCATTTTTGCAGCTCTGTAACGTCTTAGGAATACATAATACTAGGAGCCCTGTTAGCCTAGTATATATTATGCATATCAAAGATAGTCATATATTTATATAAATCTGCTGTAAGTTAAATGAATGATGATTTAAAAAAAAAACACTAAAAGAAGTTAAACCATACATGGAAAAGGAAAAAAAGAAAGTTACCTTTTTACTGACTAGAGAAACGAATGCCCTAATTAAAAAATTACACTGTTGTATATATTACCAAAATAATTGCTCTATTAAAAGTAGCACATGTATTCTGGATAGCCATCACCACATAGGAATGAGAGACTTCAAATGAAGAAGGACTAATATGTCCCTTTTTAATCAATGGTAAGCTTCTATAATCACACCATTATTCAATATGGTACAAATAACGGCCATTCTTTAGGAGTATATTCAGGCTTTTTTATTGCTGAGGCAGCCAATCTGTACCACATATTCATGAAAACTTCAAGATCAGAAGTATCTCTTCAACCCTGTATTGAACAAAATTCTAGATCTCGATAATGTAAATCATCTGGACACTTGAGTAGATTCAACATATTTTTAGGAAAGCAGGTTAATACTTGCACCAGATCCTGTTCACAGGTATACTGACAGCCCCATCAACCTCTGGAAGGGGAAGAAAGCTCCACTGAAGTAAAAATAAAATCCTAGCCAATTTCCATAACAGAAAACTAAATTTGCCTCAGTTGCAAATATTTTGTTACCAGGGAAAAGATTCATTTTAGACACCAGATAAGGAAGAAGCACTGATCAAAGTTCATAATGGTTAGAACAGCTGATATCTGAGAGAAATAGGTCTCTATATTATCTAAATTTTATTACAATACTAAGCAGATCTCCAGAAATAAACAGTAATGTTTAGTTCTTTGGAGAAATACAATCTCTAAATTATATTCAATCATAGCTTTTATCTAACGTGAATAAAAGGAACTATTAAAAATCCTTAAAGGCGGGGCATGGTAGCTCACACCTGTAATCCTAGAAATTTGGGAGGCCAAGGTGGGCTAATTGCCTGAGCTCAGGAGTTCGAGACCAGCCTGGGCAACATGGTAAAACCCTATCTCTACTAAAAGAAAAAAAAATCAGTCGGGCTTGGTGGCGGGTGCCTGTAGTCCCAGCTATTCAAGAGGCTGAGGCAAGAGAATTGCTTGAACCTGAGAGGCAGAGGTTGCAGTGAGCCAAGATCATGCCACTACACTCTAGCCTGCGCAACAAAGCAAAACTGTTTCAAAAAAAAAAAAATCCTTACAATTATTTTCCATCATGTCCTTTATTTATGGCTATATACATTAAACTTTCTAATAGAATTAAACAAGAAAAAAATTTCTCTTGTAAAGTAAGTATGTCTGAGGGCATATTAACAAAAAGAGAAAAAAAAGAAAAAGAAGTATGCTTTTGTTTAGCAAAAAAATAAAACTGTAACATTTTCTCTTGTTTGCTTTGGCTACAAGGAAGCTCTGAGTTAAGGTTAATGAACAATTAAAAGCATCCATCTTGTCCCAGGTTCTAAGTACAATGATCATTTTTCTACCTAGTTCCTGTTCTTTTTTATAGTTTTATTATTTAGCTGTTTCATTTATAGTATATTTATTATTTTGATACTTTCCTATTAATTCCTCCGGGAACTAAATAGAGATAGTTTACAGATAAACCACTTAAGCAGTACAAAAGCTTAAGAGTAGCAATACCTGGGCATGACTATAAGACAGTTTGTCCTTAATTTTTGAAACACTAAACAGAAATTGCACTATATGCACAATATAAAAATATAAACTGTACTGTTAATTTTAATAGAATAGGGAATATCATAGAATAAAATATAATAATCACTTAGGGTAAAAACGACGGGCTTGGGAACCAGACAGACCAAAGACAAATACAGGTTCCACTTTTAAGCTAAAAAACTTTGGATAAGTTACAGTGAAACTTCCTATAAAAAACAGATAATAGTGGCCAGGCACAGTGGCTTACACCGGTAATCCCAGCTACTCTGGAGGCTGAGAGGGGAGGATTGCTTGAGCCCAGGAGTTCAAGGCTTTTCTGCGTCATGATCATGCCACTGCACTCTAGCCTGGGAGACAGAGCAAGACCTCGTCTCAAAAAAAGATAATAGTAACATAATTCACAGCAATGTCCGTGGAATATTCTTGAAAGAAAAATGATGGAGTACATTATTGTATGCTCTACATACAACATCTTCACTTGCTAATATATATTTTTTCTTTACCTTCCCTCATTCCTGACATTACTGCTGAGGCTGACATACAGGATATGATGAAAAGTAAGCGCGATCGCATGCGCATACACACACATATTGTGCACTTTAAACTTAGGCTCATCTGTCATTTGTCATTATACCCTCTCGCAAATTCTCCATGGATTCCAGTAGAAGTGAGGTTACAAAATCTACATCAGCATTTAAAGCATCAGGTAGAAGGCTGGGCATGGTGGTTCATGCCTGTAATCCCAGCACTTTGGGAGGCCAAGGCGGGTGCATCACCTGAGGTCAGGAGTTTGAGAACAGCCTGGCCAACATGGTGAAACCCAGTTTCTACCAAAAATACAAAAACTAGCCAGGCGTGGTGGCAGGCACCTGTAATCCCAGCTACTCAGGAGGCTGAGGCAGAAGAATTGCTTGAGCCTGGGAGGCGGAGGATGCAATGAGCTGAGATCGCACCACTGTACTCCAGTCTGGGTGACAGAGCGAGACTCCGTCTCAAACAAAATAAATACAAAATTTAAAAAATAAAACATCAAGTAGAAAAGAAAGCTAAGCTCTTCAAAGCTGCTTTATTTGGTTTAAAAGGCTATGATACTTACTATATGATCCCATTTATATGAAATCATAGAAAAGGCAAAGCAACCATCATAGAAAGTAGATCAGTAGTGGCCACGAGGTGAGGGGAAGAGTATTAACTATAAAAAGGGGTATGAGGGAACTTTTTGGGGCAATGGAAATGTTCTGTATCATGATTGTAGTGGTAGTTACACAACTGTAACTGTACACATTTGATCAAGCTCATCAAATTGTACACTTTAAATTGGTGGATTCTGGCCAGGCGTGGTGGCTCATGCCTGCAATCCCAGCACTTTGGGAGGCTGATAGCTTGAGGCCAGGTGGATAGCTTGAGGCCAGGAGATCAAGACCAGCCTGAACAACGTGGTAAAACCCTGTCTCTACAAAAAATAAATAAATTAGCTGGGCACAGCAGCATGTGCCTATAATCACAGCTACTTGAGAAACTGAGGCAGGAGGATCACTCGAGCCCAGGCTGTTGAGGCTGCAGTGAGCCAAGATCATGCCACTGCACTCCAGCCTGGGTGGCAGAGTGAGACTCCGTCTCAAAAAAAATTAATAAAATAATAAATACATTAGTGAATTTTATTATACTTAAATTATATTCAATTAAGCTGACAAAAAGAAAAAATATACACGTGATACCAAACCAGACAAAGTGACCAAATGGTTCTAGATGGGAAACAAGCACAGCATAGTGGCTAAAAGCATGGGCTCTGGAGCCAGACTGTCCATGTTCAATCCTGGCTCCACCACTTACTTGCTCTGTGACTTTGGACACATTATGTAAGCCCACTGTACCTTAATTTCTTCATATTATAATGTAAATTTTTTTTTTTTTTTTGAGACGGAGTTTCACTCTTGTTGCCCAGGCTGGAGTCCAATGAGGTGATCTCGGCTCACCGCAACCTCTGCCTCCCGGGTTCAAGCGATTCTCTTGCCTCAGCCTCCCAAGTAGCTGGGACTACAGAAGTGTGTCACCACGCCTGGCTAATTTTGTATATTTTTTAGTAGAGACGGGGTTTCTCCATGTTGGCAGGGCTGGTCTCGAACTCCTGACCTTAGGTGTTCCACCCGTCTCAGCCTCCCAAAGTGCTGGGATTACAGGCGTGAGCCACTGCGCCCGGCCGTAAATGTTTAAAAAACACAATTGGGCCGGGCTCGGTGGCTCACTCCTGTAATCCCAGCACTTTGGGAGGCCAAGGTGGGTGGATCACCTGAGGTCGGGAGTTCGAGACCAGCGTGATCAACATGGAGAAACCCCATCTCTACTAAAACTTCAAAATTAGCCAAGCATGGTGGCGCATGCCTGAAATCCCAGCTCTCGGGAGGGTGAGGCAGGAGAATTGCTTGAACCCAGGGGGTGGAGGTTGTGGTGAGCCAAAAACCCACCACTGCACTCCAGCCTGGGAAAGAAGAGCTAAACTCCGTCTCAAAAAAAAAAAAAAAAAAAACAAAAATTGGATAACAATTCAAATGAATTCAAACTATAAAAACTAATTTATGTGTAGACAAATAGCATCTTTCTACTGAACAATTTTGTTGCAGTCTGTAGGTGGCTACTCAGGTGATCAGAAGTGAATGTAAAGACACTGTAGTCCTAGGTTTGATCCCCTAATGTGTTCATTACTTTCCTGTTAATAATCATAGTCAGCCATCTTGTAAGTAACATTATTGGTCAACAATTGGGATAATAATAAATCCATCATTAGCACTGGAGTCCAAGATCCATTTGAATAGCAACATTTTTTATCTATATCATGGGCAGTGTAACATGACAAAAACAGTAACTTCTAGCAATAACTTACTTTCTTAAGGATTTGAATAACACTAAAACTTTGTTTTAAAGCAAATAAAAAATATTCTATATAATCATTACCAGTCTTGAATAAAGACTCACAAGAGAGGCTTTTTTTCTGGTGACAAATTTCTGTTTTGTCAACACCCATTAACAGCTCAAAGTATCTTTACCTGTTCTTCCTAAACAGCCGCTTTCATAGCTATCACCTCTCACCTGAGCATTGGATACAGCATTTATCCTAGAACGGCACAAAATCATCAAATGAATTTCAGTATTCGCTGTTAAAATACTCAAATATTTATATAACACTTAGACGGAAAACAGATTATTTCATAACTAAAATCAGTATCTGAATAATTTAACATATTTTTAACCTAATAAAAATGCTAGTTGATAGAAATGTTACATTAGTCTTATTTTCATAAAGTACACCCAGAAAACACATTTATTTTAAGAGATTTCTATCACTTCTCTCCAGAGATTATACAAGAGGGACCAGTTTTCTGGATTCTTTGTCTATTTCACATTTATACATGAATGACTCAGTGCTATCCCACTTCAAGGTTCTCATTATTATCAAGAGTTAAACAGTTTCTCTTTGTGTTAAAAGTCAAGTGATTTTCTATGATCCATTTCTTAAGCTCAGAGAAAATGTAGCTTATGTATAATATGCCCACTTTATTCAGCTTCCCCTTCCATTTTTGTTAGAGCAAGGTACATTAATTAGTAACAGGAATTTCCTTTTTTTAGAAGCCACAATGGATATAAGTAGTTCCATTTTCCAAAATATAACCTTTTTAAAACTCCTGGCCAGGTGCAGTGGCTCACACCTGTAATCCCAGCACTTTGAGAGTCCACAGCAGGCAAATCACGAGGTCAGGAGTTCAAGACCAGCCTGGCAAACATGGTGGAACCCCGTCTCTACTAAAAATACAAAAAATTAGCTGGGCGTAGTGGCAGGCACCTGTAATCCCAGCTACTTGGGAGGCTGAGGCAAGGGAATCACTTGAACCCGGGAGGCAGAGGTTGCAGTGAGCCAAGATCACACCAGTGTGGTCCAGCCCAAACAACAGAGTAAGACTCTGTCTCAAAAACAAAAAAACCTCCTGATGGTATAAGGAAATGATGTAATCTTAATGTTTAATATTTTTTAATTGTTAAAAGACATCCATAAAAAGCTTCCAAGCTTTTTTATGAAATGAGGTAACATAAACTTAAAAATAATTTAATAAAAACAAAAGCCACAAACAAATCTCTTTTGAGGCCAATCTTGCCTTTTCCTCAAACACTGGCAAACACAGTCAAGTAGCACATTAAAAAAAATAAAAATAATACTGCAAGGTAAAAGTTGAGTGTACTACAACACCTACGGGTGATTTACTACTAAAAAAATGCAGAAACGTAACATGTTTCATGAAATCTCAGAGCCATCAGTTTTAAGATACACCATTAATTTTTAATACTGACAAGAAATAAAAATGTTATCAATTATAATTCTAAGATACCACTGACTGTAAGATGCATCCTGATATTCAGAGGTATTAAAATGCGAAAAAGTAGATCTTGCAACTGACAAAATATGTAACTGACCAGATTTAAAAATATGAGGAAAAAAAAAAATCACAAGATAATTGTTATAGGTGCTAAAAAGATATATGACCAAATCCAACACTCATTCTTGGTTAAAAAAAATCGTAATAAAATGGGAATTATGTATGTATCATGTTAAAAAATAGTCTATCAAATAAATTAAAAAGTTATTCAAGAAAGCACTGCACATTAACAGGAAAGTATTTTTAGAAAAATCACCTTGAATAGAGAATTATCTTCATACTTACATGAAGAAAGCCAATGTGGAAAATACACCACATGTGTGAAAGGCATGGTTCAACTGTTCTGGCTTAGGATACACCACAGCTGCATCAATCATTATCCACCAGCCTGTAAAAAACTTAAAACACAGCCCAAGTCACTGAAACATTAAAACTCTTGCTAGCACAATACCTGCTTTTTAACATTCCTTTTGTCCTACAGATCATATAAATGGGCTGGGTACAGAGGCTCACGCCTGTAATCCCAGCACTTTGGGAGGCCAAGGCAGGTGGATTACTTGAGGTCAGGAGTTCAAGCCTGGTCATCATGGTAAAACCTCATCTCTTCTAAAAATACAAGGCCGGGCGCAGTGCTGACATCTGTAATCCCAGCACTTTGGGAGGCCAACACGCGCAAATCACCTGAGGTCAGGAGTTTGAGACCAGTCTGGTCAACATGGTGAAACCTCGTTTCTACTAAAAGTACAAAAATTAGCTGGGCATGGTGGCAGGCACCTGTAATCCCAGCTACTTGGGAGGCTGAAGCAGGAGAATCGCTTAAACCCAGGAGGTGGAGGCTGCAATGAGCTGAGATCACGCCACTGCACTCCAGCCTGGACGAAAGAACGAGACTCTGTCTCAAAAACATTCAAATATAAATACAAAAATTAGCTGGGCATGGTGGCATGTGCCTCTAATCCTAGCTACTTGGGAGGCTGAGGCACAAGAATTGCTTGAACCTGGGAAGTCAGAGGCGGAGACTGCAGTGAGCAGACTGCTTCACAATTATCGTTAGTTCTTGCTCTGCTTCATTTCATTTTGTTTTTCTATTGGACTTTAGGTGTAGAACTGTACATTGAAAGAGATGAATTTTTAAAATGTAAACAGATAAAGAAATTTGCTTCCAAAAAATGCTGTGGGAGCCAGGAATGGTAGTATGAACCTGTAGTCCCAGCTACCTGGGAGACTGAGGCAGGAAGATTGCTTGAGACCATGAATTTGAAGCTGTAGTATACTACGACCACATCTGTAAATAGCAACTGTACTCTAGTAGCTGTACAACATAGCAAGACCTCGTCTCTTTAAAAAAAAAAAAAAAAGTGCGGACAGAGAGTGGTTGATGGAATTATAAACCAAGATAGGTCCTGATTTTGGGGTGTTTTTTTTTTAAGCTGGATGATAGACACATGGGATAAAGGAGGTGATGGAATCTTTATACCATTCTCTCTGCTTTTGTTTTATGCCTGTCATTTTCAATTAAAGTTAAAAAATGATGGAAAGAAAATTAAACAATAGTTTCCTTCACAAATCTCTTCCTCTGATGCTCCCCTGATGTTGCAGCTGGGGAAACAGAGATGGTATTTCTTCCCTAGAGCCGCTGCAGGGCTTCAGTTCCAATGGAGCCTAAGGTTGTTACTATTATCTGCAGAGTACTGTCACTGTTGTCTGACCTTCAATAAGTCACAACAATAATTTTGGGTTACATCAAATTCTGAGCCTTTAAGGATCTTAAAGTACTTACATATATGTTGTATCAGTAAGTTAAAAATGCTATTGCCTATAATAATTATATTATCACTGGAACTGAAGAAAAGATATTAAGTACACATTTACAAAGTCAAAATGAATCCAGGGCCTACCATATTCTGCTTGGCAATAGTATCTAGAACTCTGATAATCATCTATACAAAACAGCAGTGAAATAAATAGTTCTGGAAAGCCATTCTCAGTTCAAAGGAACCGGCATTAATTTCCAGGGCAAAAGGTAAGGGATACATGTCACCAACCAGTCTTTCTCACTTACCAATATACCTGCGACAACAGATGCCACAGCATTTCTTCTCTCACTCCAGTCAATACATTCACATTCTGGCCAACGAAAATTATCTAGGAAGCCTGCCATTTTTACTTCTTAAGCATAAATTTTTCATTAAATGCTGTATCCTACAAACAGAAAGACAAAAACTAATCAACCTAAGAAAATGTTTTCTAAAAGTAAAATACCTTACTCCTTTCTTAAAGCTTTACACACAACTTTACTTTAGGTCCTATTCTACTATAGTTAAGAAAAATTCAATACTTCAACAAGTACCTAATTGAGATGTATATAGGACTACGCTAGGACCCAAGGGGGAGCTTGCTATTTGATAAATGAGCACTATGGTTTTAAACCATGTCTAGGAGCTAGGTGCCGAGGTGGTTCACGCCTGTAATTCCAGCACTTTGGGAGGCCAAAGTGGGCAGATCACTTGAGGCCAGGAGTTCGAGACCAGCCTGGCCAATATTATGAAACCTTGTCTCTACTAAAAATACAAAAAATTAACTGGGCGTGGTGGCACATGCCTGTAATCACAGCTACTCGGGAGGCTGAGGAACAAGAATTGCTTGAACCTGGAAGGCAGAGATTGCAGTGCAAGATTATGCCACTGCACTCCAGCCTGGGCAACAGAGCAAGACTCTGTCCAAAAATAAATAAATAAATGAAATAAATTAAACATATCTAAAATATTTGACACTTCTTCCATTGAGAGGTAGATTTATGTCCTACCTTTGAATTTGGGTCAACAATAAAGACTAGTAGACCAGTAGAGTAGAGGAAGTGATGCTATGTAACTTCTCCATGCCACTTCCAAGATCAGGTCACAGAAGGCAATGGAGCATCTGCCTGGTTCTCTGGAACACTAATGCTTGGGCTACCATGCTGTAAGGAGACCATTTATAGGTGTTCTGACCCACAGTTACAGTTGAGGTCCCAGCTAACAGCTAGTATTAACTGCCAGACATGAGTAAAGACACTTTTAGGTAACTGCTATCCAGCTATAGCACCATCCCAAAAGTTTGAGCCTTCCCAGGTAAGGCACCAGATATATGGAGCAGAGATACATCATCCTGGCTATGCCCCTTCCAAATTCCTGACCCATAAAATCTAATAAACATAATAAAATGACTGTTTTAAGCCACAGGGTTTTGGCATTAATCTGTAACGCAGTAAGACATAACTGGAAGAAGGAGAAAAATCATGTGCCTAAATAACTATAGGAGTGTAGCATACTATTTTTAAAAACAAAGATATTATGTAAACATGAAATGTTTCAAGGCCACCATAAATTCTAGAAAGAAATAAAAAAAAAATTGAAAGCACTGGACAGGGCTGAAAAACAGGCAGAAATTGAAAGAAACTTCATCCTTGAAAGAAAGAAAACACAGCCAGATGCGTGGTGGCTCACGCCTATAATCCCAGCACTTCAGGAGGCCGAGGCGGGTGGATCATTTGAGGTCACGAGTTCATGACCAGCCTGGCCAACATGGTGAAATCCCGTCTCTACTAAAAATACAAAAATCTGAGGCAGGAGAATCGCTTGAACCCGGGAGGCGAAGGTTGCAGTAAGCCAAGATTGTGCCACTGCACTCTAGCCTGGGAGACAAAGCGAGACTGTGTCTCAAAAAAAAAAAAAAAAAAAAAAATCGGCTAGGCTCGGTGGCTTACGCCTGTAATCCCAGCACTTTGGGAGGCCAAGGCAGGCGGATCACGAAGTCAGGAGATAGAGACCATCCTGGCTAACATGGTGAAACCCCGTCTGTACTAAAAATACAAAAAAAAAAAATTAGCTGGGCATGATGGCAGGCGCCTGTAGTCCCAGCTACTCGGGAGGCTGAGGCAGGAGAATGGCATGAACCCGGGAGGCGGGGCTTGCAGTGAGCCACTGCCCTCCAGCCTGGGCAACAGAGAAAGACTCCATCTCAAAAAAGAAAAAAAATCAGCCAATCATGGTAGCATGCACCTGTAATCCCAGCTACTCAGGAGGCCGAAATAGGAGAATCATTTGATCCCAGGAGGCAGAGGTTGGGGTGAGCCAAGATCACACCACTGCACTCCAGCCTGGGCAACAGAGTGAGACTCCCTCTCAAAGAAAAAAAAAGAAAGAAAACACAGTAAGTGGGATCAGCTGTTCCCCTTAGGAACCCCATTAAACTCCCATTCCCAGCCCAGGGAGTCCCCTTGGCACAAAGTGGCCACAGTGGCAGCAAAAAGCCACAGTCTTCTTGGCTTGAGATGCCAGAAGATGGGAGTTCAGGACCACCATAACAGCTGGAAATTGAAGGGGGACATCTCGGAAAGGAGTAAGTCACAAAGAGAGCCCCAAACACTTTAAAATAAGGGAGACATTTTGGAATTTTCATTCCACCAAGTCAGGGAGGATCAGTAAACACCTTGGGGACATATCCTAACAAAATATAAAACCAAGTCTCCACAATTTCAAGGTGATCAGCCAATATTTTAACTGCCTGTTACAATAAAAAGCAATACTTTTCAGATGAAGATAACAAAATTGACTCATATTATTCACAACGTCCAATATATACTAAAAAAAAATCACTAGACATGCAAAGAACCAGGAAAATGTGATCTATTTTTAAGGAGGAAAAAGAACAGTCAATAGAAATAAATCCCAAAATGACTCAGATATTGAAATTAGCAGACAAAGACTTTAAAGCACCCATTATAAAAATCATATTCAAGGACTTACAGGAAAACATGGTCAAAATAACTGAACCAATGGAGAATCTTAGTAGAGAAAAGGAAACTATTTTTTAAAAAAAGAATCAGGAGCCAATGTGATGGCTTGCACCTGTAATCCCAGCTACTCAGAAGGTCGAGGCAGGAAGATTGCTTGAGGCCAGGACTTCAAGCCCAGCCCAGGCAACATAGCAAGACCCTGTCTCTAAAAAATAAATTAAAATGTAAAAAGATTCAAATGAAAATTCTAGGGGCTGGGCGCAGTGGCTCATGCCTGTAATCCCAGCACTTTGGGAGGCCGAGGCAGGCGGATCACGAGGTCAGGAGATCGAGACCATCCTGACTAACATGGTGAAACCCCGTCTCTACTAAAAATACAAAAAATTAGCCAGGCATGGTGGCAGGCGCCTGTAGTCCCAGCTACTCAGGAGGCTGAGGCAGAATGGCGAGAACCCGGGAGGTAGAGCTTGCAGTGAGCCGAGATGGCACCACTGCACTCCAGCCTGGGCAACAGAGCGAGACTCCCCTAAAAAAAAAAAAAAAGAAAGAAAGAAAATTCTAGAACTGCAAATTACAATGTTTGAATTTAAAAATTAAATGGGCCGGGCAGGATGGCTCACACATGTAATCCCAGCACTTTGGGAGGCCAAGGCGGGGGGATCACGAGGTCAAGAGATCGAGACCATCCTGGCCAACATGGTGAAACCCCGTCTCCACTAAAAATACAAAAACTTAGCTGGGCATGGTAGCAGGCACCTGTAATCCTAGCTACTCAGGAGGCTAAGGCAGTAGAATTGCCTGAACCCAGGAGGCGGAGGTTGCAGTGAGCCGAGATTGCACCACTGCACTCCAGTCAGGCAACAGAGCAAGATTCCATCTAAAAAATAAATAAATAAATAATTAACTAAATGAACTTAATCGCAGATTAGATACAGTAGAAGAAAAGGACAGTAAACTTAAACATCAAAAGAAATTATCCAATTTAGAGACCTGAGGAACAATACTAAGTGGTCTAAAATATATGTAATTAAAGTTCCCAGAAGAAGAAAAGACAGAATAAGAAATAAAAAAATTTTGAAAAAAATAATAGATGGGCTGGGCACGGTGGCTCACACCTGCAATCCCAGCACTTTGGGAGGCTGAGGCGGGTGGATCACCTGAGGTCAGGAGTTCGAGACCAGCCTGGCCAACATGGTGAAACCCCGTCACTACTAAAAATACAAAACTGGGTGTGATGGCACATGCCTGTAATCCCAGCTACTTGGGAGGCTGAGGCAGGAGGATCACTTGAACCTGGGAGGCGGAGGTTGCAGTGAGCCAAGATCACACCATTCATTGCATTTCAGCCTGGGAAACAAGAACAAAACTCCATCTCAAAAAAAAAAAAGAATAAATGAAAATTTCTCAAATTTGGTGAAAAATATTAACTTATAAATCCAAAAAGCTCAGCAAACTCCAAGGAGGATAAATACAAAGAAAACATCATAATCAAACTGCTGAAAACCAGAGATACAGAGAAACTCTTGAAACAGTCTTATGGGGAAAAAAATCAATACAACATATACAGAGACAGAACAATAGGAATGATGGCTCACTTCTAACCAGAACAAAGGATACTAGAAGACACAGGAATGACACTGTTAATAACGCTTTAAGACAAAAAAAATCAGGCCAGGTGTGGTGGCTCATGCCTGTAATCCCAACACTTTGGAGACTGAGGTGGGCAGACTGCTTTGAGGCCAGGAGTTCAAGACCAGCCTGGGCAACATGGAGAAACCCCATCTCTAATAAAAATACAAAAATTATCTGGGCATGGTGGCCCTTACCTGTAGACCCAGCTACTCAGGAGGCTGAGGCACAGGAATCACTTGAACCCAGGAGCTGGAGGTTGCAGTGAGCTGAGATCGCACCACTGCACTCCAGCCTGGGCAAAAAAGTGAGACTCTGTCTCGGAAGAAAAAAAAAAAAAAAAAAAAACTCAATCCCAAATTCTATACCCAGCAAAAATATTCTCCAAAAATGAGGATAGCCAAGCATGGTGGTGTGCACTTGTAGTCTCAGCTACTCAGGAGGCTGAGATGCAAGGATCACTTGTGCCCAGAAGTTCGAGGTTACAGTGAGCTATGACAGGTGACACAGTGAGACCTTGTCTCAAAAAAAAAAAAAAACAAGAAGGTGACAGCAATTCTACTCCTATCTAACTACCCAAGAGAAATGAAAATATATCTTCACAATAACTTGTTCATAGCAGCATTATTCGTAATTGCCACGGAGTGGAAGCAACCAAACATACATCAACGAATGGATAAATAAAACATAGCACATCCATACAACGAAATACAAATTCAGCAACAAAAAGGAAAGAGGTTCCTACTGATAGATGCTACATGAACGAACCTCAACAACTGACTAAGTAAAAGACAGAAGACCATATATTGTGTGATTCCATTTACAAGAAACATCCAGAATAGGCAAATCTATAGACATAAAGCGGATTAGTGGCTGTCTAGGGATGGGGAGAAGAAAGATACAAAGTGACTGCAAAAGGCTACAAGATTCTAAAACTAGATTGTGGCAATGACTGCACAGCTCCGTAAATACTAAAAATCATTCGACTGTACACTTAAAACAGGTGAATGTTACAGTATATATACTGTATCTCAACAAAGCTGTGTTTTTTGGGGGGCAGGGGAGGGGGTTGTTGTTGTTTTTTTTAAGAGAGACAGGGTTTCACCCAGTTGTCCAAGCTGGTCTTAAACTCCTGAACTCAAGCGATCTGCCTGCCTCAGCCTCCCAAAATGCTGAGATTACAGGTGTGCACCACCATTCCCAGCCAGTTTTCTTTTTTTTAATAAGAGTAAAATAATGGTACTTCCAGGTAAACAAAAATTGAGATAATTCATCACCAAACCTGCGCTAAGAAAGAAATGCTAAAGGGAATTCTTCAAGCTGAAAGGAATGATACCCGATGAAACTGAGACCTACAAGAAAAACTGAAGAGGCCAGGTGCAATGGCTAACACTTGTAATCCCAGCACTTTGGGAGGCCAAGGTGGGTGGATTACCTGAGGTCAGGAGTTCGACACCAGCCTGGTGAAACCCTGTCTCTACTAAAAATACAAAACCAAGCTGGGCGTGGTGGTGGATGCCTGTAATCCCACCTATTCAGGAGGCTGAGGCAGGAGAATCGCTTGGACCCGGGAGGCAGAGGTTGCAGTGAGCCAAGATCGTGCCATTGCACTCCAGCCTGGGCAACAGGAGTGAAACTCCGTCACCAAAAAAAAAAAAAATAAAAATAAAAATAAATAAATAAATAAAATAAAATAAAATAAAAATAAATAAAATAAAAAAGCAAGAGAAAGATAAACACAAACAAATCAGGACAGAGGCTACCTCTGGAAGAAAAAAATGCAAACATTTTGTTCCCCCACCGCCACCACCCCCAAGACAGAGTCTCTCTCTGTCACCCAGGATGGAGTGCAGTGGCGTGATCTGAGCTCACTGCAACCTCCACCTCCCAGGTTCAAGCAATTCTCCTGCCTCAGCCTCCCAAGTAGCGGAGATTACAGGTGCCCACCACCACGACCGGCTAATTTTTATATTTTTGGTAGAGACAGGGTTTCACATGTTGGCCAGGCTGGTCTCCAACGCCCAGTCTTCAGTGATCTGCCTGTCTCAGCCTCCCAAGATGCTGGCATTACAGGTGTTGAGCCACTGCGGCTGGCCAAACATTTTGTTTCTTAATCTGGTAGTGGATACAAAATGATCATTGCAATAGTATTCTTTAAATTATACATGTTTTATATGCTTTTTTGTACCTGAGATAAAATTTGCAATGAAAGAAATTATTACTATTTTTTTTTGGGAGATGGAGTCTCGCTCTGTCGCCCAGGCTGGAGTGCAGTGGCACGATCTTGGCTCACTGTAACTCCCGCCTCCTGGATTCAAGCAGTTATCTGCCCCCACCTCCCAAGTAGCTGGGATTACAGGGGCCCATCACCAGGCCCGGCTACTTTTTTGTATTTTTAGTAGAGACAGGGTTTCACCATCTTGGCCAGGCTGGTCTTGAACTCCTGACCTCGTGATCCACCCGCCTTGGCCTCCCAAAGTGCTGGGAATACAGGCGTGAGCCACCGCGCCCAGGAAGAAATTACTTTTAAAAAAGAACAAGCAGCTGGGTGCGGTGGCTTACTCCTGTAATCCCAGCACTTTGGGAGGCCAAGGTGGGCAGATCATGAGGTCAGGAGAACAAGACAATCCTGGCTAACACGTTGAAACCCCATCTCTAATAAAAATACAAAAAATCAGCTGGGCGTGGTGGCACGCACCTGTAGTCCCAGCTACTCGGGAGGCTGAGGCAGGAGAATCACTTAAACCCAGGAGGTGGAGGTTGCAGTGAGCCAAGATCTCACCACTGCACTCCGGCCTGGGCAGCAGAGCCCCCTCTAATCTGAAGGACCTCTCTTATCACTTCTGCCAACCCAATTAAATGAGGCAATATAACCTTAAGGTCAACACCACTTCGTGGTAAGAAGAGTAATAAATCCTCTATTATTTAATACAGTCTTCAAAATTTTCTGTTCCAGCCTCTAAATATAAAAGAATATATAGAGCCAGGCACAGTGGCTCATGCCTGTAAACCCAAGACTTTGGGAGGCCTAGGTGGGTGGATCCCCTGAGATCGGGAGTTCAAGACCAGCCTGACAAAAGCCCGTCTCTACTAAGAATACAAAATTAGCCGAGGTGGTGGCGCATGTCTGTAATCCCAGCTACTCAGGAGGCTGAGGCAGGAGAATTGCTTGAACCTGGGAGATGGAGGTTGCAGTGAGCCAAGATCACGCCATTGCACTCCAGCTTGGGCAACAAGAGCAAAACTCCGTCTCAAAAAATAATAAAAGAATATATGGAATCTTAGAAATGCATTTAATTCAAATAGATTTAGCTACTGCTTTTAAATTATAAAATCTTTTAAGTTATAACATCAGGCGTGGTGGCTCACACCTGTAATCCCTGCACTTTGGGAAGCCGAGGCCAGCGGATCACGAGGTCAGGAGATTGAGACCATCCTGGCTAAAACGATGAAACCCCGTCTCTACTAAAAACACAAAAAATTAGCTGGGCGTGGTGGAGGGTGCCTGTAGTCCCAGCTTCTCGGGAGGCTGAGGCAGGAGAATGGTGTGAACCCGGGAGGTGGAGCTTGCAGTGAGCCGAGATCGCACCACTGCACTCCAGCCTGGGCGACAGAGTGAGACTCCATCTCAAAAAAAAAAAAAAAAAAACAACTTTAAGTTTAAAAAGATTCCTTGTGAAATAAAATTATATCAAAGTACAATCATCTGTTTATATTATCTACTTGAAACTTACCCTAGAACGACAAAAAGATTTTCATAAAGCAAAGCTTTTAATGGCTAAAACCCAGAAACAGTCAAAATGTCCATCAATAAGGAACCAAAAAATGTATATTAGGGTACATCCAAACAACGGTATACCATGCAACATTCTGAAAATGAGGCAAGTTGGCTGGGCAGGATGGCTCACACCTGTAATCCCAGCACTTTGAGAGGCTGAGGCAGGTGGATGGCTTGAGTTCAGGAATTCAAGACCAGCCTGGGCAATATGAGAAACCCGTCTCTACAAAAATTACAAAAATTAGGCATGGTGGCACTCGCCTATAGTCTCAGCTTCTCAGGAGGCTGAGGTGGGAGGATCGTTTGAGCCCAAGGCTGCAGCAAGCCGTGAGGGAACCACTGCACTCCAGCCTGGGCAACACAGTGAGACCCGGTCTCCAAAGTGAGGGGTGGGGTTGGGAGGAAATGAGGTAGGTCTCCACGTGCTTATGAAGGAAATGTGTCCTTATATTATCATCAGTTGCCGAGCAATATTATAATATAATACCCTCCTAGGGAATGGAATTGAGGATGTAAAGAGTGAACAAACAAGGAATTCTAACTTGACATACCTCTGCGCTGTCTGAATTTTACTTGATATTCTTCTGTCATGTTTAAATGTTTTAAACAACCTGAATGTTACTTTAATCATTTAAAAAGTAAAACGGGCTAGGTACGGTGGCTCACGTCTGTAATCCCAGCACTTTGGGAGGCCGAGGCGGGGGGGGGTTACCTGAGGTCAGGAGTTCGAGTCTCTACTAAAAATACAAAAATTAGCTGGGCGTGGCGGCGGGCGCCTGTAATCCCAGTTTACTTGGGAGGCTGAGACAGGAGAATCGTTTAAACCTGGGAGGCGGAGGTTGCAGTGAGCCACGATAGCGCCATTGCACTCCAGCCTGGGCAACAAGAGCAAAACTCGGCCTCAAAAATTATATATATATATACATAAGTTAAAAATAAACTTTAGGCCGGGCACAGTGGCTCACGCCTGTAATCCCAGCACTTTGGGAGGCTGAGGCAGGTGGATCACGAGGTCAGGAGATCGAGACCATCCTGGCTAACACGGTGAAAACCCGTCTTTACTAAAAATACAAAAAATTAGCCGGGCGTGGTGGTGGGCGCCTGTAGTCCCAACTACTAGGGAGGCTGAGGCAGGAGAATGGCGTGAACCCAGGACGTGGAGCTTGCAGTGAGCCGAGATCTTGCCACTGCACTCCAGCCTGGGAGACAGAGCAAGACTCTGTCTCAAAAAATAAATAAATAAATAAATTTAAAAATAATAATAATACACTTTAAAAGGCCAGGCGCGGTGCCCACACCTGTAATCCCAGTACTTTCAGAGACCGAGGCAAGCGGATCACTTGAGGTCAGGAGTTCAAGACCAGCCTGGCCAACATGGTGAAACTCTCTCTCTACTAAGAATATAAAAATTAGCCAGGCATGGTGGCAGGCGCCTGTGATCCCAGCTACTCGGGAGGCTGAGGCTGTAAAATCCCTTTAACCCTAGAGGTGCAGGCTGCAGTGAGCAGAGATCGGGCCACTGTACTTGTAGCCTGGTCAACGAGGGAGACTCTGTCTCAAAAAAAACAGAAAAGGAAAATGAGGATAAAATACGATAAATTCTTTACCTTGGCCCCCAGAAGTGAATTCAGAATTCAGAAAAGACTAGCCAGTGTAAGGCTGCTGTAACCCTAGTTGACAGAGAGGAGGGATTGGGGTGGTGAGTGGGAAGGCTGTGTCTCCGGAAGAAGAAATATACGTCCCCACCTCACTCTAATTAAACCTGCTTTTCCAGCGCGATAAATATTCAAGATAACTTTTGGTTTGCATTTCAATAACAAAGTCTTGCACCACTATCTTCAGTTTAAAAAAAAAGTTTAATGTTTGCTCTACGTTTGAAATGCATGCAGGTTTAAAAGACAAGAAACAAAATGATGAAAAAGTGTGACCGGCCTGAGAGTTCAGAGCCTCTGAAGTGTCAAGGGATCCACAGTGCAGGTAGGATGAAGAGTCTGAGAAGGGAGATGGGATCCTCCGAAAAGAGAAAATCGGGTCTTACAGCGCGATGTAAGACGATGCGGATGCCACTTCCCTCCCACCCCGTCCCGTCCGAGGCCTCCGCCCCCTGCCCCTCCGCACCCCCCGACCCAGGCACGCGCAGCGGGGAGCAGCCCAGCCTAGCCCGTCTCACTGCTTTGGTTTTGAAAGGTCACGTATTTACCTTAGAATTTCAGCACCTTCCAACTTACTGTTTTAAGTACCTTTAACCAGCCTATTGGCTAAAAACCGAAACGGTCCTACCCGCGACTACCACTGCTCCAGTGACAATGCTCTGCTGCTACTTATTTAACGGAGCTCAAGGTTTATAATTCTCGAAAGAATGTTGTTCCCCTTCCCTTTCCCCTCCCGCCTCTGTACTTGACTCTCGTAAGAATGAAATCAGAAAAGTGCAGAAAACACAGGCTCCTAGCAATGGTTCGGGGCAAACGGGAGGGGCGAAGAAGGGCTGGAGCCGCCCCGGGGCCCTCGCTCCGGCCTCGGGAGGGCGTCGCGGCCGCAGCAGGGCGTCCCGAAAACCGTCGCCTCCGTGCCCGCCGCGCGAGAAGGTGAAAGGCACGAGATGGAGCCTCTCCAGCCCTCCCCAGGAACGCAACCTGACGGCGTGACAGCGCGGCAGGGCAGCCTCCCCGGGCTGCTTGCGGGTCGCGGCGGCGCCACGGTCACGGTCGGCCCGAAGGGACGCGGGCAGGGGCAAGAAGGGGCGGCGGGGGCTCCGCGGGCCCGAGTCTGCAGGCCGGCGCCGAACGCAGGGAAAACCCGGCTGGACGGCCCCACAGCCCCCAGAAGGCCGGGCCGGACAGGGCCCGACGAGGGAGCCTCCTTACGCGCGGGCGGCGGGCGCGAGCCCTCTACGGTTGCCTGGCGCCGGAGACCCACAGACAGGACTCACCCAGCTTCCTCAAACGCCCACGCCGACTTCAGGCGCGCGCGCAGGAAGGAGACTGCTGCGCCACAACCCTGCCGGCGTCCCGCGGCTCCACCTCAGCCCCGGGAGCCCGGAGCTGGGAGCAGACGCGAGGATAGAGCGCCGGTGAGGCGGGGCGAGGCGCCGTGTGCACCGCAGCGACCAATCGGAGCGCAGCAAGTGGCCGGCCGGGGGCGGGGCGGGACGCGAGGGGGCGGGGAGAGGGCGTTGGCTGGGCGCAGCGGGACGCCGGGCGCTCCTCGCGACCAATCGGCGTGCAGCAAGTGGCCGGCCGGGGGCAGGGCGAGCTCCGAGGGACGGGGTGGGCTGCTCTGCAGGCCTCCCGGAGCCGGAGTTCAGACCCAGCTATCTACGGTTCCGGGCAGAGCGGGACGGGCCTCTCCTGTCCCCTGCCGGTGGGCGGCCGCCGCCGGGCTCCCACTGCTGCGTTTCTGCACGCTGACTTGAAGTGCAGTACCGTGAGATTACGTGCGGACGGAGCTCGAGACCCGGGGGACCAGGGTTTCCCTTCGCCTATGGCCGATCAGTCTTGTCTGTCTGCGAGCTGCCCAGAGTAGGGAAGGTGCTCCGGGAGGGTTCTCGGGAACGGAGGGTCTTTAGAGATGCCTTTTTCTAATCCCCTCAATTCAGAAATGGAGCCCCAGAAAGTTGAAGTTAGTAAACCAGGGCTACCCAGCGAGTGCTGGTTACCCGAGGTGATCCTCACAATACAACTAGTCTTCTGATTTCGCTCGGCGCTCTCCCGTCTATTCACGTAGATTTTTGTCTTTTTTTTTTTTTTTCGTCTTTCTTATAGTCAGATATCTTTCAGCCTCTTGGATTTTCAACATAACTTTAACAGCGTTTGGAAGCCCCGTCTAAATTTCCTACAGAAATGCCTATAACCATTTAGTTGTTTGGGGGAAAGTCGAGCTTTGTTTTTTGGGTGGTTTGTTTGTTTGTTTTGAGACAGGGTCTTGCTCTGTTGTCCAGGGTGGAGTGCAGTGGTGTGATCTTGGCTCACTGCAGCCTCTTACCTCCCACGCTCAATCAATCCTCCCACCTCAGCCTTCCGAGTAGCTGGGATTACAGGTGCGCACCACCATGCTTGGCTAATTTGTGTATTTTTAGTAGAGACGGGATTTCACCTGGCTGATCCTGAACTCCTGACCTCAGGTGATCCACCCGCCTCTGCCTCCCAAAATGCTGGGATTACAAGCGTGGGCCACTGTGCCCAGCCAAGTAGAGTTATTATCAGTGGAAATCTAAAAAGCATTTTACTTGAGGCATAATGAAGTAAAAGGTTTTGTATCATGGAATTATCACCAAAAATGCCATCCTGGATAATGTTCTCCTATAGCTCTTATACATGGGCTAGGATCTAGGTGTTCAATAAATATGTGCTGAATAATTTACTTTTGAAATATGTCACAATGCTGGCATTCCACCAGAAGAGAGGATACAGAAGGGAACACTCTCCTCTCTTTAAGAACCTTTTGAAAGGGGCGGGGGTTGCATGTACCATTTTTGTTTTCATTCTGCTAGTAAAATAGTCACTTGACTACACCAAATTGCAAAGAAGGCTGGAAAATGGGGTTTCAGTACTAAGGAAGGAAAACTAGATATTAGGGGACAATTAGAAGTTTCCAAATCTCATCACTTTTTTTGGGGGGGTGGGGGAGGCATCCCAAAGGGCAGACTGGTTTATTAGGCAGCAGCCAGGAAAATCAGCGGTTGGACTTGTCCCCACACTCCAGCTCATCCTTCTTGTTGATGGCATAGGAGCTGGAGGAGGCCTTGGTGGCATTGATGAGCTCATCCGCCAGGCACTCAGCAATGGTCTTGATGTTCCAGAAGGCAGCCTCACGAGTGCCTGTGCACAGCAGCCAGACGACCTGATTCACACAGTGCAGTGGGGACATGTCCACAGCCTGTTGTCTCACAGTCCCTGCTCGCCCAATGCATGTGGAGTCCTCCCAGGGACCACTGTTGATGATGGCGTTCACCAGGACCTGGAGAGGGTTCTCGCCTGTGAGCAGGTGGATGAAATCGAAGGCATGCTTGATGATGCACATGATCATGAGCTTGTTGCTGTTGTTGCAGCCGTGCATCATCATGGAGTTAGTGAGGGGCTCCACAATGGGGCACTGAGCTTTGCGGAAGCATTTGGCTGCATACCACCCAGCACTGTGAGGCAGGTACTTGGCATACTTCTCCTTCACTGCAGTGTAATCCTGCAGGGAAATGCCATTGATCTGCATATCATCAGTGCTCCACTTCCCAGAGAGCTTGATGTCAAGGGGTCTCTGCCACTGCTGGTGCTGCTGTCTCCCACTCGGTCATCCTGAGGGCACAGCCTGAGTGTCTCTGTCGATCAGCATGGACCACATGCTGCCCTGGCACAGACAGGCCATTGCTTTTTAAAGTACTAATATTTTAAGGTTTCCCAGGATTTTTTTAAGCTTTGTTACAGAATAATATCTGTAGAAAAATGATTACCTCCATATATGAAGGAAGACATTACTGTTCACCTACCGTTGGGATGCACATGCTTTAAGTTGCTTTTTTAGTAGTGGAGACTTATGTTAATGCAGCTTGTCTGAAGTCCTTTTCTACTGCTATAACAGAATAACACAGAACAGGCAATTTATAAACAATAGTGTTTTATTTGGTCCACAGTTCTGGAAGCCGGGAACTCCAAGAGCATGGTGCTGGCATCTTGTAAGGATTTTCATGCTGTGTCATCCCATGGTAGAAAACAAGACAGACAGGGGCCAACGAGCATACAAGACAGAAGGAGAAAATCAGGCTGACGCTATCCTTTTACCAAGAGCCCAATCCCAAGATAACTAACCCACTCCCACAATAACAGCATTAATCCATTCGTGAGGGTGGAGCCCTCATGACCCAATCACATCTTCAAGGTTCTACCTCTCAACACGATTACAATAGTAATTAAGTTTCAAACACATGAACTTTTTGGGGACACATTCAAACCATAGCACAATTTGCTTCTCTCAGTCTATAAACCTCTATTCCACAAAGAGTCAAACATGTATTTAGTTATGCTTTCAAAAATATGGGCATTTGGCCGAGCACAGTGCCTCACACCTGTAATCCCAGCACTTTGGGAACCAGAGGCGGTTGGATCACCTGAGGTCAGGAGTTCCAGATCAGCCTGGTCAACATGGTAAAATTCCGTCTCAACTAAAAAGAAAAAACAATTAGCTGGGCATGGTGATACATGCCTGTAATCCCAACTACTCAGGAGGCTGAGGCAGGAGAATCACTTGAATCCGAGAGGCAGAGGTTGCAGTGAGCCAAGATCACGCCACTGCACTCCAGCCTGGGCGACAGAACAAGACTCCGTCTCAAAAAAAAAAAAAAAAAAGGCATTTGAAAGATACGGGGATTAAGTTGCTGATGTCAACATTTCGCTGTCAATTCCAAATGTACTGATTTAAGTATTTAGTAGAATTGTAAATCAGCCTTTAAAAAAAAAAACCACACATGGCCGGGTGCGGTGGCTCAAGCCTGTAATCCCAGCACTTTGGGAGGCCGAGGCGGACAGACCATGAGGTCAGGCATTCGAGACCAGCCTGGCAAACATGGTGAAACCCCGTCTCTACTAAAAATACAAAAATTAGCCAGGCATGGTGGCGCTCACCTGTAATCGCAGCTACTCAAGAGGCTGAAGCAGGAGAATCGCTTGAATCTGGGAGTCAGAGCTTGCAGTGAGCCGAGATTGCACCACTGCACTCCAGCCTGGGCGACAGAGTGAGACTAAGTCTCAAAAAAAAAAAAAAAAAACCACACATTTTCTAATTCAATTGGTATTCTACCATGTAGCTACTGAAGCATATGTTTTGTTAAATTCCTGTTACCCAAGCACTTCAGAGAGGCACTCCTAGATTCTGGAGACATTGTGACTTCAGGACCATTTTCAGGTTTGGGCCAGGACAGGTTCTGAAAGATCTACTTCACCTAAAACTAGACAGAAAATGCAGTCCAGTTGGTACAAGCCTATTAAGAGAAAGGAACAATCCAGGCTGTCCTTCACGCTACGCCCCATGGGTTCTAGTTTATTCTCTCTCAGGGCTGCTTCATGAACTTACTCTGATAGAGTGGTATTCACGTCCATCTTTTGAGTGTACAAGCCAAATGTGTACCACAGGAACTATCTGAAAGGCTAAAACATGTTGCATAAACAGGTACTTCCCAAAATATTCTCTTTCTCCATATGCTTATGTGGTTGTATAACAAAAAGATTCATCTGAATAAGTCTTAGGCAGCTATTAGAACTGTTGTATTTTGATAAAGGTGTCTTGAGACTAAGGTCATACTTCCTGTGGGTCTGAAATGGACTCTCTCCTGAAAGGATGGCTATTCAGTGTCAGTCATTTAGGAGAAAAGACTGATCTTTAGATGGGAAACAAAAAACCAAGGCCTGGAAGATAATTTGACTCCAGCAGAAGAGGAAATACTTCTTTCCACATCTAGACTCTGAAGACAGTGTATACATTTGTCAGTTGGTCTCTTTCAGTTATAAGTAACAGAAAAGAACATCTCAAACTGGCTTAAATAATGAGTAGGATTCTGTGGCTCATGGAACTGGAGGATCAGAGTTATCATGGGTGTTATGGTCTGAATGATTATGTCTCCTCAAAACTCTTATGCCAGGGTACTATATTAGTCCATTTTCACACTGCTATAAAAACATTACCTGAGCTGGGCGCGGTGGCTCACCCCTATAATCCCAACACTTTGGGAGGACGAGGAGGGCGGACCACGACGTCAGGAGTTCGAGACCAGCCTGACCAACATGGTGAAATTCTGTCTCTACTAAAAATACAAAAATTAGCCAGGTGTGGTGGCAGGTGGTTGTAGTCCCAGCTACTCAGGAAGCTGAGGCAGGAGAATCGTTTGAACCCGGGGTACAGAGGTTACAGTGAGCCAAGATCGTGCCACTGCACTCCAGCCTGGAAGATTTGTTTTTCATTTTTTTTGAGAGAGGGTCTTACTCTTGCCCAGGCTGGAGTGCAGTGGTGTGATCATGGCTCACTGCAGCCTTGACCTCCTGGGCTCAAGCGATCCTCCCACCTCAGGCTCCCAAGTAGCTGGGACTACAGGAATGTGCTACCACACCTGATTTGTTGTTGTTGTTGTTGTTGTTTTTGGTAGAGACAGAGTTTCACCATGTTTCTCTGGCTGGTCTCAAACTCCTGGGCTCAAGCAATCCTCCTGCCTTGGTCTCTCAAAATGTTGGGATTACAGGCATGAACCACCGTGCCTGGCCAATCAAAAAGATTTTTTTAAAAAAATGCATTCAGGGCTGGGGGCGGTGGCTCATGCCTGTAATCTCAGCACTTTGGGAGGCTGAGGCGGGTGGATCACCTGAGGTCAGGAGTTTGAGACGAGCCTGACCAACATGGAGAAACCCTGTCTCTACTAAAAATACAAAATTAGCCGGACGTGGTGGCACATGCCTGTAATCCCAGCTACTTGGGAGGCTGGGGCAGGAGAATCTCTTGAACCCACTAGGCAAAGTTTGCAGTGAGCCGAGATTGCGCCATTGCACTCCAGCCTGGGCAACAAGAGCAAAACTCCATTACAAAAAAAAAAAAATTAGATGCCTAGCCCAAAATATTATTACCATTATAACAAAGGGACATTGAATAATTATTATAGTAACTTTATTAACATAGACAACATTTACAAACATAAAGTGCACTGTGCTGAAATTAAAAATTTACTGACATTTTCTGGTAACCTTACCTTCTCATTGACCAATATGGAAAATGGTTTTGTTCATCTATGTTGCTGTAATGCAGTTAAGCCTCTTACGTCTAATTCCCACTTTTTTTTTTTTTTTAAGACGGAGTCTTGCTCTGTCACCCAGGCTGGAGTGCAGTGGCGCGATCTCGGCTCACTGCAAGCTCCACCTCCTGGGTTCGTGCCATTCTGCTGCCTCAGCCTCCCCAGCAGCTGGGACTACAGGCGCACACCGCCATGCTCAGCTAAATTTTTTTGTATTTTTAGTAGAGACAGGGTTTCACCGTGTTAGCCAGGATGGTCTCAATCTCCTGACCTCATGATCCGCCCGCCTGGGCCTCCCCAAGTGCTGGGATTACAGGCATGAGCCACCGCGCCCGGCCTCGAATTCCCACTTTTAACAAGAGTCACAAAATTACTGCCTTCTAAAATGTTTTTGGAACTATAGCTCTTATTAAGCAACATTCCATACTGTTCACAATTTTATTTACAGTGATACTATCATTGTAGAAACCAAATGACAAATCATTCAATAAATTATAATCACATATTATGCCAATTAATGCTGCAGCATCTAAGCTAAAGGCCAAAAATTTCTTTTTGAAGGTGTAGTTTTGTTTGTTGTTTTAACTATCACACATTTTACAAAATAACACTTTCTTCCAAAATGCAGGTGGTGAGTCCCTCACTTCTGAACCACTTCTGTAACACAGCACTCTGGATTAAAGAAGGAAACACTGCACTCCAGCCTGGGCAACAACAGCAAAACTCCATTTCAAAAAAACAAAGTGGCCACTGGACCAGGCACAGTGGCTCGCGCCTGTAATCCCAGCACTTTGGGAGGTTAAGGCAGGTGGATCACCTGAAGTCAGGAGTTCGAGACCAGCCTGGCCAAAATGGTGAAACCCCATCTCTACTAAAAAAAATAAAAATTGGCTGGGCGTGGTGACGGGCACCTCTAATCCCAGCTACTTGGGAGGCTGAGGTAGGAGAATCACTTGAACCCAGGAGGCGGAGGTTGCAGTGAGCCAAGATTGCACCATTGCACTCCAGCCTGGGCAACAAGAGTGAAACTCCATCTCAAAAAAAAAAAAAAAAGCGGACACTGGAGTTTTTTTCTAGAATTGCTAAATCAACTAGCTTCACTGATTTCTGCAGCCAATAAACCATCAAGTTAGACAGGAAAAAGTAGAATCTGGATGTTTGGTGTGTTTTTCATTCAGTACCCACAGAGAAGGCCCTCATAAAAAGAAAAGTACAGTAATTCCAGTAGGCTAATTTTCTGATCTTAATATTTCCACCCATATGGAGGGTGTCCCAAAAGTCTTGGAACGGTTTTGAGCCTTAATAAGTTCAGGAATATAAATCCAGCAAGCTCGTTTAAAAAAAAAAGTCATCTGGAGGTTTAATTGGTTAAATTTCATAACACTTCAGTTTTGTGACTTTTGATAACATATTTTTCGGTTTCCCTGTTGTTTAAGTACCTATGTTTGAAAATGGCAACAGTCACTGCTTTTAAGTTAGTTATTACAGCTCAAAACTGCACCAAAACTTTTGGAATTCATGTATGATTCCTAAGTCAGAAACCTGATCCTAGCTCATTTCACTGGATGACCAACATTTTAACACTAGAATGAACTAAATTATTTTCTTTAGAAGTTTCAGTTATTTTTGGCCAGGCATGGTGGCTCACGCCTGTAATCCCAGCACTTTGGGAGGCCAAGGGGGGCGGATCATGAGGTCAAGAGATCGAGACCATCCTGGCCAACATGGTGAAACCCCATCTCTATTAAAAATATAAAAATTAGGCCGGGCATGGTGGCTCAAGCCCGTAATCCCAGCACTTTGGGAGGCCAAGGCAGGTGGATCATGAGGTCAGGGGTTTGAGACCATCCTGGCCAACATGGTGAAACCCCGTCTCTACAAAAAATACAAAAATAGGCCAGGCGCGGTGGCTCACACCTGTAATCCCAGCACTTTGGGAGGCCGAGGCGGGCGGATCACGAGGTCAGGAGATCAAGACCATCCTGGCTAACACAGTGAAACCCCGTCTCTACTAAAAATACAAAAAATTAGCTGGGCGTGGTGGCAGGCGCCTGTAATCCCAGCTACTCAGGAGGCTGAGGCTGGAGAATGGCGTGAACCCAGGAGGTGGAGCTTGCAGTGAGCCGAGATCGCGCCACTGCACTCCAGCCTGGGCGACAGAGTGAGACTCTGTCTCAAAAAAAAAGAAAACAAAATACAAAAATAGCCGGGTATGGTGGTGTGTGCCTATAATCCCAGCTATTCGGGAGTCTGAGGCAGGATAATCACTTGAACCTGGGAAGCAGAGGTTGCAGTGAGCCTAGATTGTGCCATTGCACTCCAGCCTGGGTGACAGAGCGAGACGCCGTCTCAAAAAAAAAGGAGTTTCAGTTATTTTCTTTTCTTGCTATATCCTCAGGACAAACCTGATAGGTTTCTCACTCACACATCATTGGCTATGTGATTAGTTTTGTGATAAGTACAATGGCACAATTCTTAAATTCTTGTATTATAGCAATAAATCTCATTTTCCATGTAAAGTGTCAGTGGAACTAAGAATGATTTATGATAGTAAACATCAAAATGATCGTATTTTAATAAATTTCCACAGATTCATCCAGTTTAAAAAACCTTTCTTGATTTCAGGTGTTTTCTCTCCTTCTCCTTGATCAAGGTTATTTGGGTTTCTATCTGTGACTTCTTTTGTTTTTATAAGGGTCTCGTATATTTTCTGGGCTCTGACAATTTCTTTCTGAGCATCAAAATGGACTTTTTGCCTGGTCAGGATGGGAACAATTAAATTAAAATCATTAATTCGCTTGTTTAATTTTCTGATGTTTTCTTGAAACTGCTCACAAACATGGTTCCACTGTTTCTTTTCAGTTGGTGTCATTGGATTCCCAAGTTTTTTCCTAGACACTAAAATTGCCTCTCTGAGTTGCTCAATAGTATCGCTTATTTCCTTTTGCTTAAGGATCCATTCTGGTTGGTATCCATTATCGATCAGTATTCGGTTCAGGTTGTGAGTCATGGGATCAATGTAAGAACAGTCAGAAAACTTTTTCAGAGGTTTTCCTTTCCCACTGAGATTGTCAAAGTCTCCTTTTGCCATGGATTCTTGAATGAGGTCCTCCACTAAACGTTCTATAGCTTGCGTTATCTTTTGCTGTTTGCTCTGTCTTATATTTTTAACAATTACACTATCAGGAAAATACTGGCTTTGTAGTTTCTGCTTTTGATATTCCATCACTTGTTCAGCAGCACGGTCTGCCCTAAATTGCCTATAATGCTTCTCTCGTTGAGTTGGAGTCCCAAAACCAATACCTTCAAAACTTAAATAATGTCGGTGTTGGGGTGTTTTATATTTGAATTTTTCTACATCTTCTTCTTCTTCACCTTTACTCTGACTGGCATTTGTTTGTTCTATCACATGGGAGAGCACCTTTCTATAAGCTTTTTCAATCCTTATAAATGTTGCAGAATCAGCAGTATTAGAGCCACTGTCAGGATGATATTGCTTGGCAAGCTTATGAAAAGATTCCCTGACTTCATCTGCAGAGCATCCTTCCTCCACGTTCAGCAGTCTATAATATTCTCTGATCTTCTTTTTGGATTTATGGGTTGACATCATTCTATTTCTAATGATACCAAAATATGGAAGCATTTTCACTCGATTAGGAATCACTGTAGCCTTTATCAGGTGAGATCTTAAGATCTGAGCCATCATCACATACATTGTATTCATTATTGTACCCAGAGTTCTTCCTAGCAATGACCTATAAAACGACAACAAATATAGGTTGAACAAAGTTGTATTATCAGTTAATTTCTTATTTTCAGCAATAAGGTAAAAGATACAGCATGAATTTATAAGTACAACAAGGGGCAGTTCTTTTGAATGCTGCTGTCAACTTTTTCCTTTTTTTTTTTTTTTTGAGACAGAGTCTCGCTCTGTCACCCAGGCTGGAGTGCAGTGGTGCCTCCACCTCCAGAGCCACGCCTAGCTAATTTTTTTGTATTTTTAGTAGAGAAGGGGTTTCACCATATCGCCCAGGCTGGTCTGGATATCCTGACATGGTTATCTGCCCGCCTCGGCCTCCCAAAGTGCTGGGATTACAGGTATGAGCCACTGCGCTCAGCCTTTTTTTTTTTTTTTTTTGTCTGAGACAGGGTCTTGCTCTGTTGCCCATGCTGGAGTGCAGTGGCACAATCGTGGCTCACTGCAGCATCAACCTCCTGGGCTGAAGTGATCCTCCCACCTCTGCCTCTCATGTTGCTAGGACTACAGGCGTGCACCACCACACCTGGCTAATTTCTGTATTTTTGTAGGGATGGGGTTTCGTCATGTTGCCCACCCTGGTCTCCAACTCCTGAGCTCAAACGATCTGCCAGTTTCTGCCTCCCAAAGTGCTGGGATTATAGGGGTGAGCCACTGTGCCCAGCCACATTCTTTTTTCTTTTCTTTTCTTTTCTTTTTTTTTTTTTTGAGACAGAGTCTCACCCAGGCTGGAGTGCAATGGCATGATCTCGGCTCACTGCAACCTCTGCCTCCCGGGTTCAAGCGATTCTCCTGCCTCAGCCTCCCAAGTAGCTGGGATTACAGGTGCACGACACCACTCCTGGCTAATTTTTGTATTTTTAGTAGAGACGGCGTTTCACCGTGTTAGCCAGGATGGTCTCGATCTCCTGACCCTGTGATCTGCCCGCCTCGACCTCCCAAAGTGCTGGGATTACAGGCGTGAGCCACCGCACCCAGCCCCACCAGCTGCATTCTTATAGCTATATTTCACTGATGTGGGCAGAAAAGTGGAAGCTGATGAAGTTTAGTGTTAACATATTGTGGGGCCAGGCACGGTGGCACACGCCTGTAATCCCAGTACTTTAGGAGGCCGAGGTGGGTGGATCACCTGAGGTCAGGAGTTCGAGATCAGCCTGGCTAACATGGCAAAACCCTGTCTCTACTAAAAATACAAAAATTAACTGGAGGTTGCAGTCCCAGCTACTCGGGAGGCTGAGGCAAGAGAATCGCTTGAACCCGGGAGGTGGAGGTTGCAGTGAACCGAGATCGTGCCACTGCACTCCAGCCTGGGCAACAGAGTGAGACTCTGTCTCAAAAAAATATAGATAGATAGAATCTGGATTCTACCCCTCACTAACTAACCGTATATTTTACAAGTGGAAAGTTCTTAGAGATCATCTAATCCAATCTTCTCATTTAATGAGAAAACGTAGGTCCGGAAGGTTAAGCAATTTAACCAAGTCCCATAACAAGGTGTAAGCAAAATGGTTAGGGGTGGGCACAGTAAAAAAGGAGGCTTGCTTAACTGTCTATACCTCCAGCCGATTATAAACTGCACGAGAGTCTGCATCATCTCAAGAAGTCTTCTCATAAGACGACTTATGGACAAGGTACGTACCTGGTCTGATACTGGATTGAATAGAATCAAGTGTCCAAAAGACTTTAAGCTCCACAGCTCGCTAGGAAGGAGCTATCTGCCAGAGGCCAGAAAAACCATGATGAATTGTGAGGCCTCCCAACACGTTTGCTGCTATTGCAATAACATGGTCTCGAAGAGGAGGAAGACTTGTACACTGACAATGGCCAAAAAATACTGGAAGTGGCTTAATTGGAATTGGGATATATAAACGCTAAAACGGAGCTCCTGAGACCCCCTATTTTCTAGGCAATCGGTGCCAACGGTCTGGGAGCCGGCTGCGAAGGTGGTTATCATGGCAAGGGAGGTCGGTCCTGCCCCGCCCCCTCCTCACCTGCGCAGACCTGGGGTAGGGGTTCCGCGGCTCCCGCCCCCCTGCCGCGCCTCTGCGCATGCGTGCGCGGTCCGCCCTTCACTGCGGGTGTCCCTCCCACCGCCTCCAGCTGGTGCCTCCGCCGGGCTAGACCATTTGCCACTTTACACTGAGGGGCTCGGGGGTACGGAAGGCAGAATCGTACCTGATTGGGACAGGTGACCTTACCAGGAAAACGGACAATCTTCCGCCAAACGAACTTTACCCCGGAGGACCCAGGCAGGGCACCTCGGGAGCCTTCGTCCCGACCGGGGACCACCAGCTCCACCTCCGTCCCCGCCCCGAGCGGAGGTGGTCCGGCCGATTGGGATTGTGGGAGATGTAGTTCGCTAGAAGGGGCGATGTGCGCCTGCGCCTCTCGGGAGGGACTTAGGGGGCGTCGAAAATGATGTAAAGACCGAGTTGGCGGCGTGGGGAGTTGTGGCTCGGAGGGCGAGGGTAACTTTCTGGGGGCAGGGGAAGGCAAGGCTGTTTCCCCGGAACGGGACCGGAACAGGTTTATTCGGGGTCACAGAAGGAGTCACCTGCGCAGATACATGAGGCTTAAAACCTGCCCTTTTATTAATTCAAGTACTGTTGAGGGGCTGGCGACAGGCCAGAGGACAAAATCAAAATAGGGATCTTCTGGCTTGGAGTTCAACCACTGACGTGGGGACTGAGCATTTCCCCTCTCTGTACAGGAAGCAAGTTTTTTAACAAGGAAAAAGAAAAAGGATAAAAAGAAAAAGGCAGAGGCTTGGGAGTTTTCAGATCTGGGTTGAAAATCCTGTTTCTTCTGCTTGCACCTTAGGCAAGATACCTGCAAAATGAGAGTTGCAATAAATAGTAAACTATAGTAAATAGTATGCCATTGTGCTAAGTGCTTTATGTATATTCTCATTTACTTTTTTTTTTTTTTTTTTGAGACAGAGTCTCGCTCTGTCGCCCAGGCTGGAGTGTGGTGGCGCGATCTCGGCTCGCTGCAACCTCCACCTCCCGGGTTTAAGCTATTCTCCTGCCTCAGCCTCCCGAGTAGCTGGAATTACAGGCGCGCACCACCATGCCCAGCTAATTTTTTTGTATTTTTAGTGGAGACCAGGTTTCACCATGTTGGCCAGGCTGGTCTCGAACCCCTGAGCTAAGGTGATCTGCCTGCCTCGGCCTTTCAAAGTGCTGGGATTACAGGCATTCATTTAATCTTTACAACAGCCCTCTGAGATAAATGCTGTTATTTTCCCTATTTTACATATAATGAAATAATAATTGTATCAACTTCATTGACTTTTTTAGGGGGAGAATTACACAATGTATGTAAACCACTTGGCACTGTGCCTCGCACATTAAGCAATATTTTTTGTTATGACTGTGTCTCCTAAAAGGAGCCAGAAATAGGTATTAGCCTCCTCAGCTTCTACATCATAAACATTAGAATCATTTATTGCCATCTATGTAGGAACACAGAAAAAGATACAGTATAAACTCTGATTCTGAGGGCTTTAGTTATAAGCAAACAATCAACAAAATAACTCATGTGAAAGAAAATAGGATTTCTGGCCGGGCGCGGTGCTCACGCCTGTAATCCCAGCACTTTGGGAGGCCGAGGCGGGCGGATCACGAGGTCAGGAGATCGAGACCATCCTGGCTAACACGGTGAAACCCCGTCTCTACTAAAAATACAAAAAATTAGCCAGGTGTGGTGGCGGGCGCCTGTAGTCCCACCTGCTCGGGAGTCTGAGGCAGGAGAATGGCGTGAACCCGGGAGGCGGAGCTTGCAGTGAGCCTAGATCGTGCCACTGCACTCCAGCCTGGGCGACAGAGCCAGACTCCGTCTAAAAAAAAAAAGACCTGGCCACTAAAAAATTTTTAAAAAGAAAAATAAGGCCAGACGCAGTGCTCACGCCTGTAATCTCAGCACTTTGGGAGGCTGAGGCAGGTGGATAACCTGAGGTCGGGAGTTTGAGACCAGCCTGACCAACACGGAAAACCCCCATCTCTCTAAAAATACAAAAAATTAGATGGGCGTGGTGGCGCATGCCTGTAATCCCAGCTACTCGGGAGGCTGAGGCAGGAGAATCGTTTGAACCCTGGAGGTGGAGGTTGCAGTGAGCTGAGATTGCGCCACTGCACTCCAGCCCAGGTGACAGTGCGAGACACTGTCTCAAAAAAAAAAAAAGCCACCAAGCAAAACTTCCTAAAAGTTGCCAGTAGCCATCCCCCTCTTCTGCTTCCAGGCCCAGTAAGGTGCCTTATATCTCTCAATCTCATCCTTCTCCCAGCCTTGCTTCTAAATGCACTCCAAGGCCAGGCACAGTGGCTCATGCCTGTAATCCCAGCCCTCTGGGAGGCCCAGGTGGGAGGATCACTTGAGCCTAGGGATTTGAACCAACCTGGGCAACATAGGGAGACCCCATCTCTATTTATTTAAAAAAAAAGTAAAATTAAAATACACTCCAAGTGTCAACACTTCACGCAGAAAACAGAAATGTTGAAGTTAGCCTTGCTTCCCCAGCTGCTCAAGGACCTTTTGAAATCTTCAACTGAGTGCCCAGCGAAGGCTGGGGAAGGGGCGGGGACTGTCCATCCTCCTTCCCAATACCAGTGGTTTATCAGTGTATTCAGCCCACAAAGCAAGTCCCTTCTCTAGGTACAGGGGAAAATTTCATTAGTAAAAAAATAAGAATTTTCCCCTTCAATCCATTAAAATTATAAAAATACATAAAACAAGATAGAAATGACAGAATGTTCTCAATAAATTGACCATATAAAAGGCCATACTCTGGCTGGGCACGGTGGCTCACGCCTGTAATCCCAGCACTTTGGGAGGCCGAGGTGGGCAGATCACGAGGTCAGGAGATCGAGACCATCCTGGCTAACACAGTGAAACCCTGTCTCTACTAAAAGCACAAAAAATTAGCCAGGCATGGCACCGGGCAACTGTAGTCCCAGGTACTCTGGAGGCTGAGGCAGGAGAATGGCATGAACCCAGAAGCAGAGCTTGCAGTGAGCCGAGATCGCGCCACTGCAATCCAGCCTGGGCAACAGTGCAAGACTCCGTCTCAAAAAAAAAAAAAAAAAAAAGGCCATACTCATCCTCAGAGATTGCAACCAAACGATACATTAATTAATTTAAAAAATGTTTTAAAGGTTATATTCAGCCTAAGAATGATTCACACAAACTTTTTTTTTTTTTTTTTGAGACGGAGTCTTGCTCTGTCGCCCAGGCTGGAATGCAGTGGCACGATCTCAGCTCACTGCAACCTCCACCTCCCAGGTTCAAGCAATTCTCCTGCCCCAGCCTCGCGAGTAGCTGGGATTACAGGCGCGCACCACCACACCCAGCTAATTTTGTATTTTTAGTAGAGACAGGGTTCTGCCTTGTTGGTCAGGCTGGTCTCGAACCCCTGACCTCAAATGATCCACCTAGGGCTCCCAAAGTGCTGGGATTACAGGTGTGAGCCACTGCACCTAGCCCACACAAACTTTGGAATCTTGATTACCTCTGAAAATCTTCGGGTAGACGGGGGAGTGTCCCAAGATTTTCATTTTGAACCACTGTTCATAATAGGAAGAATAAAGTCAAATTACAGAGAGAGAAATAAATTATGAAAGATTCCATGCTATAGACCAGTGCCGTGGCACATACCTGTGGTCTCAGCTACTCAGGAGGTAGGAGGATCGCTTGAGCCCAGGAGTTTGAGGCTTCAGTGAGCTATAATCGTGCCACTGTTATTCCCGCCTGGGTGATAGGTGAGACCCTGTCTCTTAAAAAAAAGAAAGAAAAACGAAAGAAAGAAACAGTGCAGTCATAAAAGAGAATGAGATCATGTCTTTTGCGGGAACATGGATGGAGCTGGAGGCCATTATTCTCAGCAAACTAACGCAGAAACAGAAAACCAAACACTGCATGTTCTCACTTATAAATGGGAGCTACATGATGAGAACTTAGGAACACAAGGAAACAACAGACACTGGGGTCTGCTTGAGGTGGGAGGGTGGGAGGAGGGAGCGGAGGAAAACAGAGAGCTATTGGGTACTGGGCTAAATACCTGCATGATGAAGTAATCTGTACACCAACCCCCCATGACATAAGTGCACCTATGTACCCCTTATAGGTGTAAGCCACCGCGCCCGGCCAGTAATTACAATAAGGAGACGCTATGTACAGTTGTCTCCCTCCAGATGACCTGGTCACTTCTCCACTCTTTGGGCTAAATTGTGCCCCCCATGTTGAAGCCCTAACCCCCAGTACTTTAGAATGTGACTGCATTTGGAGATAAGTTATTTAAAGAGGTGATTAAGTTAAAATGAGGCTGTTAAAGTGGGTGATAATCCAATCTGACTGACATCCTTATAAAAGGAGGAAATTTGGCCCCAGAGAGACATCAGGGTTGTGCACACACTGAGCAACGTCCCTGTGAGGACACAGAAAGAAGGCAGCCATCTGCCGGCCAAGGAGAGGCCTCAGGAGAAACCCACTCTGCAGACACCTTGACCTTGGACTTCCAGTCTCCACGACTGTGGGAGAATAATGGTCTCCCGTAGTTGAAGACCCAGTCTGTGGTGCTTTGTCACATCAGCCCCACCAGACCAACACAGCAGGTGTCTTTGATCCTTATACATCCCTTCAGTAGGTCCCAGGGATTTGTGTTACCCAAAATGTTTCCTCCCAGATGGAAAACTCTGAAAGCAGGTGGAAGCTTTCCCCCTCATTTTCCTCTTGCTGAACACACCCCTGCCCTGCAGGACCAGCTGTGGGCTGCTGCCTCCTGCTTTCCTCTTTCGAAGTCATTCTGCCAACTTGGAGATTTGGATTTGGGTGAGATGTGCTGGGGGTGGGATGTGGGGCAGAGTCTCCCCATCCGAAGAAAGGAGTTTCTGATCCTGGGATTTCGGATTTGCTGAAGGGTGCTTGTGCGGGTGGCACTGACTTTTCTCTCTTCTTGCTGTAGTTGGCCTCTAAGAGAAAGGCACCAGAAGCTCGTTCTCCGCTCTTTGAGACACCTTTCTTCAAGCTTCACAGCGTCCCTCTCTCTCTCTCCTGGGTCCCCCTACTGCACAGCCTACTCATACCCAGTGTCCTTGGCTGGCTCCGCCCTTCTCATGCAATTGGTGCTCTCAGATTCCACACCTCTACATTATGTTCATTATCTACTCTCCCTTGCCAATGCCAACGCCAATGCCTAAACCTCCTCCTCGAAGCTAATGACTGACCCCACAGTGGTGTCACAGTGTTGAATACAGGAATCCCTCAAGGTGTACAAAGAAGTCCCACCTCCCCTCTAAGTATCATCCCTCCCTCAATTTGCAAAAGAAAGGCACACCCCTCATTTACCCCAGACTGTTAACACCTTCCAGGCAGCAAAGGTGCAACTGAAAAGGTTGATTTACTGTGGGTGCTGAAGAAGGAAAATTAATCCTTTACAGATTGGATGGTTTGGCCAGGTGTAATGGTTCACCCCTCTAATCTCAGAACTTTGGGAGGTTAAAGGGGGAGGATTGCTTGAGTGTAGAAGTTCGAGAGCAGCCTGGACAACACAATGAGACCCTAACTCTACAAAATACAAAAATTAGCCAGGCATGGTGGCATGAGACTGTAGTCCCAGCTAATCAGGAGGCTGAGGTGTGAGAATCACTTGAGCCCAGAAGGTCAAGCCTGCAGTGTGCCGTGATCATGCCAGCGCACTTCAGCATGGGTGACAGAGCAAGACTCTGTCTAAAAAAAAAAAAGGCCGGGCGTGGTGGCTCACACCTGTAAACCCAGCACTTTGGGAGGCCGAGACGAGCGGATCATTTGAGGTCAGGAGTTCGAGACCAGCCTGACCAAAATGGTGAAACCCCCGTCTTTATTAAAAAATACAAAAATTAGCTGGGAGTGGTGGCAGTCGCCTGTAATCTCAGCTACTCGGCAGACTGAGGCAGGAGAATCACTTGAACCCAGGAGGCGGAGGTTGCAGTGAGCCAAGATCACGCCACTGCACTAGAGCCTGGGCAACAGAGTGAGACTCCCTCTCAAAAAAAAAAAAAAAAAAAAAAAGTTGCGTGGTTTCCAATACTTGGTTTTCAACAAAAGTGAAGGAGGATCTAATAGACTCCTCAGCTGAATATTTCATTTGAAATGATTTTCAGTGGTAGATTTTCCTGGTGCATATAACTGAAGCATTCAAGGAGTTGAGTGATATTGTTATAACAACTATTTTTTTTTCCTGTGACTTTCTGGAGTTTGGTGATGTCGGAAATTTAAAATGCTGTTTGGGGCCAGGTGCGGTGGCTCATGCCTGTAATCCCAGCACTTTGGGAGGCTGAAGTGGGCGGATCACCTGAGGTCAGGAGTTCGAGACCAGACTGGCCAACATGGTGAAACCCTGTCTCTACTGAAAATATAAAAATTAGCTGGGAGTCCGGGCATGGTGGCTGTTTGTAATCCCAGAACTTTGGGAGGCCAAGGCCGGCAGATCACCTGAGGTCGGGAGTTCGAGACCAGCCTGACCAACATGGAGAAACCCCATCTCTACTAAAAATACAAAAATTAGCTGGGCGTGGTGGCGCGTGCCTGTAATCCCAGCTACCTGGGAGGCTGAGGCAGGAGAATCACTTGAACCCGGGAGGCATAGGTTGCAGTGAGCTGAGATCTTGCCACTGCACTCCAGTCTGGGCGACAGAGCTAGACTCCGTCTCAACAAAACAAAAAACAAAACAAAACAAAACAAAAAAAAGCCTGGGTGTGGTGGCTCACGCCTGTAATCCCAGCAATTTGGGAGGCCGAGGCAGGTGGATCACGAGGTCAGGAGTTAGAGACCAGCCTGGCCAAGATGGTGAAACCCCATCTCTACTAAAAATACAAAAATTAGCCGGGCGTGGTAGCGGGTTCCTGTAATCCCAGCTACTTGGGAGGCTGAGGCAGAGAATTGCTTGAATCGGGGAGGCAGAGTTTGCAGTGAGCCGAGATTGCACCACTGCACTCCAGCCTTGGTGACAGAGTGAGACTCTGACTCAAAAAAAAAAAAAAAATTGTTGTTGAGGTTTCAGTGTCCACAGATATTTCAATTCATGAAACTTTCATTTTATAAAGCAAAATCAACTTGTAATATTAAAATCTTCACATCTTTATTGCAATGCTCAGAATACAGGTGGCTCAGGAGTTAGCTTCTTAAATAAGTTTACACATGAGGATTATCAGGTTAACAGATGGGGGATTTGAGGATTAGGCTTGCTACTGAGTCTTTAATATGATTTCTGTTACAAAGCCTGGAAGTTGGAAGTTCTACCTATATTCATTTAAAAGACTTCATGTTCTGAATGTGAAGCATGTTCAATGTACTCGTTGTATTTAAAAAAACTATGAATCAAATTTTTTATAAAAAAAGATTTTTTTTTTTTTTTTTAGGCCAGGCGCGGTGGCTCATGCCTATAATCCCAACACTTTGGGAGGCCGAGGTGGGCAGATTGCTTGAGGTGGGGAGTTCCAGACCAGCCTGGCCAGCATAGTGAAACCCCGTCTCTACTAAAAGTACAAAAATTAGCTGGGCATGGTGGTAAACACCTATAATCTCAGCTATTCAGGAGGCTGAAGCAGGAGAATCCCTTGAACCCGGGAGGCAGAGGTTGCAGTAAGCTGAGATCGCGCTACTCCACTCCAGCCTGGGTAACAGAGTGAAACTCCATCTGAAAAAGAAAAAAAATTGATTTGTTTTTTTTGAGTGACAGACAAGTTGGGTCTCTCCTTTTGGGAAACAGTTTTAGAGATATAATTCATATGCCATGCAATCATGAATTTGACATGTACATTCAATGGCTTTCAGTACATTCTTGTGGTTGTGCAACTATCACTGCAATCAATTCTAGAACATTTTCATCACTCAAACAAAAACCCCTGTACCCTTTTTTTGTCACCCCAAATACCTCTATCCACCTTAGGCAACAACTAATCTATTTTCTGTCTTCTGGATTTGCCTATTCTGGACATTTCCTTATTAAATGTTATTCATTATTATTAGGATTTTTTTTTTTTTTTTTTTGAGACAGAGTCTTGCTCTGCCACTCAGGCTGAAGTGCAATGGTGCCATCTCGTCTCACTGCAACCTCCACCTCCCAGGTTCCAACGATTCTCCTGCTTCACTCTCCCAAGTAGCTGGGATTAGAGGCACCTGCCACCATGCCCAGCTAATTTTTGTATTTTTAATAGAGACGGGATTTCACCATTTTGGCCAGGCAGGTCTTGAACTCCTGACCTCAAGTGATCCGCCTGCCTCGACCTCCCAAAGTGCTGAGATTACAGGCGTGAGCCACCGTGCTCGGCCTCAGTTATTATTATTAGTTTTAGAGACAGGGTCTCACTTTGTTGCCCAGGCTGGAGTGTAGTGGCATGATCTCAGCTCGATTGCACTCAACCTCCTAGGCTCAAGTGATCCTCCCACCTCAGCCTCCCAAGTAGCTGGGACTACATGTGTGTGCCACCACACCTGGCTAATTTTTTTTTTTTTTTTTGAGACGAAGTTCCCCTCTGTCGCCCAGGCTGGAGTGCAGTGGCGTGATCTCGGCTCACTGCAACCTCCGCCTCCAGGGCTCAAGCAGTCCTCCTGCAGGCTTCAGCCTCCCGAGGAGCTGGGACTACAGGCACATGCTCCATGCCTGGCTAATTTTTGTATTTTTAGTAGAGATGGGGTTTCAGCATGTTGGCCAGGCTGGTCTCAAACTCCTGACCTCAAGTGGTCCACCCACCTCGGCCTCCCAAAGTGTTGGGATTACAGGCGTGAGCCACCGCGCCCGGCCCTTTCTTTCTTCTACTTCTTATTATTTTTGAGACAAGGTCTCACTCCGTCACCCAGGCTGGAGTGCAGTGGTGTAATCCCAGCTCAATGCAACCTCCACCTTCCAGGTTCAAGTGGTTCTCCTGCTTCAGCTTCCAGAGTAGCTGGGATTACGGGCAAGGGCCACCATGCCCGGCTAATTTTTGTATTTTTAGTAGAGATGGCATTTCACCATGTTGGCCTGGCAGGTCTCGAACTCCTGACCTCAAGTGACCCCCCTGCCTCATCCTCCCAAAGTGCTGGAATATAGGCCTGAGCCACCGCACATAGCCACACCTGGCTAATTTTTATATTTTATTCTTTGTAGAAATGGTTTCTTGCTATGTTGCCTAAGCTGGTCTGGAACTCCTGGACTCAAGCAATCTTCCCTCCTCGGCCTCCCAAAGTGCTGGGATTACAGGTGTATGGTACTGCACCCAGCCTGGACATTTCATATAAATAGAACTGTATAATATGTGGTCTTTTTTTTTTGAGACAGAGTCTCACTCTGTCACCAGGCTGGAGTGCAGTGGCACGATCTTGGCTCACTGCCACCTCCGCCTCCTAGGTTCAAGCAATTCTCCTGCCTCAGCCTCCTGAGTAGTTGGGACTACAGGCGCGCACCACCACGCCCAGCTTATTTTTTATTTTTATTTTTTCTTCTTTTTTCTTTTTTGAGACGGAGTCTCGCTCTGTCACCCAGGCTGGAGTGCAGTGATGCGATCTTGGCTCACTGCAAACTCTGCCTCCCGGGTTCACGCCATTCTCCTGCCTCAGCCTCCCGAGTAGCTGGGACTACAGGCGCCCGCCACCACGCCTGGCTAATTTTTTGTACTTTTTTAGTAGAGACGGGGTTTCACCATGTTGCCATGAAACATTTAATAAGGAAATCTCGATCTCCTGACCACGTGATCCGCCCGCCTCGGCCTCCCAAAGTGCTGGGATTACAGGCGTGAGCCACCAGCACCCAACCGCTTATTTTTATTTTTAGTAGAAATGGGGTCTCACCATGTTGGCCAGGATGGTCTCGATCTCATGACCTGGTTATCTGCCTGCCTCAGCCTCCCAAAGTGCTAGGATTACAGGCATGAGCCACCGAGACCAGCCAGTCTTTTTTTTTGGTGTTGTTGTTGTTGTTGAGAAAACGTCTTACTCAGGCTGGAGTACAGTTGTGCGATCACAGCTCACTGAAACTTCGACCTCCTGAGCTCAAGGAATCCTCCTACCTCAGCCTCCCAAGTAGCTGGGACTACAGGTGTGTGCCACCATGCCTAATTTTTGTTTTATTTGTAGTGATGGGGGTCTCACTATGTTGTCCAGGCTGGTCTTGAACTCCTGGGCTCAACTGATCCTCCTACCTGGGCCCCCCGTGCTGGAATTACAGGTGTGAGCCACCATGCCTGGCCGCATGTGGTCATTTATGACTGAATTCTTTTTTTTTTTTTTTTTTGAGACGGAGTCTCGCTCTATTGGCAGGCTGGAGTGCAGGGGCGTTAGCTCACTGCAACCTCCGCCTCCCGGATTCAAGCAATTCTCCTGCCTCAACCTCCCTAGTAGCTAGGACTACAGGTGCACACCACCACGCCCAGCTAATTTCTGTATTTTTATTAGAGACAGGGTTCCACCATGTTGGCCAGGATGGTCTTGATCTCTTGACCTCGTGATCCGCCTGCCTCGGCCTCCCAAAGTGCTGGGATTACAGAGCTGAGCCACTGCACCTGGCCCTGAATTCTTTCACTTAGCATAATACTTCAAGGTTCACCCACACTGTAGCATGTGTTAGTATTTCATTCCTTTTTATAATTGAATAGTATTCAATGTATGGATATATTTATCCATATATTTATCAGTTCATTTGCTGATGAACATTTGCATTGTCTCCACTTATGAATCAGTTTTTAACTGTTAATTAACATTTGGCTCCAGATAAAGGAAAATGATCTAACACTGTGGTAAATGTAAAATTTACATGGCTTGTGAAAGAATGGCTGTCAGAGATGGTCTCTTTTAAACAGTGGAGGAGGCAAATGTATGCATTAGAATTGCTGAAAAACACTTTGGGAGGTAAAGACAATTTTGGTTTTAAAAAGGCCAAAGGAGGGCCGGGTGCGGTGGCTCACGCCTGTAATCCCAGCACTATGAGGGCCAAAGCAGGCAGATCAAATGAAGTCAGGAGTTGGAAACCAGCCTGGCCAGCATGGTGAAACCCCGTCTCTACCACAAATACAAAATGAGCCGGGTGTCGTAGTGCATGCCTGTAATCCTAGCTACTCAGGAGGCTGAGGCAGGAGAATCACTTGAACCCGGGAGGCAGAGGTTGCAGTGAGCTGAGATCTTGCCACTGCACCCCAGCCTGGGTGACTGAGTGAGACTGTCTCATCAAAACAACTATATGAATGATATTTGCCTACTTTAATTGACAAGGGAATAGAGAGACACAGTGGATGAGAAATGTGCCTAAAGTTTTATGCTTGAATCTAAAAGCCACCAACTCTCCCCCTAATCCTCTAGTGACTTGCAGAGAAGTATGGATCTTTATAAACCACAGGATAATTAAACTTTACTGAAGCTAAAATCTGGGGATTACAGAAACTGTCAATAATTAGAGGAACGTTTAATGATACTTCAAAGCATAAAGGATACTATCCTTCAGAAATGGGAGCTATCCAGAAATCTTAACACACCAGATTATGATCACGATGGTCGGAAAAGTCTCAAATCAGCTATACAATATAAGGAAGAGATACTGCCTTGTTAGACTTGGGGAAGAGATAGTCACTTGACACTGATCAGAAGGAGGCTGGGCAACTTTTACACACCGGAATCTATAACCAAGATTATAAACGGAACCCAGGTGATACACTTGGGTTTGTCCTCATGTTTCTTTTCCTCATTTTAACTCAGATACATCCAGCAGTCATGGCTTCAAAAGCATATGATCAAAGATCAGAAAACCCATAACTTATTTATTTATTTATTTATTTATTTATTTATTTATTGAGATGGAGTCTCGCTCTGTCGCCCGGGCTGGAGTGCGGTGGCATGATCTCAGCTCACTGCAAGCTCTGCCTCCCGGGTTCACGCCATTCTCCTGCCTCAGCCTCCCAAGTAGCTGGGACCACAGGCGCCCGCCACCACACCCAGGATAATTTTTTTTTTTTTTTTTTTTTGTATTTTTAGTAGAGACGGGGTTTCACCGTGTTAGCCAGGATGGTCTCGATCTCCTGACCTCGTGATCTGCCCGCCTCAGCCTCCCAAAGTACTGGGATTACAGGTGTGAGCCACCGCACCCAGCCCATTATTATTTTTTGAGACAAGTCTCGCTCTGTTGCCCAGGCTGGAGTGCAGTGGCATGATCTTGGCTCACTGCAACCTCCACTTCCTGGGTTCAAGCGATTCTCCTGCCTCAGCCACCCGAGTAGCTGGGATTACAGGTGCGTACCACCACACCCAGCTAACTATTTTTTGTATTTTTAGTAGAGATGGGATTTCACTGTGTTAGCCAGGATAGTCTCGATCTCCTGACCTCATGATCCGCCTGCCTCGGCCTCCCAAAGTGCTGGGATTACAGGCGTGAGCCACTGTGCCCAGCTGAAAACATAAAACTTATAAACATGGAGGTGATTCATCATGTTGTCAGGCAATACCAAAAAAAAAAAGAGGGGGTGACGGTTAGAAAAAGAGCATAAAAAAGACCAAGAAAACTGTATGTCTCAGATATGCTGCACTAACTAGTCTTGTTTTTAGTGAGTCTCTATTTATTAAAAAAATAGATGAAGTAAGGGTGAGGTCTTTTTTGTCTTTTAGCAGTTTTTCTTTTGGGCCAAGTCCATGATAAAAAACCACCATGCAAACAGCAAATAATTCTTTCTAAACTGGCCCCATTTCTGAATTAAAAGGCTTCATTCCTCTTTAACCCAACAGATCTTGCCATTTTCTCCAAGCTGTACAGTTCCACTGGCCACCAGCTGAAGGGCTGCAGGAAATATTTTATGTTCTGCTAATTTTACTCTTTCAGAAAGAGTTGCGACAGTATCACCCCTCTTCACGGGAACAGCTTCTTGCAAAATAATCTGTCCAGCATCCACATCTTCCTGGAAAAGTAAGCAAAAGTTTTGAACATTACCTTCTAGCCAGTGTCATTTACATCTGACTACTAATATTATGTTGGTAGAAAAAGACATACTCACAGCTACAAAGTGTACAGTGCACCCAGTAACTGTGACTCCGGTTTCCAGGGCTTGCTCATGGGCATTTGAACCCTTAAAAGAAGGGAGCAAGGATGGGTGGATATTGAGCATTTTTCCTAAAAATTAAAAAAAGCATAGTGGTCAGAATTTAAAAATCCTGGGTATTCTGTTAAAGGAATACGTTTTCCTATCTAGATCCGAAGTCAAACAGGAGTTGGATTTCTGGGATGGATGTTTTCTTTGCCAAACACAGAAATGAGGTAAAAGTAAGTTCTCATCCAAGAAGGCCCTGGAAGCAGCAAGTACCCGCCTTGCACAGTTAAAGGCATGCTGGGGTGCTCTGAACAGACATTCATGGTGACAGGAAGGTGGGGAGTTCAAGCTGAATACCAGCTTGTTGCTGGCACGTACTATTAAAAATAAGCAAGAGGTTCTTACATAGCATCTATGTGCTTGACTTCTAACCACAAAGTGACCTGTCCACCAGACAGATGCTAGATTAGTTCTGTGTGGCTCATGTCACCAAAGGCATTGTCTATTTTATATCACACCACAAGTGCTCTAACTACATTCACCTAAGAATACATAAACTCTTTGGAGGGAAAATGCATTTATTGACCAACTGTGTGCACACATACACAAACAGGATGCAGTCAAGGCTTTTGGGAAGAAGGCAGTAACATAGATAGTATGTGTTTTCTGGCAATAACCTCCTCCTTGCCAACTCCTGGCAATGGTCTATGCTTCCTAAGAGAGGATGGACTCTTCATTTTGGGATATACGGAATCACTCTCTTTTGCTTCCAAACAAATAAAGGAAGGTCTTCTGAATATTTATTCAAAAGATGAAATATTATCTTTGCAGTAATGTGAAACAAAACTAAGCTACATTAGAAAAAGTGATTAATTACAGCAAGCCAAAGTAAATGGATAGAGAGCAGGTTAATAAATCATCATTGGGTCATTCTTTAGTGTAAAACAAAGGAAATTAAACTGTGACCTGTGTTAAAGTATTAATAAAATATCACAGTCAAACAGGAGTTGGATTTCTGGGATGGGTGTTCACTACTGGGATTGTTTGGCAAGTTATCTGTTCTGGAGACCATTTTCAATTGATTTCCCAATGTGATGTCAAATAATTTTTGCTTACCATTCCACTTTTGGACAAAGGGGCCAGAAAGAATTCTCATGAATCCTGCAAGACAGACTATGTCTATGGAGAACTCTTCAAGGACTAGGTCAATTGCACTGTCAAATTCTACACGATTTTTATACAGTTTATGATTAATTACCTGTAATAGAAAAAGATAAGCACAACCCTTTTCAATGAATTACCAAAAATAATTAAAAACTCAACCTTTACACAGACCATACTTCACTTCCTTGTAAAGATATACCTGATAGAGAGATTATTAAGAAAGGGACAGGATGAAGAAGGCAAGCCCAGCACCCACCCAAAATGGCGAAGTCCCAAGAACAAGTGCCCATAGACCAGGGTCCTGTGAGGGCAGATTACGAGCTTAAATATGGCCCACAGCAAAGATATTTTCCCAAGTAACTTACTCTAGTGGGAATACCAGCTCTTTCCGCTTTATCTAACCCAGCTACTGCGGCTTTGTTGGAGATAACAATATCAATTTGTGCAGAGCTATTTGGTTCCCGAGTACTGTCTATAAGTGCTTGCAGGTTCGATCCTGAGAAGGGAGAAAAACAGCAGTGAGCTCATACTACTACTTCTTTTTTTTTTTTTGAGAGGGAGTCTCACTCTGTCGCCCAGGCTAGGAGTGCAGTGCCACGATCTGGGTTCACTGCAACCTCCACCTCCCGGGTTCAAGCAATTATCCTGCCTCAGCCTCCTGAGTAGCTGGGATTACAGGAGCCCACCACCACACCTGGCTAATTTTTGTATTTTTAGTAGAGATGGGGTTTCACCACGTTGGCCAGGCTCGTCTGGAACTCCTGACATCAGGTGATCCGCCCACCTCGGCCTCCCAAATTTGGGATTACAGGCATGAGCCACCGCGCCCAACCTCACACTTTTTAAAAAAAGAGATGTGCCATTTTGAATAGGGGACAGTCAAATTTTCTGAATAAATGTCTTGGAAAAGACTGGTGATATGTGAGGCTTCTAAATTCCCTTTCTCTTGGCACAGGCAACTAAAGTAAATATGGAAAAAGCTTCTGTATAGCAATGGAAACAATCAACAAAGTAAGGAGACAACCCACAGAATGGTAGAAAATATGTGCAAACTACCCATCTGACAAGGGATTAATAACCAGAATATATAAGGAGCTTAAACAATTCATTAGGGAAAAATCTAATACTCTGATTAAAAATGGGCAAAAGATCTGAATAGACATTTCTTAAAAGAAAACACACAAATTGCAAACAGGTATATAAAAAGGTGCTCAACATCATTATCATCAGAGAAATGCAAATCAAAACTATGACATATTGTCTCGCCCCGGTTAAAATGGCTTTTATCCAAAACACAGGCAATAACACGCTGGCGAAGATGTGGAGAAAAGGGAACCGTCACACACTATTGGGAAGGTAAATTAGTACAATTATTATGGAGAACAGTTTGAAGGGTCCTCAAAAATTAAAAAAAAGAGCTACCATATCATCCAGCAATCCCATTGCTAGGTATATACCCAAAAGAAAGAAAATCAGTGTATCAAAGAGATACCTGCAGTTTCATGTTTATTCTCCCTAGCCAAGATTTGGAAGCAACCTAAATGTTTATCAGCAGACAAATGGATAAAGAAAATGTGGTACATCACACAATGGAGTACTATTCAGCCATAAAAAAGATGAGATCCTGTCATTTGCAACAACATGGATGGAACGGGAGGTCATTAAGTTAAGTGAAATAAGTCAGGCACAGAAAGACAAACCTCACATGTTCTCACTTATTTGTGGGAGCTAAAAATTAAAACAGTTGAACTCATGATGATAGTGCAATGATGGTTACCAGAGGCTAGGAAGGGTAGTGGGAGAGACGGGGAGAGGGGATGCTAATGGGTACAAAAATATAGTTAGAATGAACAAAATCTAGTGTTTGATAGCATAACAGGGTGACTATAGTCAACAATAATTTATTACACATTTTAAAATAACTGGAAGAGGCTGGATGTGGTGGCTCACACCTATAATCCCAGCACTTTGGGAGGCCAAGGCAGGCGGATCATACTGAGGTCAAGAGTTCAAGACCAGCCTGACCAGCCTGGCCAACATGATGAAACCCCATCTCTACTAAAAATACAAAAAATTAGCCAGGCATAGTGGCAGGTGCCTGTAATCCCAGCTACTCAGGAGGCTGAGACAGAAGAATCACTTGAAACTGGGAGGCGGAGTTTGCAGTGAGCCGAGTCTGCGCCACTGCACTCCAGCCTGGGCGACAGAGTGAGACTCTATCTCAAAAACAAAAACAAAAACAAAACAAAAAAAAACTGAAATAAAATAACTGGATTGTTTGTAACACAAAGAATAAATGCTTGAGGTGATGAATACCCCATTTACAGGGATGTGATTATTACAGGTTGTATGGCTGTATCAAAAGATCTCATGTACCCTATAAATATATATACCTACCATGTACCCATACAAATTAAAAATTAAAAAAACTCCCTTCCTCTTGGGATAATGGATTAATAGATTGTGAAAAGCACAGATATTCCTGGATAGCCTCCAGTTCCATCCATATTGCTGCAAACGACGTGGTTTAGGATATGTAATTGCTCCTAGGATATGTAATTGCTCCCACAAATTCTGTATCTTGTGATCTAGCATTGTAGTAGAAACAGTATAACATTATGTTAAAACTGACTGATGAGAAATAAGCTGCTTAATTAAGCAAGAAAAACTGACCCTCTCAAGAACAAACCACTATGCTATGACTCTTACAATAGTTTCTTTAAAAAAAAAAAATTTTAGATTCGGGGGTACACACGCTTGTTTATTACATGGGAATGTTGTATAATGGTGGGGACTGGGCTTCTAGTGTACCTATTACCTACATAGTGAACATTATACCTGATAGAAAAATTTTCAACCCTCACCTCTTCTCCCACACTTCCCTGTTTTGTATCTATTGTTTCCATCTTTTTTTTTTTTTTTTTTTTTGAGATGGAGTCTTGCTCTGTCTCCAGGCTGGAGTACAGTGGTGCAATCTCAGCTCATTGCAACCTCTGTCTCCAGGGTTCAAGCAATTCTCCTGTCTCAGCCTCCAGAGTAGCTGGACTACAGACGTGTGCCACCATGCCCAGCTAATTTTTGTATTTTTAGTGGAGACAGGGTTTCACCATGTTGGCCAGGATGGTCTCGATCTCTTGACCTTGTGATCCGCCCGCCTCAGCCTCCCAAAGTGCTAGGATTACAGGCGTGAGCCACAGCACCCGGCCCTATTGTTTCCATCTTTATGTCCACATGTACCCACTGTTTAGCTCCCACTCATAAGTGAGAACATGCAATATCTGGTTTTCTGTTTCTGAGGCAGTTCACTCAGGATAATGGCCTCCAGTTCCATCCATATTGCTGCAAATGATGTGGTTTTATTCTTTTTTATGGCTGCATCTTACAATAGCTTCTTTGCTTTATTATCAACTTGGGCCTAAAGTACATTAAAACCTTAAGATCGACCTGTAAAGCAATTAAACTTCTGGGAATGAATCCTGAAGAAGTATCAGAGCTGGTTGTGGTGCTGCATGCCTGCAGTCCCAGCTACTCGGGGGGCTAATAAGGCGGAAGGATTGCTTGAGGCCAGAGCTGGAAGCTGCAGTGTACTATGACTGCATCTGTGAATAGCTACTGTACTCTAGCCTGGGCAACATAGCAAGACTGTCTCAAAAAGAATCACTATGATCTTGGCCATCAAATAAAAAAAAATCACATATGCATTTAAGAACATACTGAATATTTGCAAGAATGTTCATAGCAGTGTTACTTACAATAGAGGGAAAAAAATCAGGCTACATCCATCTGAGAGAATACAATACTCTTATTACTTTACCCCTCTATCCATAAAGGTTAAACATAAACTTCTTCTAATTAATAAGATAACAATAAAAATTCCTCAACTGTTTTCAGACTTTTCAACAACAAAGCTATGATACAAAATGAGCTGTAGCTTCTATCTTTTCTGGTTTCTCTTTAACCAGCTTTCTGACATCCTTTACTTTTTTCTTTGGGAGCTGTCTCAAATTCCTAAGAAAAGTGGAAAGACTAAGAATGCTGAAAAGACAAAGACAACCCTCATGATTCCCCCCAGTCCCTAGACTCTGCCGAGAGTAACCTTACAATCTCACAAGAGTGCGGGGAGGAAAGGAAGGGCAGTCAACAGCTCTACAGTGAAGGGGAAGCCACATCTCACCTGTTCCAGATATTAAGACAGCCACTCTGGCCTTTTTTTTTTCAAAAGAGAAATGATTTGTCAGGGAGCCATTCTTCAACACTGACCCATTTATTTGCATGCTTTCAATCAGATTCTTGACTTTCACACGTGGGGAACCTTCATTTCAAACATATCCATAAATAAGTAAAGAACAATTGTGAATTAACAAGAATAATGGAAAGAAAAATATTTTATGAAAACTTTAGGGTATGTTTTATCCTGAAAATAAGATAATGCAAGGACTAAAATGAACAACACATTTGTATCACTTAACACTACTCTTTCATAAAAACTTCCAAAAGGTGAACATATGTAATTACTTCAACTAAAAGCTGCAGATCACATCACTATCTTGAAGTGCACGGTGGATATATATGACTGCCTGCCAGTATTCTGCCCCTACTCCCCAAATCTTCCTAGCGAGACCACCCACAGTAGTGCCATGATCTCCTGGTCTCGGGGATAAGCATGTGACCTAGCAAAGCCATTTAAAGGCTTGATATGCGATGTTAAGAAAAAGAGGGTCTCTCTTTTTTTTCTTTTTGAGATGGAGTCTCGCTCTGTTGCCCAGGCTGGAGTGCAGTGGCGCGATCTCGGCTCACTGCAAGTTCCGCCTCCTAGGTTCACGCCATTCTCCTGCCTCAGCCTCCCGAGTAGCTGGGACTACAGGCGCCCGCCACCACGCCCGGCTAATGTTTTGTATTTATTAGTAGAGACGGGGTTTCACTGAGTTAGCCAGGATGGTCTTGATCTCCTGACCTCGTGATCCACCCGCTTCGGCCTCCCAAAGTGCTGGGATTACAGGCGTGAGCCACCACGCCCGGCTGGGTCTCTCTTTCTTATTGTAATGTGAGCTGAAGGATGTTATCTTTCCGGCATTTGGAGAACCCGCTTGAAAATGAATCCTACACAATAGAGGAAAGAAAGGCAGATACAGGTAAAGTCAACAAGGTCTGACATTTTTTTTTTCTATTTTTTATTTTTGTGAATCTTCTCTGTATCGTTCCAATTTTAGTATGTGTCCTGCCAAAGCAAGCATGTGACGTCTTTGTTAGTGAATCTGAGTGGATTTTCTGCCCCTCTGCCAAGTTCTAGCACTTCTCGCAGAGTCCTGACTGATACAGTACTTGTCAGGGTGCTTGCTCGCTATTCCTTGAATCGAGCTGAGTGACAGCAGAGCCATGAGGTCTTGTGTGTAGGGAGATTACTTTGGGAAGCGATCCTGTGGGGTGTGGCTGTGCATGCATGAATGCTTAGTTCTGAGGCAGAAATGAAGAGATACGTGGTATCGCTGGGGTGGGTGCTGTCATGTTACATCTGTGTAAAGATAGTTGCCATAGCGATGGCTGCACTAAAAGGTGGGCAGAAAGCTTGTGAGGCAAGGCTGAGGTATAGCTAAAATTATACAGCTAAAATTATATATCTAAAAATGAGTAAGGAGCAAGTACCTTCAGCTCGTGCAACCACACTGCCAATCACCCAGGCTTCTTCCTTGTGCTGCTGGATATCCCTCAGAATCTGCTCTGTCTGCTCCTTTGATACCACAAGGACAGCGCCAACCCCACAGTTAAATGTTCTGGCCATCTCTTCCTCAGAGAGGTGTCCTTCCTGCTGCAACCATGAGAAGACCCTGGGGATCCTCCAGGTCTGGGCATCTGAAAAAAATAGACACGAATTGTTTGATTTTCCTACCTTCTCACACAAAGTACAAAAGTATGCACATATTCAAAGATGTGGAAATTATAATCAGGCTCTGCTATTTTATGTAGGGTAAAACTATAAATTGGCCTCTGAGAACTTTTTATTTGGGGATCCATTTGTACCTTAGACATTAAGAACATTTTTTTGTTGACACACTTGGCCAGTACTCACAAATGAGTGAGGTTTTGTGCTACATTAACTAACTAGACCCTTAGACATTCCCTAATGGATCAGATGAGCTAGTAGCTGAATTCCAGCAAAGGCCAGTATACCATCCTTTTGTGAATGTTTGGCTGAGTCTTTGTGATGACCAAAATGCACCCAAAGTACAATGCAAAACTAGATGGCTTATCTACATATTTAGAGAAAATGCATACACTCCTCAAGAAAAGTTATGTTAATGGAAGGCGGATCAACACCCTCTCCCTCTCATTCTTTTTAAAATTTAGACTTCCTAGGTCTGCTATAAGAATACATTCTCTCGGCCGGGCGTGAGAATCCCAACACTTTGGATTACATGCCTGTAATCCCAACACTTTGAGAGGCTGAGGTGGGCGGATCACGAGGTCAGGAGATCGAGACCACCCTGGCCAAGATGGTGAAACCCATTCTCTACTAAAAATACAATAATTAGCTGGGCGTGGTGGCGCACACCTGTAGTCCCAGCTACTCGGGAGGCTGAGGCAGGAGAATCACTTAAACCTGGGAGGTGGAGGTTGCAGTGGGCCGAGATGGTACCACTGCACTCTAGCCTGGTGGACAGAGTGAGACTCCGACTCAAATTGAAAAAAAAAAAAAAAAAAAAAAGAATACATTCTCTCTTATCACAAATAATACAACAAAAATCTCTAATAAAAATTTTTAGGTAAAGGTCTATATACACACACACAACATTTCTGAATTTAAAAAGAATCTGGATAGTTCTTTGGAATCTACGATTATGGGATCTGATTTTTTAAAAAAACTATACTGAATTAAATTATTTATGATGCTCTTAAGAAAGGGAAGCCAATGTGAACTCAGCTTTTTATTAAATAATAAGGTTTACTATCAGTTCTGCCTATTTATTTGATTTATTTATTGGATAATTTTTTTTTTCTTTGAGACAGGATCTGGCTCTGTTGCCCAGGCTGGAGTGCAGTGGCATGAACACGGCTCACTGTAGCCTTGATGTCCCAGGCTCAAGTGATCTTCTCACTTCATCCTCCTGAGTAGCTGGGACTACAGGCATGCGACACCATGCCTGGCTATTTAAAAAATTTTTTTTTTGGAGAGACAGGGTCTTACCATGTTGCCCAGTCTAGTTTTGACCTCCTGGGCTTCTTCTGCCTCAGCCTCCCAAAGCGCTGGGATTATAGGCATGAGCCATCATGCTCAGCTGATAATCAGTTTTTTAATACTTTGGAGTTGATACAATTTTTTTTTTTTTGAGACAGAGTATCTCTCTGTCGTTTAGGCTGGAGTGCAATGGCGTGATCTCGACTCACTGCAACCTCCGCCTCCTGGGTTCAAGCTATTCTCATGCCTCAGCCTCCCGAGTAGCTGGGATTATAGGCATGTGCTACCACACTTGGTTATTTGTGTGTGTGTGTGTGTGTCTCTGTGTGTGTGTGTGTGTGTGTGTGTGTGTGTGTATTTTTAGTAGAGACAGGGTTTCATCATGCTGGCCAGGCTGGTCTTGAACTCCTGACCTCAGGGGATCCATCCACCTCAGCCTCCCGAAGTGCTGGAATTACAGGGGTGAGCCACCATGCCCAGCCTGAAGTTGATACAATTTTAAAAATGAGGCGGGTGCAGTGGCTCAGGCCTGTAATCTCAGCACTTTAGGAGGCCGAGGCCCGCAGATCACGAAGTCAGGAGTTCGACACCAGCCTGGCCAACATGATGAAACCCCATCTCTACTGAAAATACAAAAATTAGCTGGGCGTGGAGACGCACATCTGTAATCCCAGCTACTCGGGAGGCTGAGGCAGGAGAATCACTTGAACCCGGGAGGTGGAGGTTGCAGTGAGCTGAGATCGCACTACTGTACTCCAGCCTGGGCGACAGGGTGAGACTCTGTCTAAAAAAATAAAAATAAATAAAAATAAAAATGAATCACATGTCTATGACTCTTAGATTCAATTCCATTTATAGTAGCTGGGAAATGTCCATTCTTAATAGTTGACCTCAGATTTAGTAACTACATTGTTCACTATGCTCTCAATAGTTAAAAGTAAATAGCAACTTAAAACTAAATAGTGGTACATCTGTAAAATGGAATACTTGTTATCAAAAATGATGCTACTAAGACAAGGAGATAGTGATGACATATTTAATGGCAGGGCAAGTAGCAGATTACCAAATTATGATCTTGTTTTAGTGAAGTTTTACAAAATATTTATAGGAAAAAACACTGGCAGACTAAGAGTCTAGCTTCTATAAATGAACAAGTACTTCATGAATAATGTAAGTTGTAATTTTAATGTTGAAAAGTCCTGGCCAGGTGTGGTAGCTCATGCCAGTAATCCCAGCGCTTTGGGAGGCTGAGATGGGCAGATTGCTCTGAGCCAAGGAGTTTAAGATCAGCCTGGGCAATGTGGTGAAACCCCGTCTCTACTAAAAATACAAAAAATAGCTAAGTGTGGTGGCGTGTTACCTGTGGTCCCAGCTACTTAGGAGGCTGAGGTCGGAGAATCACTTGAACCCAGGACGTTGGGGCAATAGTGAGCTGTGATCGCACCACGGAACTCCAGTTGGGGCGACAGAGTGATACTCTGTCTCAATAAAAAACAAACAAAAAAACCCCCAGAAGTCCTTACTTAAATCTGTTGTCAAAGTATGATTCCTGGAAGAAACTTTAGAGGCTGATGCAAGGAATTGTGCAATGGCTTTTATTGGAATACAGACATTTGTGTAACTCAAACTATAACTGCTTTCAGGAATATGGCTATATCACTTTCAGTTTCTTAATGAGGTGACTACTATGTTGTTTTTAACTAGTGGTGTGCTAGAGCCAGCTTGTAGAGACTGTTAAACAGCCATTTTTAAAGCAGCTATGATGGGAGTATTTATACCACAAAAACTGGCAAATGCACAAATCAGTCCTGCCTCCTTTCCCCATTCATCAGCAGGCCACTGTTTTTTAACTATTTGAAAAGGATGATGAATGAACTACTTATTAAGGTTCTTATATATGCTCACCAGAAAGCATTTCTACCCAAGGAATGTCTTGAACCACTAGTTTCACCCTCCTATGAATCCTTCAACTCCTTAATATGCTCAGTCCATGGACCTGGAAGAGACTCCCACTCAGCCTAGCCTGGCCTGTCTGTTTTGCTTCCCTGACTAGGCTGAAATCCCATCTGACCACTCTCCCAGCTTCCCTTGCCGATTTCCTCACTTCCACACAACCTACCTCTGACTCTTCAGTTCTCTCCGAGCTTCACATACGCTCTGACTCTTGGGTTAGCTCACCATATCTACTCACCTCTATCACTCTGACTGCTTCTCCCCAATGAATGACCCCAATACCTGCTTAGTTCAGCTGGATCAACCTAACTAATCTATTTTTTTTCTGTTCTTGCTTCAAAGCTATATACATGCTTTTGCTCTGGGAGAAAAACTACATGAGCAGCTTCACCTTCACCTGTGCCTTCAGTCCTGCTCACTGTCTCACTCCTGTTTGACCTTGACTGCTTTATCCACTCCTCTCTTCAAGCTCCCACCCCAGGCCTGATCATCTCACTAATACTTCACAGAGAAGTTATTTTATGTAAACTCCCTCAGTTTCTACTCCTTCAAATCAATGTGTATTAGTTGACTATAGCTGGAAAAGTTTCTCTGACTTTATTTTACAAAAACAAGGAAGGGAGGGGCTGGGCACAGTGGCTCATGCCTGTAATCCCAGCACTTTGGGAGGCCAAGGCGGGTGGATCATGAGGTCAAGAGATTGAGACCATCCTGGCCAACACGGTGAAACCCCGTGTCTACTAAAAATACAAAAATTAGCCGGGCATGGTGGCGGGCACCTGTAGTCCCAGCTACTTGGGAGGCTGAGGCAGGAGAATCAGTTGAATCCAGGAGGCGGAGGTTGCAGTGAGCTGCGATTGCGCCACTGCACTCCAGTCTGGCGACTCCAGCCTGGCGACAGAGCAAGACTCCAACTCAAAAAAAAAAAAAAAAAAAAAAACGAAAAACAAAAAACAAAAAAGAACACAGGGAGGGAGGACTCTGTCCCTCACTTTTGCTGCATGCATAAAATTATTCCACTTCCCTTTTACCAGTATGTTTCTTCAAACAGAAATCTCTACCCACTGTCTCCACAACTCTGCCACAACAATCTAGTGGGTGGTATCTATGTCCAGCAAACTGACTTTTGACCTAACTCTAAAATACACTGGTCTTTTTCTAGTGCTTATTCTAGATCTTTGTGCTGTACCTGACACTGCGGACCAGTGTCACGTTAAAATCCTACCTTGGGGCCGGGCGCGGTGGCTCATGCCTGTAATCCCAGTACTTTGGGAGGCTGAGGCGGGCGGATCACTTGAGGTCAGGAATTCGAAACCAGCCTGGCCAACAAGGTGAAACCCTGTCTCTACTAAAAATACAAAAATTAGCCGGGCATGGTGGCGGGTGCCTGTAATCCTAGCTACTTGGGAGGCTGAGGCAGGATAATCGCTTGAACCCAGGAGGCAGAGTTTGCAGTGAGCTGAGATTGCGCCACTATACTCCAGCCTGGGCTACAGAGTGAGACTCTGTCTAAAAAAAAAAAAAAAAAAAAAAGAAAAGAAAAAAATCCCATGTTGGTTTGATGATAATACTTTTACATGGTTTACCCACTACTTTGGACTGTTCTTTTCAGTCACTCTACTTTGAGAAACAACCTTTTGGTCTCCCTCATTCTCTTGGCTATAACTATTACTACGTGCAAATAATCACCCAATTTATCTTCAGCATGACTTCAACTTCTGCTCACAGTCACCTTGGAATAAACACACTGAAGATTTAAAAACCTTCTATTCCAAACTTACTCTTCTTCCTATGTTAATGATGTTACCGCCTACTCACCTGCTTAACTAGAAACCTGAGACTTCTTTTTACTTCTAAGCATAAAATGATTCTCCAATGTGCCTCCCTTCTCTATGCCTTGGTTTAGGTCCTTTTATCTCGAATATGGATTACTTAATAGCTAACATTTCCTTTCCTGGTGTGTAGGGCTCCATCTTAATAGAGCTTGAAGTTACCAATCCCCTTGGAGGACCTACTTATCGAGTACTTCAACTTTATGTAAGCCAATTACATGACAATATTTTATGTCTTATAAATACAGATAATGAAGCAAAAAGAGATAGAAAAGGGTCGAGTTTTTCCCTCCCAAAACCCCCAATGATTAAGAATTTTCCATGTGTAATCATGTGTACATTAACTACCCATAGTTTTCTCGCACAATGCATTTTTTTCCTCAGCAATTTTCTGAACAGAAGTTCGTTTTAGTGATCTTACCTAAATCTACCCCAAGTTTCTCAGGGAGGACTCTGGGGATGTTCTCTAGTAATCCTCCACCAGTAATATGGGCAAAGGCTTTGACATGTCCTGAACGTAGGACAGGTAACAGTGAATGGCTGTAGATTCTGGTAGGCGTGAGAAGTAAGTCCCCTGCATGTTGAAGAGAGAAGACAAAAACTTAGCCTATGAATAGAAAACCAAAACATAAAAATCAACCTGGAGAATGACACCAGCTCTACAATAATGACCAAGTAGCAAACCAAGGTAATTCATTCCCTTTTAGCTCTAAGTAATCAGAGACTAAAACCACTAAATGCTTGCTCAGGCATTTCCAAGCAGGACAGTTTAAACATGAGGGAGTTTACCTAAAGTCTGGTCACCACAACCATCAGGTGCTGGAGAGGAGTACTGGAGGGAAGATTTTGCCACGATTTTCCTCACAAGGCTAAATCCATTGCTATGAAGACCAGATGAAGCTATTCCAACAACAACATCACCCTCAGTGATTCTTTCCAGGTGAGGGAGTTTCTGATCTCGCTCCATGGCACCAACGGCAAACCCAGCTAGGTCATACTCTCCAGGGGGATACATGTCAGGCATTTCTGCTGTTTCACCTCCTGGTGGGATAAGACAAGAACAAAGAAATCAGAGTATTTATAAATCTGTCTAGGAAACAGTGGCACAGGCTACTCTTAACATGAACAACTAACACATGGCTATGTCCTGCAAATATTTAAGAAAATGTACTCTACCAGCTGTCTAACAGAACTTTCCACCAAGCATGATTTCAGGAGAAATAGCACTTGTTTCCACAAAGGGTGAGATTAGGTAGCACCTCTACAAGTATATATGCAGCCGCCAAACACCACTGCTTGCACAGAATGAATGCTCAGTTGAATATAACATCATTTCTATAGCTGTTTAGTTTCAAAACTGCTTTCATATGTATTTGATCTTTATAATCAGTCCATTTTTCAGGTGATGATACAGCCTTAAAGAAGTGACTTAACTGGGACTGCCCAATTCCAAATACCCTAGCTTAAAAAGTATAGCATTTTACTTACAATTATATCATGTCAAGATATAAGGTATAGGCAGACTCCAAATAAGAAACTGTGTTCTAAACGGTGGTTGAAAGGCAATTTTTGTTTGTTTCAAACTTTATTCCCAGGCTTCTTTAGCTTAATTAGCTACAAAGAATAAATTGTGGGCTGGGCATCGTGGCTCACGCCTGTAATCCCAGCACTTTGGGAGGCCGAGGCAGGTGGATCAGGTCAGGAGTTCGAGACTATCCCGGCCAACATGGCGAAACTCTGTCTCTACTAAAAACACAAAAATTAACCAGGTGTGGTGGCTTATGCCTGTAATCCCAGCTACTTGGGAGGATGAGGCAGGAGAATTGCTTGAACCTGGGAGGTGGGGGTTGCAGCGAGCCGAGATTGTGCCACTGCACTCCAGCCTGGGTCACAGAGCAAGACTCCATCTCAAAAAGAAAAAAAAAAAAGAAGAAATTGTGTATAAGCAAAAACTGAAAAGAGCTGCAGTGTCCAACAGGAATGGGGCTTAAAATATTAGAGATCTAAATTTTATCAGATCCATAAACAATTTCAGAAAGCAGTCATAATGTAAAATAGCAGCTCCTAGTTACTTCATATTTTTTCTTCTTCAGAAGTTGACTCAATTCAGTTTGCCTCATTCTTAATAGCCTCATCAAAACTCCTTACAAGATCTAGAACTTCATCACCATCCCCTCCATTAGCAAGCAGTGCTTTTCCATCCACAGACTATTTGGGCAGAGCTTCAGTCGGTCTCCTTAAACTAGTCAGATTGTCTGCACCAAGCTGGTTTAAGATGCTGGTAGCATTTCTATCAGCTGCGTTGTCTCAGCATGGCCTGTAATGGTGAAAGTGTTCACTGCCCCAGAGAAATGCTACCAGCATTTTAGGTTGTTAAAGTGGATCTCTGGTCTTCATTTGTAAACATACTCACCCCTTCAATACCAGAGATATTGTTTACCCTTAACTTCTTAAGGAGAACTGAAGTTTTTATCATCTGCTGTAGCTGAACCACCTTCTTTCTGTTTCTTTTCCATCATTACGCAATTGTGCCTGCAATTTGGTTGTTTCTTTCATCTTGTCAGCGTGGAAAAGGGTCATGTGGAGGACTAGGGTTGGTGCTCAAGGGGTCCTGGGTAGACCAGCTGAGATTAGATGCACACATGTGCAGATGCAAGATGGCACAATTTCTGGTTTAAATGGTCATATAAAAGAGGCAGTTTCTGGCCGGGCACGGTGGCTCATGCCTGTAATCCCAGCACTTTGGGAGGCCGAGGCAGGCAGATCACGAGATCAGGAGATTGAGACCATCCTGGCTAACACGGTGAAACCCCATCTCTACTGAAAAATAGAAAAAATTAGCCGGGTGTGGTGGCGGGCACCTGTAGTCCCAGCTACTCGGGAGGCTGAGGCAGGAGAATGGTGTGAACCCAGGAGGCAGAGCTTGCAGTGAGCCAAGATTGCGCCACTGCACTCCAGACTGCGTGACAGAGCAAGACTCTGTTTAAAAAAAAAAAAAAAAAAAGAGGCAGTGTCTTTGGGAGGCTGTGATGGGAAGATAGCTTGAGCCCAGCAATTCAAGACCAGCCTGGGCAACATGGCAAAACCCTATCTCTACAAAAAGTACAAAAATTAGCTGGGTTGGTGACACATGCCTGTAGTTCCCAACTACTTGGGAGGCTGAAGCAGGAGGATCCCTTGAACCCAGGAGGTCAAGGCTGCAGTGAGCTGTGATTGAACCACTGCACTCCAACCTGGGTGACAGAGAGAGATTCCCTTTTTTTTTTTTTTAAATTAAAAAAAGAGGTTATTTTGTTCCTTGATCAACCTACAGATTCATTTTGCTCAAACATTTCATGTATAAAGATACTTCTATAAAACTTGGGCGTATATTATTATTTATGTCACTCTATGGGAAAATTTGGCTTTAGTTAAGATCCGGAATGCCAGGAACCCATCTGCCTGTACCGTGGGGTCAATAAGGAGGAAATAACTCCTAGACCTGTTTGTTGAGGAGGCTACTGAGACTGATGGGGATGTTAAAAGGTGGCCAAAAATTGGGAAGAAAGATAAGGCCTGCCTGACAGTTTGGGAGTACGGGTCTAGAGGACAAACCCCTGAGGAGGGCTTTGAAGGTAGCAGGCTCTAAATTTAATTCAGGTAGTTTTACCTATATTTCATTTGTGCATATCACATATATGCATCTTGTGATATACAGTCTCTCTTGCTAGCTACATTGGCACTGATCACATTTTTACATAGGGCTAAAACACAAAAAGAAGAATGACATGTTATTGATTAAAATGGCTGATCATACCAAGGAGAGCACATCCAGCTTTTCCACAAGCTTTAGCAATTCCAGCAACAACAGCTTCAGTTACACTGAGGTCAAGTTTTCCACAGGAAAAGTAATCAAGGAAGAAGAGGGGCTCTGCTCCTTGTGCCAGAATATCATTAACACACATTGCTACCAAATCTTGACCAATGGTATCATGTTTATTGCATAGCTGGGCAATCTATGTAAGAACAATATAAACATCCACATTAGGGAATAAGTTCAAAATTGTATCTTATCCATTTGATTAGCTGCTCTTAACACCTAAAAACAAAAGAACACGAAATTCTGACAAGCTACTTGGTCTAAAAGCATCCCCTTTTATCCTCTAAAGTACCCTTCCATCCAAATATAATCTAAATAATAATTTGTTATTAGAAATGTGCAGATATTTTAGCCATTTTACATGGTTATTTGGCATGGTCCTTTTTAGCTCATATATGTCAAGAGAAGAAAAATACATATTTGATATAAATTTCCTCATCTTTCCTAAAAGGCCTTTATTCACAAAGGTGTCTGATTACCTTTAGTTTAGTTCCAACGCCATCTGTTCCAGAGGCCAGAAGGGGATCTTTGAAACCAGCTGCTTTTAAATCAAAAAGACCAGCAAAACCTCCAAGATCAACTTTACAGCCTGTTGGAGAGGAAATTAATTACTTGCTACATTTTAATAGATTAAACATGTAATTATTTAAATGTCTACTAGTTTAAAAAAACCAGTATATTTAGCGGCCTGTGAGATGTACTTCTGGAAGAAATAGATGATTGGAACAGCTGTTCTCAGAGATGACATAATCAAATCAACTGGGAGAATGTAATCATTTAATAGATTAACATGTAACATGTTAATAGGTTAAACATGTATATACATACCACTTGTTCATAAGAATGGCTGAAACAAGAGATGCCCTTCCTGAGTATGAGAGATTGCACCATGTGCTCAAAGAATTGATTAAGAAAGTAATTAAGGCTGGGCGTGGTGGCTCACCCCTGTAATCCCAGCACTTTGGGAGGCCGAGGCGGGTGGATCACAAGGTCAGGAGATCGAGACCATCCTGGTTAACACAGTGAAACCCCGTCTCTACTAAAAATACAAAAAAATTAGCTGGGCGTGGTGGCGGGCACCTGTAGTCCCAGCTACTCGGGAGGCTGAGGCAGGAGAATGGCGTGAATGCAGGAGGCAGAGCTTGCAGCTAGCCGAAATGGCACCACTGCACTCCAGCCTGGGCGACAGAGCCAGACTTTGTCTCAAAAAAAAAAAAAAAAAAAAAGGAAGTAATTAAATACTAAAGGACCAGCCAGACATGGTGGCTCATGCCTATAATCCCAGCACTTTGGGAGGCTGAGGTGGGCAGATTGCCTGAGGTCAGGAGTTCAAGACCAGCTTGGCCAACATGGTGAAATCATGTCTCTACAAAAATACAAAAATTAGCCAGGCATGATGGTGGGTGCCTATAATCCCAATTACTTGGGAGACTGAGGCAGGAGAATCGCTTGAAATCAGGATGCAGAGGTTGCAGTGAGCCGAGATGGTGCCATTGCACTCCAGCCTGGGCAAGACTCTTGTCTCAAAAAAAAAAAAAAAAAAAGTAAAGGAGCATACATATCCTTTTGAGTTTAACATGACAGATGAGAAATACTTTAATATTAAAGAAAAGAAAGCAGAAGACTGGGTTTGGCTTAAGCAGGGCAAAACTTACAGTAACCAAGCATTGCTTTGGAAAATATTCCTGTTAAATATAAAACCCAAATCCATTCACAATGTATATCAAAGTTAATGAATTAGCAAAGTATAGGATCACTGACCTGATCTGGAAGTGGCTTTTGCTAAAGGCTGAATTTTCTTGACCAGCATATTTCCAGCTGCGATATCTACTCCAGATTCCTTGTAAGTCAAACTCCTAAAGAATTAAAAACAAGTCATCACCTAAACGTCAGGGAAAATTATTTTAATCTTAAAATATTATTTAAAGCAGAAGATATCCCAAGTGATTTTCACATACCCTAAAGTGCTTAAATTTTTTTAAAGTCAGTGCCTGGGCCACATCTATACAGATTCTGATTTAACTGGTCTAGGGCAGGCTCTGGGAATTGAAATGAGTTTGAACCATCTCCCCAGTTGACTTGATTACATCATCCCTGAGAACCGCTATTCTAACTCAATCACCTATTTCTTCTACAAGTACTTCTCACAGGCTGCTAAATATACTGATTCTTTTAAATGATTTTTTATTAAGGTAGAATATACACAACATAAAATTCAGCATCTTAACCATTTTTAAGTGAACAGTTCAATAGTATTGAATACAATTATAATGCTGTGCACCCGGCACCATCATCCATCTCCATAATCCTTTATCTTGTAAAACTGAACGTCTGTCCCAGTTAAATAACTCCCCATTCCCCACTACCCCAGACCCTGGCAACCATCTGTTTAAAAGTAGATATACTGACATTTTGCTGCAACTTTTCTCAGTTCAATTTTGGTATGAACAAGAGAGGAATGCCTAATCAAGTCAAAAAAGTGAAAATTAGATTTGTAAAAACCGTACACAAGTATCCCTAAATAATTAAACTGAGTTCTTAATTTCAGTAATATATAACTGTATCTGTTTCCTAATAGCTGAGGACAGTAAACACTATGACAAAAGCAAAACCAGGTAAAGATACTCAGTGCATCATTTCCTTCTGTATAGGACCCACAAGTCGGAGCAGTACATTTAGAGATCAAATTTTTGAATGACACTGCAGATTTTGTAGTCTTGACTTGCAAAAATGAGAACTCTGGCCTGCTGGGATGCAGTGATACATGAAGAAATATGTGTTTTTATAGAAGTGTCTTTAAAAAAAGCATACAAAAACAAAAAACAAAAAAGCTGCCAGAATACAGTTGAGTGCATTGGCAGTTAACTCAAATAAAGCCAGCAGCTCTGGGTCACTCTCAGATAGAAAACAAAGACTGATGTTAAAAAACCTTTTCTCCAGTAGCAACTAACACTGTGGCATTTCCATTTTTTCATCTTTATAACTTAAATAATTCAGACTAGAATTGAGATTGCAGTCCCTTGAAATAGGTCATTTCAATGGAATCTAGTCATTTTTAAATGAAAAATAAATTTTTAGCCTGGTATTTTGATGTTCTTGATTCTTGGAAAATCTGTGTTTAAACTTTAAAAAAACCTGCCTCTTGGTAACAGTATAGCTTGAATTACGTTGGTAAAAAAATTTTGTCTTAAAATTTATTCATTATCCGTAAATGAACTTCACGAACAATAGCAAATGTGATATATTTTTAAGAAATCAGGCCGGGCACGGTGGCTCACGCCTGTAATCCCAGTACTTGGTGAGGCTGAGGCAGGCAGATCACCTGAGGTCAGGAGTTCGAGACCAGCCCGGCCAACATGGTGAAACCCCATGTCTACCAAAAACACAAAAATTAGCTGGGCACGGTGGCAGGCACCTGTAATCCCAGCTACTCAGGAGGCTGAGGAAGGGGAATCACTTGAACCCGGGAGGTGGAGGTTGCAGTGAGGCGAGATCATGCCACTGCACTCCAGCCTGGGCGACAAGAGCAAAATTCTGTCTCAAAAAAAAAAAAAAAAAAAAAAAGAAATCAAAACACCCACATTTCCAACTAAGACTTTATTGATTTTACAAGTCAACAGTTTGTACATACCAACAATGAATCAGTAAGAGGTCAAAAAATACATTTTAGTAATAGATACAAACGCAGTGATAAAATGAGACTGTCAAACTTTACAGTATAATCAAATCAAATTACAAAGTTAGATGACCAGTATTCTCATCTTCAGTTCTTTGATAAAACCATGAACTATGTTTCAAATACAACACTATGTGATAACGCAAGGAATAAAAATCAGTATCAGGCCAAGTGCAGCGGCTCATGCCTATAATCCCAGCATTTTGGGAGGCCAAAGCAGGAGGATCACTTGAGCCCAGGATTTCAGACTGGCCTTGGCAACATGGTGAAACCCCATCTCCACAAAAAATACAAAAAAATTAGCCAGGTGTGGTGGCCTGTGCCTGTAGTCCCAGCTATTTGGGAGGCTGAGGCATGAGAACTTGGGCGAGAGAGGAAGACCCTGTTAAAAAAATTAAAAATATAAAATAAAAAAAATAGAAAACAAATAAAAATCAGTACCACTGTGATTTTGCTAAACTTTCCAAACTTACGCTATCATGAAGTTTTTTCCATTTGAGTATTGCTATAACCAGTTTTGATTCAAACAAAATACAAACCAAGACTGTATCACTCCCACAGAGAGAAAAGAATACTGAATGACTTATAGGGTTAATGAAATGTTCTACATAGCCATTTAGGCCAGTTTCTGAAATGGCACTACAGCTAACTTGCTTAGAGTTTTACCTGGGCTGCTGGAGGAAAGCTATGGCACGAAAGCCGACGTCTTTCCTATAAATTGCTCCCTCAAACTTTATAGCAGCTAGTCCTTTCTTGGCTTCCTCAAGGGCTGATATGAGATTTTCCCGGATGGCTGTGACTGCAAGAACTCTACCCCCATGAGTTACTACTTTGCCATTTTTGAGGGCAGTGCCTGCATGGAACACCTCCAGTCCTAGAGCTTGAGCCTCAGGAAACCCTAGAAGAGAGCATATTTGACATATGATTTCAAATAGCAACAGTATTTCACACCGTGAAGTGATTTACGATTTCCACAAGTTTCTTTTTTTTTTTTTTTAACTTGGCTAGGTGCGGTGGCTCATGCTTATAATTCCAGCACTTTGGGAGGCTGAGGCAAGGACTGCTTGAGTCCATGAGTTCGAGACCAGCCTGGGCAACAGAGCAAGACCTCGCCTCTACATAAATAAATAAATAAATAAATAATAATAGCCAAGTGTGGCGGCACACACCAGCTGAGGTGGGAGGATCACTTGAATTTGGGAGTTTGAGGCTGCAGTGAGGTGTGATCGCACCACTGCTCCAAACCCAGCAACAGAGACCCTGTCTCCAAATAAATAAATACATAAAAATTAAAGATCTTTCTCTCACTTAAAAGAACCTTCCCTATCAGACAGGTCTTCTTTTATTTTTTGAGACGGAGTCTCACTCTGTTGCCAAGCTAGTAGTGGTGTGATCTCCGCTCACTGCAACCTCTGCCTCCTGGGTTCAAGCAATTCTCTTGCCTCAACCTCAGGAGTAGCTGGGACTACAGGAATGTGCCACCACACCCAGCTAATTTTTGTATTTTTAGTAGAGACGGGGTTTGAAAATGTTGGCCAGGATGGTCTTGACCTCCTGATCTGCCCGCCTTGGCCTCCCAGATAGGTTTTAATGCAATGTAATAGTAATTAGACCTTTCTCCTAAGAACTGTCTGCTATTTTAGGATGACAACCTAAATTCTTGTGTTATCGTAAATCTCATTATAAAAGCAATTGTTTAATGAGGAAAGAAACAAAAATCCTGCATCTGATCACATTAATCTTTTCCTTAAGAGTAAGGGAACTTCCTTTTTTTTTTTTTTTTTTGAGACAGAGTCTCGCTCTGTCGCCCAGGCTGGTGTGCAGTGGTGCAATCTTGGCTCACTGCAAGCTCCTCCTCCCAGGTTCACGCCATTCTCCTGCCTCAGCCTCCTGAGTAGCTGGGACTACAGGTGCCCACCACCATGCCCGGCTAATTTTTTGTATTTTTAGTAGAGACAGGGTTTCACCGTGTTAGCCAGGATGGTCTCGATCTCCTGACCTTGCGATCTGCCTGCCTGGGCCTCCCAAAGTGCTGGGATTAGTCATGAGCCACTGCGCCCAGCCGGGAACTTCCTTTTCTTTTTGGGACAGAGTCTTGCTCTGTCACCTAGGCTGGAGTGTGCAGTTGTGCGACCTCGGCTCACTGCAACCTCTACCTCCTGGGTTCAAGCCATCCTGCCACCTCAGCCTCCTGAGTAGCTAGGATTATAGGCATGCACCACCACATTTGGCTAATTGTTTTTGTATTTTTAGTGGAGACGGGGTTTCACCATGTTGGCCAGGCTGGTCTCGAACTCCTGACCTCAAGTGATCTGCCCGCTTCGGCCTCCCCAAGTGTTAGGATTACAGGTGTGAGCCACCGTGCCTGGCCTGTAAAGGAACTTCTTTTCATCACAGTTATTCAATTAAAGCTGCTTCTTTTTTTCTTTTTCGATTTTTTTTTTTTAACCAGATCATGAGACTTAAGTTTCTTTCTTTTCAGTATAACCAATATGATCAGTACAATGCAAAACATAAGTAATCTTTTCACTATTATAACACTTGTATGATTTTAAGACAAACTTGGCTTAAATTAAGTTTTGGGGTCAGCCCCAAATTCCTGCCCCTTCACTGTATTTTGAATTATTTTTAAACTCTCAGATACAGCTTTATAGTTAAAACATTATTAGACTATATATTCTAAATTCTAAAGTGACCAAAGGGGACAGTTTATGTAAAGATAACACTTTTTCTTAATTTTTAGAAAACCATTCTTTCATCTCCTGGTGGTCTTCTTTTTCCGTCTCTATTTCTTTTGTTAGCATCCTATTTGGTAGTTTGTTAATATACATCTTCCCTGAGTGTTTTTACAACACAAAGCCATTTAGTGATTCTGAATGGCTACTCTGCCTGCCAGTACTGGTAAAACTCAATATTGCTCTGGCAGAACTATTATACACTTGTTACTTCAATCTTAGGGAAATTTTACCAATGCAAGGGATCTTGGTTCTGGCCCATTTCTTTCTTTGTCCATATTCAAAAGGAATCAATTCTTAACTGCCTGCCTAGCTGCCATGCGTGGGATTCATAAGGCAATGGACTTGGTGTCTGGGCAAGACAGTTTATGGGGTTGTTGAATTAAATACACTACTGGAGGCTGGGCATGGTGGCTCAGACCTGTAATCCCAATACTTGAGGAGGATGAGGTAGGCGGATCACTTGAGGTCAGGAGTTCGAGACCAGCCGGGCCAACATGGTGAAACCCCATCTCTACTAAAAATACAGAAATTAGCTGGGCCTGGTAGCATACACCTGTAATCCAGTTACTTGGGAGGCTGAGTCAGAAGAATCGCTTGAACCCAGGAGGAGGTTACAGTGAGCCGAGATCGTGCCACTGCAATCCAGCCTGGGTGACAGAGCTAGAGTCTATCTCGAAAAAAAAAGGAAACCCCCCAAATACACTACTGGAGCACGGAGAGTGGCCAAACTATAGGCTGCTAGGGGTCACAGAGGTCTGCCTTTGGACTTACGGCACTGGAACTTAGATTTAACATCATTTAACGAGATGTTTCACCTACTTTATATAAAGAGAGAGAGAAAAAAAAGAGAAGGATAAACTTTGAAACTGTTTGAATTTTGCCATCCAAGTGACTATGGGGTGCACTGTAAACTGGGGGTCAAACCACACAAAACTGTATGCATTTGTGATAATTCAGAGTCCTCACCTCTAAAATATATCTTATTGATATACTTTGTACTAATGTTCCTCTGACTCTCAGAGAATCTCATTATTACCCTGGCTCTAGGCAGGTGGAAGTGGAAGGCTGCACTGGGTGACACTCGGGAGATGTGGTTCTGCCACTTATGTCTTCCTTGCACAGGAAGGGAAATCAACGGTTCTCTGAATACAGTAATTGCGGATATTTGAACACACATATCCAATAAGCAACATGGTTAAGACCCTCTGAAAGGTTTCTGATGGCTTCACACTCTTATCGAGAGCAAGCCTTAGTGTGAGAGGGGGGTCTGCTGTGGTGCTGGCACTTGTCACGTTGTACTCCAACCTCTTGCTCCCTGACACTCACCTGTTATCTCTACACCCTTGGTGTAGTCTCCAGGATAACCTTTACTTGCCATGACAACAGTTAGGGCGGTGTGGTTTTCTAGCCAAACAGGCAGAGATGTGCAGAGCAGTCCATCTAAGGTGGACTGAATCACTTCATAAAGATCACTTTTAAGAAGTGGGAGGATTACCTGGAAAAACATAATCCACATGGCAGGTGGGATAAATTTTAGTTTTCCTTAAACATTTTATTCACTGGTGTACTAGCAGAACTTGCATGAATTTCCCAAAGGTAATTACTTCCAGGCTGATAAATTCCAAGATTAAAATACCACATATCTTCTACCAAGTAATACTTTGATATTTTTACCCACTTGGCACTCTGGATCACCAAAACGGCAATTAAACTCTAGAACTTTTGGGCCATTCTTGGTCAGCATTATTCCAGCATAGAGAATACCTTCATTAAAAAAGAAAAAAAAAAAAAAGAGAGAAAGAAAATCTATGATGAAGACACTGTATTACAAATATAAAATCTACTACATAAACTTCTAATAATCAAAGTTTTGGAAAAATCATAAACATTTAAAAAATGGTCCATTAAAAAGTGGTAAAAAAAAAAAAAAAAGGGAATGGAAAATAAGTTTTATCAAAAGTAGAAAGTTACTCTATAGGTGGCTTCCATAGTAATGTGGGTGGGCCTACCTGTATATGGAGTACCCTCTTGCTGCATGCCATCCACTGTCCTCTGAAGAACAGTATCTTTAATTTTTAGTAATAGATCATTAGAAACCTGGAGAACGTGCAGAAACAGTTAAATGTAACAGGTAACTTAAAAAGTCTAAGTAGTATTACATGGGACAACAGAAGGGGATGATGAGGATAACTCATTTTTTTACTACCTGAAACATGCTGAACACTTTGAACTTGAAAGATTTAAACTTTCTCAATCCTCACAATGACTCTGTCAAGTAGGTATTTTAGCTTTATGATTTTCAAAAAATACACTCTTAAAAGAACTAGCCAAAAATAACTTCCCGAAACGTAATAGAAATGAAACAAGTTCTCTCCTACCCTAAGGCTTCTTTGTACTCTTCCCAGTATACGCTGCATATTTCATAAGTCTATATATGTAAGATTCTGGGTTTATGAATTTAATTGTAAAAATTAGACCCAGATATAGTTCTTAGAATACACTATTACCAAATGGTAGTTTTAATACAAGTGTTTGGATTACAGGTGTGAACCACTGTGCCTGGCCTACACTTATGAAGTCTTTTAAAAAAAATGAAGTTTATGTTTAATCTTTTTTTTTTTTTTTTTTTGAGGTGAAGTTTCACTTTTGTTGTCCAGGCTGGAGTGCAATGGCGCAATCTTGGCTCACCACAACCTCCGCCTCCCGGGTTCAAGTGATTCTCTTACCTTAGCTTCCCAAGTAGCTGGGACTGGGACTACAGGCATGTGCCATCGCGCCCAGCTAATTTTTGTATTTTCAGTAGAGACGGGGTTTCTCCATGTTGGCCAGGCTGGTCTCAAACTCCCGACCTCAGGTTATCCACCTGCCTCGGCCTCCCAAAGTGCTGGGATTACAGGCATGAGCCACTGCGCCTGGCCTATTTTTAATCTTTTAAGCAAGAAAAATATGTAAAGGGGCACTACATTAGCACAAACATTATGACTATCTTCAATGAAAAGAATAGGTGAGTTTTCGGATTGTTAACCTACTTATATGCCAACAGCACAAATTCCTAAAAAAAACTGTGCAGAAGGCCAGGCATGGTAGCTCACGCCTGTAATCCCAGCACTTTGGGAGGCCGAGGTGGGCAGATCACGGGTCAAGAGATCCAGACCATACTGGCCAACATGGTGAAACCCCATCTCTACTAAAAATACAAAAATTAGCCTGGCGTGGTGGCCTGTGCCTGTAGTCCCAGCTACTTGTGAGGCTGAGGCAGGAGAATCACTTGAACCCAGGAGGTGGAGGATGTAGTGAGCCAAGATCGTGCCACTGCACCCCAGCCTGGTAACAGAGCGAGACTCCGTCTCAAAAAACAACAACAAAAACAAAAACTGTGCCGAAATTGTTTGGAAACGTGTTGTCTGTTATGAAGTAGAAAGATCAGAACAAATTCTGATCTGACTTGGTTCTCAATTCATATCACACACACACAAGAAATTCTGATCTGACTTGGTTCTCAATTCATATCACACGCACACTAGAAATTCTGATGTGACTTGGTTCTCAATTCATATCACACACACACACAGATACACACAGACAACACTTTTGTGCTGAACCACGGATATCCAAAGATGAATCCAAGACCACGACAGGCTCCCATGTGTTAAAAATTGGCTGCAGAGAGGAGGGAATAGGAGGATCTATTCAACCCATACTATACTTTAGATTGGCTTATTTTAGTTCTTCAAAAAAGGCTTTTAGGAAAAGTTAGTTTTAGAGACCAGAAAAGATACTCCTCATTTAATTGCTGATTAGTAACATAATTCATAGCAACAAACAAACAGAAAACAAAACAAAATAGAAAGTATCATCTAAGAGTTCTCTGAGAAAACCAAACTACTACAAGACTTCAGCAGAGTCTTCGGGAAGTACCTGAGGGGCTGGACAATAGGCTCCCATTCCCCCTGTGTTAGGGCCACCATCTCCCTCCAGTAATCGCTTATGGTCCTGTGCTGGGGGCATGGGGGCCACAGTCTTGCCATCAGTGAAACACAGACACTATAAAGAAAACAAAATAGTCCATTTATGTTAACTGTCAAAAACTAAAAAAAAAAATTTAGTGAGGCAAACTATATGTCCCTTAATTCTTCTTTGAGGAAAAGTTTGTTTTTTTTTTTGCAGAGAAATGAACCGAAACGTCAATAACATTAAGCTACATACATCAAGAATCATAATGTACTCAACTTCTGAAGGATTTGTAATTTTTGAGGGAAGTCAGAAAAAATCAAGCTACTCTCAAAGTAAAAGATTTCAACCTTTCCCCCACTTTAAGCTTCCAGGCATTAAAACTTGGTTTAAGGTGACTTTATTTATTGTGCAATAAACTGTATATGAAAGAAAAAGCATGAATGCTTGAATTAATCCAGAACCTCAATAGTGTGTAAGTCCAAGTGCCCCCACTAACACACTAGGGATGACTAACAGAGGATCGATTATTTTTTCATTTGCACCCCCAACAATAAAAGTATACAAATTCCTTTGTAACTGCTGGGTTTATGTTTTTAGATGAAGCAACCAGAGTATATCAAGTCTTTTCTGGGGTACACAGGTCAGATGACAGCTTCTTATACACTACAAAAGCCAAAAAGATGAATATACATACCGACACCTCTTCTCCGTCAAGAAGTTCTTCAATGACAATTGTTTCTCCAGCTGCCCCAAAGGCTTTCTCCTGATTGTAAGATTTTTTTTTTTTTTTTTTTTAAAAAAAGAGGCTTGGTAAGTTTTTGATACTTAGTTGACTTTTAGCATTATCCAGCATTTGTATTATGAACCAGTGAGTACTGTAATTTTTCTTTCCCTTTCAGAAAGACTCAAAGGGAACATATAAATGTTTCCTATTTTTAATGTGGCAATAGTGTAGCTAACACTGGTACAGACGGAATAAACACACCTCTAATATTCTCCTGAAGATTTGGTGATCCAGTTTCAAATAAGGTATGGGAAAAACAGATGTTTTCATTATCGCCACTTAATCCTTACTTCCGATTATAATTATACATGTTTGGCTGTAATAACTATACTAAAGCATGCTTGTGAAAGTAGACTTCTACAAGGACAGAAAACCCACAACAACAAAGATCGATCACGAAAGACAAGGCATATTCATTCATTAATTTACTTCTCTTAGACCCGGGACATGTGGGACAAATACTTTTGTCCTCATGGATGGCTTGATAATTTATTTATATGTTCTAGAGTCTGAGGATTTTCTTTCAGTGGCAGACAACAAAGGATGTTACAATTTACTTCAAAATAATACAATCATGGTTTAATTTACAGTGTAAATCCATAACTATTTTATAGAGATGGATTATAATACATGGGATTATAAAAAATAACTTACCCATATGTTTGCAAAATAGATTTTCCTTATTGTGAGGAACATTTTTTAAACTTAAAACGGTATTTATTCAGTATGAATAGAAAAGTAAATTTTTTCAGAAGACCCAGCCTACCTGCATGATCTCTTGTACAGCTTTGCAGGCCTCTTCTTTGCTCTTTGCAACAATCACCCCTTTTCCAGCTGCAAGACCACTGGCCTTCACAACCAAAGCAGGGAAGTCTGCACTGTAAAGACAGAGTAATCGTCAACATCCAATAAACCATTACAACTCAAGATTTTAAAATGCTGTGGGATTTTGTAACGATATGCTATAGCAATGACTGAAAAGCAGAAAGAAAAAAATTAATTATCATTCCAACACATTTTGATGTACTTCCCACCAGGATTTTTTCCCCTACGTATTCCTTTGTAGTTCCAATCATACAGTACCTACAATTTTGCTTTTTTCATTTATCATGAGATTACATAGGCAATATCTTTGGAAGAATAAGTAGATGTATAGAGTAGATATGGCATAATCTCTAAGATACAAAGTAGCAAATAGTACTCTCATTCAGGTAGAAAATGCGGCTGTATAACAACAGTAAGCATACACAGACCATTTCTGGGAGTACACATATGAAATTATCAAGTGGGCCTGGGGGTCTGGAAGGAGACTTACCCAAAGTAAGTAACAAAACTGTTACTTGCTCAAGGCATCTGGCTGCTAGGAAATAATAATATTCAGTGTTTAAGAAACTCTTTAGGATATGAATGAAAAAAAAATGAAACTGACACAACTGAAAGGAAAACATAACCAGGAAGCAGAAGTGCCAACAAAAAAAGGGCAAATGCATGTGTCTACTAACACTCATTAATTGCTCAATGCTTTCCACATAATAGAGAACAAAGGATGTTTAATTTTGAAATTTAAAATTGCAATAGTGGCCAGGCGCGGTGGCTCACGCCTGTAATCCCAGCACTTTGGGAGGCCGAGGCGGGCGGATCACGAGGTCAGGAGATCGAGACCATCCTGGCTAACACAGTGAAACCCCGTCTCTTCTAAAAATACAAAAAATTAGCCTGGAGTGGTGGTGGGCGCCTGTATTCCCAGCTACTCGGGAGGCTGAAGCAGCAGAATGGCATGAACCTGGGAGGCGGAGCTTGCAGTGAGCCGAGATAGAGATAGCGCCACTGCAGTCCGGCCTGGGTGAAAGAACGAGACTCAAAAAAAAAAAAATAAATAAATAAATAAAAATAAAAATAAATAAATAAATAAATAAAATAAAATGGCAATAGTGGTGGCAGATGACCAAGTGATGATTACTCACTCTGGTTAATTATTTATGACAAAAAAAATCAATGTTCTTTATGTTGTAAGATGCCACTGCGTTTGTCAATCTGACCGTGAGGCCTAGTGTTACGGCTCATGCCTGTAATCCCAGCACTTTGGGAGGCAGAGAGAGGCGGATCTCTTGAGCTTAAGAGTTTGAGACCGGCCTGGGAAACATGGTAAAACTCCGTCTCTACAAAAAATATAAAAACTAGCTGGGAGTAGTGGTGTGTGCCTATTGTCCCAGCTACTTGGGAGGCTGAGGTGGGAGGATCACTTGAGTCCAGGAAGCAGAGGCTGCTGTGAGCCAAGATCACGCCACTGCACTCCAGCCTGGGTGACAGAGAGAGGCCCCGTCTCAGGTTGGGGGGTGGTGGTGGGGGGCGGGGAACCAAAAACCAAAAACATGGCTGTGAAGAGCGCACAACTGCAGAACCAAGTGTATTTTTCCCCTGAGGAACTACTCAGATTTTATTAAAAATGTCATCTTCCTGCAAGGCCACAAGATCATATAAACTCTGTATGCATAGGATCCCATTTTATTTTGGTTCTGGAAAACGACAACCCACATAATATTTATTGAGAAAGTTTTTTCCTTAATTATCTTACTACATCTTGAGACAGCCTAAAGACCTAGCATTACATTTTCAACACAGAAGTGACCTGTATATTTATTTAATTTTTTTGAGACAGGGTCTCACTCTGTCACCCAGGCTGCAGTGCAGTGGCACAATCTTGGCTCAGTGCAGCCTCCGCCTCCTGGGTTCAAGTGATCCTCCCACCTTGGCCTTTAGAGGAGCTGGGACTACAGGTGCACACCATCATGCCCGGCTTTTTTTTTTCTGTATTTTTTGTAGAGACAGGGTTTTACCATGGTACCCAGGCTGGTCTCTAACTCCTGAGCTCAAGTGATTCACCTGCCTTGGCCTCCCAAAGTGCTGGGATTACAGGTGAGCTACTGTGCCTGGCCACTGACCTGTGTATTTAAATATCAAAACTAAACAACTGTCCTTCACAGACAACCATTTACCTACCTCAAAATGAAGCTGCAGGCTTCTTCAGGTTTGGTGAAAGCCTTCCATTGTGCGGTTGGGATTCCATGTCTGTCCATAAACTCTTTGGCAAACCTTTTGCTGGACTCTAACTGAGCCGCTTCTGCTGTTGGGCCAAAGCATTGCACTCCTGCAGACCTCAGGTTCCCAACAATCCCTATTGATGAAAACAGTAGCCTTAGGTGAACCAAGGTCTCCCCAGGGGCTTTTCAGCCTGAAGACGAATTAGTATCAGACTATATCTACATCTAGACAAGGCAGATGACTGGTGGCAGAGGATAACTAACTTTTTCATGTTGTCTACTGGATAGAGATAAAATGCTATTAACATGTTATTCAAATCTATCAAAAGTTGTTATATTTGCATATATGGATTATTAAACACACACCAGAATACAGCAGAATAAAGACATATAAAATGTTTTCCATGGCTGCAAATTTGATCTCTAACTCATCATATAACTGATGCTTGGGAAAAAAAATCTAGACTCCATAAATTTCGAGAGTGGAAGCTCTTTTTCCAAGATAATATTACAAATTCTCATCTGTAAAATGAATTGGATTAGATGATCCCTAAGCTTCTGTTTGCACTGAATATACTGTAACAATAAACAGAAACAAACTTTACCAGCAGCCAGAGGTGCTTCTGGTCCAACAACTACAAATTCAATTTTCTTCTCTTTGCAGAATTGAGCAAGGGCAGTGTGGTCACTGATTGAGATGGCTGTAAACAGAAAAAAAAAAAAAAAAACCACTGCATTTACAAAAACATTCCACTTAAGTAAACTAAGTGTCTCACTAAAAAAACTAAGTTCTATACTTTAGTATGCTTGTTATCTGTTGGTTTTCTTATATTGGCAGAGATGACAGTTTCAACATGTGAAATTCAGAGGAGAGTGCATTAGGCTAACCAACAGAGCTCAGTTCTCCGTTATCATTGTAGACAGATGAAAACACCAATAAACTTCCCAAAGAGCCATAAAGTATCACCTCCATGATATTGTTCACGTCACTAATATTGACTGTATATTAAACAAAAAACGTAAGATATACTCAGAAATTGGTCTTTTAATGTCAATCAATCAATTGTACTGAAAATCCACTATGTGCTAAGTACTGTCCTCAGCACTGGTATTAAGATGTCAACACGGCGGGGCGCGGTGGCTCACGCCTGTAATCCCAGCACTTTGGGAGGCCGAGGTGGGTGGATCACCTAAGGTCAGGAGTTCGAGACCAGCCTGAACAATATGATGAAACCCCGTCTCTACTAAAAATACAAAAAGTAGCTGGGTGTGGGGGCATGCACCTGTAATCCCAACTACTCAGGAGGCTGAGACAGGAGAATCGCTTGAACTGGGGAGGCGGAGGTTGCAGTGAGCCAAGATCGCACCACTGCACTCCAGCCTGGGTAGATAACAAGAACGAAACTCTGTCTCAAAAAAAAAAAAATTTATCAACACAAGCAGGGTCCCTATACTTAACATGTTTACAATACGCTGTAGGAACGCTGGGTAATAAACATACAAACAAAAAAACAGCAAATATGAACAAATTAAGCAAATTTGATATGAAGTGAATTGAGAGGCTATTTTGGGTTGGGTCAGGAGGGATCTCTTTGGGGCAGAGCTGTTTAAGTTAAGAACTCAATGACGCTTTTAAGAGGAACCTGTCTTCTCCAACCTGCAAGTCAGGTAAATTTTCTTCTGTGGAGTTCTAAGTAACTAGTGGTAGGATCAACCACATACTGAACATGGTTTGGCTCCATAGGGGCTCTCCTGCTTCACTGTGCCTGGACCACCATTCGTTAAGTCAGCTGAAGTGTGCAATCACTCTGCCATTGGTACAGAGTACAAGAAGTGATATTTGTGATGTACAGTTGTCCCTCTTTATCCTTAGAGGACACATTCTAAGATCCCTAGTGGATGCCTGAAACCACAGTGCTGAACGCTATATATATAGTATGTTTTTTCCTATACATAAACACCTATGATAAAGTTTAATTTACAAATTAGGCACAGTAAGAGATTAACTATCACTAATACTAAAATAGAACAATTATAACTATATGCCAGCATCAGCTTTGGGGCCATTATTAAGTAAAACAGGGTTACCTGAACACATGCACTGAGATAATATGATAGTCAATCTGATAACCAACAGGGCTAGTAAGTAACAACATGGATATGCTGGACAAAAAGATTCACGTCTCAGGTTGGACGGCACAAAATTTCATCATGCTATGCTAGACTGGTGTGCAATGTAAAATTTATGAATTATTTCTGAAATTTTCCATTTAATATTTTGGACTACAGCTGACTGTGGGTAACTGAAACTGTGGAAAGTAAAATTGTGGATAGGCTGGTGACTACTGTATAGGGTCCAAGTCCAGAAAAGGTAGGGTCCTCAATCTGCAGCAACTGCCTGAATGTGATTAGGATGGAGTACCACGCACTGTGGGTTAGTGGTTCTGAACACAACTAGGCTGAGCAGCGTCAACTATATCAGTATAGCAGAGGGCAACAAGAGGAAGAGGTCTCTTTAGTAGTCTTACAAGACTACTTGTAGTAGTCTCATGATGATCTTAAGAGATTTTGATGGGCTTGCCTGTATGACCTCAATCGCAGATAAACTGTCCTAGTTCTCTAATAAACAAATATCTCACCCGTAGAATTAAGATCCCAGAAAAGGAGGTATTTGCTAATTTGTATTATTCCTTTTGGTCTTATATACATGCCACTATCTTCTCCCAGTTTGTGGCTTGTTGGGTCCATGCTCTTCTTTCCATAAATATTATGTGCCACATAGGGAACTAAGCACTGTGCACACCATGCAAAACAAGACAGACAAGTTCCTTGCCCTCATGGAGCTTACATTCTACTAGAGATTATATTCTAGTGGAGGAAAAGAACATAGAAGACAGACAATAGTGAAGTAAAAATAAACACAGACATTCATGATCATAAACAAATGAAATGGGGATGGACACTTGCTTTTAGTAAGAAACTGTAGGAGAGATATAATTAAGGAGGCTAACATTTAAGTGGAGCTCTGAATAATGAGGAGACAGTCATAGTAAGGGGTGGGAACAAATATAAAGTCCAAAGCAGCAAGCTTCTGCTTGGGAAATTGGTAGGACAGCATGGATAGGGTATAGTGAAAAGAGAAAAAGGGATATAAAAGATCAGGCTGGAAGAGCAGGCAGAAGACAGACTGCACAAAGGGCTTTGAAAGGCATGGTAAGGAATTTGAGTTTTATTCTGAGTATTATTAGAATACTGAGGAGTTTCTGAAGCCACTGACAAGCTTAATGTAGTATATGAACTGACCATTTTTTCATTTTTGCCAATTGAGAGATAAGGGTGGAGGCTGGGCACGGTGGCTCATGCCTGTAATCCCAGCACTTTGGGAGGCTGAGGCGGGCAGATCACCTGAGGTCAGGAGTTTGAGACCAGCCTGACCAACATAGTGAAACCCGGTCTCTACTAAAAAAACAAAAAATTAGCTGGGTGTGGCGGCATGCACCTGTAGTACCAGCTACTCGGGAGGCTGAGGCAGAAGAATCGCTTTAACTCAGGAGCCAGAGGTTGCAGTGAGCTGAGATCACGCTACTGCACTCCAGTATGGGTGAGAGTGAGACTCTGTCTCAAAAAAAAAAAAAAAAAAAAAGTCAGAGAGAGATAAGGGTTGAGATCTATTAGAGTAACAACTGTTAAAAACTTTGTTTTGTGAGACAGGTTCTCATCTTACTCTGTTGCCCAAGTAGCTGGCACTACAGATGTGCACCACCATGCCTGGCTAATTTTTGTATTTTTTTTTTGTAGAGATCGGGTCTCACTACATTGCCCTGGCTAGTCTCAAACTGCTGGGCTCAAGAGATCCTTCTGCCTTGGCTTCCCAAAGTGCTGGGATTGTAAGCGTGAGCCACTGCACGTGGCCGCAAGTTGTATTTAATAGCAATACTAAACTTTCCATTTACAAAAATACACAACAAAATGCCTTTAATCTGTATTAGGCACTTACTACTTTTCCAATGGATGTGTTTTATCAGGTTTAAAACAGTTTAAGATAAGGAAATGCCATATTCTGAACAATAGGTTACCTTAAGTTTATAACATATTGGCAAGCATTCAAATTACCAAATAAATTTTAAGGTCAAGGAAAGCACTCAACCCTGAATAGTAGTCTATATTTTATTTTATTTTGAGATGGAGTCTCATTCTGTCGCCCAGGCTGGAGTGCAGTGGCATGATGTCAGCTTACTACAAGCTCCACCCCCTGGGTTCAAGCCATTCTCCTGCCTCAGCCTCCCGAGTAGCTGGGACTACAGGCACCCGCCACCACGCCCGGCTAATTTTTTGTATTTTTAGTAAAGACGGGGTTTCACCATGTTAGCCAGGATGGTCTCCATCTCCTGACCTCATGATCCGCATATCTCGGCCTCCCAAAGTGCTGGGATTACAGGCATTAGCCACTGTGCCCAGCCTATCTTTATTAACATAAAGTACAGATATGGTTGACAGCATACCATTAATAACAAATAATAACTATTACTCCCCACTTTAAAACATGATTACCGGTATTTGAAATCTTTTCAGAGCAGGCAGTGCCTGCGTTTCCTGGGGCAACCAACACTTGTTTGACATGATGAGACTGTGCAAGTTTCCAGGCCAGCGTATGTTCCCTTCCTCCACTGCCAATTATAAGTACTCGGGCTGCCATTGTTCTGTCTGTAAAGCAGAAATTCCAAAGGAAAATGAAACCTGCAGAAAGAAAACCACAGTTTATATCTTAGGATGCACATTTTAGAAACCCAGGGACGGGCACAGTGGCTCATGCCTGTACCCCCAGCATTTTGGGAGGCCGAGGCAGGTGGATCACTTGAGGTCAGGAGTTTGAGACCAGCCTTGGCCAACATGGCAAAACCTCATCTCTACTAAAATACAAAAATTAGCCAGGCATGGTGGCGGGTGCCTGTAATCCCAGGTACTCAGGAGGCCAAGGCAGGAGAATTGCTTGAACCTGGTAGGAGGAGATCGCAGTGAGCCAGGATCACGTCACTACACTCTAGCCTGGGAAACAGAGCAAGACCATCTCAAAAAAAAAAAAGAAATCCAGATTTGTAAATATAATTTAAGTAATCATTTGTACTCATACAAATGACATTTTCATCCAATGATTCATTTTTGAAAAACTGGGATTCATAATTTGAGAAATATGACTGTCGTCATAAGCATAAGGGAGGTATTTCAAAAAGAAGGCAGGCTGGCCTAGAGAGCTAGGTTAAGGAGTCAAACGATGACTCTCAGCTCCTTATGTGATAATCTCCCTTCTCTGGGCTTCACTTCAAAAAGATTTAATAATCATCATGCCTTAGTTATGAAATGAATCTTGTTTTAGACTCAAAATGTATTATAAAATATCAATTTTTAAACCTTGAAATCTTACAGATAATTAGGTTATCATAAATTAAAGGATATACTGAAAACTGGGGTAAGCAAACTTTACACAAAAAGGGCCACATAGTTCTGTCAAAACTACTCGACTCGGCCACCTTAGCAGGAAAGCAACCAAAGATAATACGAAGATGAATCAATGTGCCAATGTCCAGAAAAATTTAATGGACCCATAAACAGGCAGTGGGTCAGAGATCACTGTTGCCTATCAGTACTTTAAGTAGCAGGAAACCATCAAAGGTTTGTAACAAATAAACGTGACTCGCTTTCAATAAAACTTTATGTACGGATACTATAATTTGAATTTCATAAAATTTTCACATGTCACAAAAACCTCATTTATTTCCTGTTCTTTTTCTCAATCATTCATATTTGGTGAGCTGTACAAAAGCAGGCAGCAGAAGGATTTGGTATGTGGGCCATAGTTTGCTGACTCCTAATTCAAATAGCGCAATATGCTAGAATATTGGTAGAGAAGGCAAAAATCAAATTCCAACTCATTTCACTTTAGTTCTGGCACCTGAGACTTAGAAGGATGGATACAACAGCAGTGTAACCTAGGAGATTAACTGAAATGACATTTATAAATAAGTACAATCTGGCACTCAGCAGTAGTAAATGTTAACTTGTTACATTTACTTACCACAAGACAAACTGGTAACAGGAAAAAGAAAATTGAAAACTTATTTTGATGATGTTGGGATTACATATTTTAAGAAAAATGTAAGCTGACAATATACAAAACTAACATTTTTTTGAGCACTTAACCTTGGGCAGGGTACTATTTAAAATGCTTGTCATGAAAGAATCCTATGAGGGAGATACTATTACTATCACCAATTTGCAGATAAGACAAGGAGGCCCAGATAGGTAAATAACTTGCTGGAGGTCACACAGGTAAGAGGGGGTGGAGCCTAACAGAAGCAATTTTGCTTCAGATTCTCTCAACAAGTGAAACGATGATCATTGAAAATTTGAGAAAGGAAAAAAAAAAACCCTGTTAAATTACAGTCTCGGAAGGAACAGCTACTTTAGTGTAACGGGAAAACACATTTTACTTGCCATGTGTATCTGAAATAAACAGATTTTTTATTTTATTTATTTATTTATTTGTTTAGACAGTCTCTCTCTGTCGCCCAGGCTGGAGGGCAGTGGTGTGATCTCAGCTCACTACAACCTCCGCCTCCCGGGTTCAAGCGATTCTCTTGCCTCACAGCCTCCCAAGTAGCTGGGATTACGGGCGTGCGCCGCCACGCCAGGCGAATTTTTGTATTTTTAGTAGCGACGGGGTTTCACTACGTTGGCCAGGCTGGTCTCGAACTCCTGACCTCCAATGGTCAACCCACCTTGGCCTCCCAAGTGCTGGGATTACATCACATCCGGCCAGAAATAAACAGATCTTTAAATCTAGAGCAAATGTTACATCTTTAGTTTGAATATAGCAGTAGTGTGGGAAAATTCTGTTTACTCTAGTGGATCACTGAAAATAGCCTTACTACCCAGTGGTGAGGACGCCTGGGCTCCTGAGTCTCACACAGCGCCTTGGCCTGGGTAGAGACGCTGCCCCATACTAGCAGGAAGACCTTGGGGGACTTCACTAACCTTGGGCCTCATTCCTCAGAATGGGTAACATAAGCAGAATAAGACAGGCAAATAAAGCCGTATCAGAGGATATGGAGAATAAAGTAGAAACCAACTACAAAATTAACCAAGTAATCTGCCAGAGACAACGGGTGCATAAAGAGAAAGTACACCAATTTAGGGTTATGTCCTAAAAATGTATAAAGACACAAAAAGGCCTTGACATCTTAGAAAACAGGAAAAGTAAAAGAGCAAATAGAAACCAGCTAACAGTAGCAAGTGAAAAGCACATGGCCAACCCCCACCCACCGCATTTACAAACAACAGGAAAATTTCTACAAATCAGTTTCTATGGTTTCACTCAGTTCGCGATCTTAAATCCCCAAACCAAAGCCTAAGCGCGCTCCGTGTAAAAGCGGAGGGGGTTTACGCACCGACACCGGGTGGCCACCTGGTTCCCGCTTGCCCGCTCGCCGGAAGTCGGCCCACCGGGACCGGCGCGGGACCAGCGCGGCACCGCCCCTCACTGCCCCGCCCTACGACGGCTTCCCTGCCCCATTGGTCCGCGCGGCCCTGGGTCTCCGCGGCGAGAATCTAGTCTGATTCCCTCCCGCCCTGGGCGCTGCCTGACTGCTCCCCAGCCGAGACACCCAAGCCTTAGCACGTTTATAATGTGACAGTGGTACGGGGTGCCACGCAGTGTTTCCAGGAGCGCCGGGGGGGAGCGCCAAAATGCTAAACCCATTCTTAGCCAATTGTGCGCCGCTCACGAGTCAGAGCTGAGCAGCTACCGCGGAAAAATCTCGTGACACGCCTGACTCCTGATGAGACTAAAATGCACCGGGCTTTGAATGCCGGTCGCTTAGGACATCCGGCCTATTGCTAAAAAAAAAAATGAGGCTGGTTATAGAACGCACTGGGGAAGACACAGGGCAACAGCGAGTTCCTCCTCTCACATGCCAGTGGGGGCGGGGGCTGAAAAATTCTCTCCCGGATGCATATCCCTGTCGAAACTGAACTTGGCGCCACCTGAGAGCGCCTGAAAGCCGTGTGTTAAACACCGGGTTGCCCTTCTTGCTCTTCTTCCTCTTCGCCTTTAATCTCAGGCACTTAGCAAGCCTGTTAAGGCTCCCAAACACTGCTGGGGACTGACAACTTATGCGGACACGGTCGCCTCAAGAGAGACGGCTCCTGTAATGGCGCCTGCGTCAGACACTAACATGGCGGACATAGTCGTGCGCGGCGCAAACGTCAGCACCTCTACCCCAGCCGCTCAGAAACAGCAGAGGAGAGCAGGGCCGTGCTCACTGATTGGTCCCTCGGTGGAGCGGGCCGGACCGGGCATTCCCTTTGGAGCCAATCAGGAAGGCGAGAGACCGAATTGGCCCGTGCGCCTCCTCCCGAGGCATGCTGGGAGCCTGGAGGACTAGCGAGGAGGAGTTGAGAGAACGGAGCGGACGCCATGGCGACCAACATCGAGCAGATTTTTAGGTCTTTCGTGGTCAGTAAATTCCGGGAAATTCAACAGGAGCTTTCCAGGTAAACGCCTCCCAGATTCTTCTGCTCCCAACGGACCGTTAGGCCCTCACCTAGCCTTCTTTGGCACCTTTCTTCGGAGACGCAGTCGTTCCCCGGCTCAGGCCCCGCTAGGGCCCCGCCTGGGCCTGGGATCCATTTTCCGGGCCCCCCCCAACCGCCCCCCCAGCCGCTCCCTTCCTTTTCCCTCGAGGAACTTCGCCTTTTCCGAGGTAACCCAAGACTCCCTGTTTCAGAACCGAGTTAAGATGTTCACCCTTCTCCCCTGTTTGGGTCCCCCCTGCCGTTTAGCTACTCGTAGGCCCGGTTGTCCGCCAGGGACGGGCCTAGTTCCTTCCTCAGCTCCTCCTCCGCCGCCGCGTATCCCCTCCCCCTCTCGCCTCCGCGGATTTTGCCGGCCGGTGCCTATGACCGGAAAGGGTCTCTAACGGCCGTTTCTTGGTTAATCTTAAATCCTCTTTATTATTGCGAGCTTCAGACCGCTTGGGGGTCTGGATCTATTAATAAGATTATTCGGGGCCTAGTGTCCTGTAGTATCTGTCAGCCGTTCTGATAGTTAAATGTTTCAATTAAAACGAACTCAAACTGATGCACTTGCTAGTTTGTTAAAATACTCGAGATAAAGATGGAAGGGGACTTTGAAATGGTTGCGATTAATTACAGCAAGTGAAAGTGGACTTTGTGTGTAGGTCTATTATTTTCTTGCTACCCCTGCCCCAGTTGACACGCTATTTTTGTCATTGCTGGTAGACTTTACATAATTTGCGCTTGGCTTCACAAAATTTGAAGGCGAAGAGATTGTTAAAGAAATGGTTGTTTACTTAGGAAAATAGTGTGTCATGTTCAGCGGTTGTCTCTCGATATTTGCTTTTGTATAAGATACTCATTTCTTTAAAGTACAGAAGTAGGAAAGAGATCTTGAAACGTAAGTGTTCCGAGTTCAAGTGTTTTTAATTGTATTTTAAAAGTTGAGAGCAAGAGCAGTACGTGAATTTGAAAATGGGCCGAAAACCAGTTGTAAGTGCCCAAAGTAATACAGGATTATTAGGGCAATGATGTATTATTGCTAGAATTATCACTTTTGCAGAATGTGTTGTTTTTTAAGTGGAAATAGATCCACTCACATTGCTTTTTAAATTTTTGTGATATTGCTAGTAGTGTTTTGGATGAGAAGAGACCCGAGCTAAGAGAATATAATTTTCCTGACAAATCTCTGGCTGCAATAAGTAGTTGTTTGCTTAGTTTAACGAGGTGTGTTTTTGTAGCTTTTAAAAGCTAGTCTTTCCTTTAGAAAATGAGCGTTTTATTATAATTTAGAAGACATGAAAAAGGAGAAAAGAAAAAACTCACGTTATTGATATTCTCATGTCATTTCATTTCCCCCCCCATGTATTGTGTGATATGTGATCATCTTGTTTTGTATTGATCATTTTTCCAGCTAATACGTTGTGAACAGGTTTATCCCTCTCAGTCTCAGTCTTTTGGACTTCTTCATGGCTGCATAGAATCCCATTGTAGGAATATACTGTTGCATATTTAGGTGGTTTGAAATTTTCATTGCTTTTCAGTAAATGCGGTTAACGATTGCTGGCTTTAAGATGAAATCATTACTTCCTTGTAGATTAACTTTTAAAACCATAATTACTTTTCTGATTTTCAAATTTGTCATAATTATGTATAAATGCTTAGGAAAATTGTAAAATAAAGTGCTACAGAAGGAATATCTAAAAATAATATTAGACGAAGCAGTTTATTACTAGAGGAATATGCAGCTTCTCTTCAACACATAATGCGTTATCAGTCTGCAAACAAGTTTTTGATTATTTGCCATTTCAGTGAGCTGTTTTTTTTCTCATCTGCTTTTATGTAAATTAGAGTAATGAGGCTGACATTTAGATAGTTAAAACAAGTTATCGAACTTCTGTTATAGATGGTGTGTAAGAATATGGCCTCTGGTTTGAGTACCAGCTTCACCTCTTAGTAGCTGTGTGACCTTCAGCTAAGTTTCTTCATTTATAAAAGAATAATAGTGGTGATCTCAGAGTTTTGTTAGGATTAAATGAGTTAATGTAGAACAGTATGACACTAGTAGTCAATAAATGATAATTATTATAACTATAATTATACAATTCATTGTATTAGAAAGCCAGATGTTCCTTAATAATAATTAGGTAACTACTGAATTTTTTTTGGTTTTTGACCATTCAGACTTTTATCAGGTAGTGGAGCATAATTGATGTGTTTTCATTTAGCTAAAATTGAAGTTAAAATCAAACTGTTGCTGAAAGTATTTGATTTTTCAAAATTTTGCAAATTCACACAAAAATAGTAAAAATTACTGGGCGAATGATATGTTCTTACCTATTTAAAAATTTCTCTGGCCCTGTGAATGGAACATGTGTTAAGCCATCTATGCTTTTACTGTTGGTATAAATGCCACTTGTTTTATGTGAGTTTTATAAACCAGAGTTCTTGATAATTGTGTAAAAATTACATAAATTATTTTCCTTTTTAAGTTCAGTGGCATTTCAGTAGCAATGTAAGCCTGGACAGAGGTTACAGGTTACCCTTTTTATTCAGTGTGCCTGTGGCTAACTTTTGTGTTCCTTGATACTATTGATGGTGATTGTGATTTATGCACAGCTGTGGCTTTAATGTAGCCATGGTTTCTACCATAATGTTAGGCCACATGTTTTTCTTTTGATTTGTGACCGGGCTCTTATTAATTTTTCTCCCCTGAAAGAAATATGTGGGTATCCCAAAAGCCTAAAGTTAGATTTCTGAAATTATTTTGTTTAACAAAGAGTGTACTTAGAAACCTGTTTTCTTAATTTTCATAGTTCTGAAAACTTTAATTGTATAAAAATGAAATGTCCAAAATATAAGTAGATCATGGTAAGAAGCATTATTAGTGGTGAATATCTAAAATAGGAAAAAGGTAAAACATCTGACAGTCAGTACAACATATGATTATTGTAATTAATTGGATTTTTTTATTAATGGTATGATAAAATATTAATGAATTTCGATAACTTTTCATGTCAAGTGGAAGGAATGAAGGCCAGCTGAATGGTGAAACAAATACACCCATTGAAGGAAACCAGGCGGGTGATGCAGCTGCCTCTGCCAGGAGTCTACCAAATGAAGAAATAGTGCAGAAGATAGAGGAAGTACTTTCTGGGGTCTTAGATACAGAACTACGATATAAGCCAGGTAAGTTGGAGATAATTAACTGTCTCAAAAATTTTCTTTTAAGATTTTTTTGAAATTTGAAGGTTAATGTTAGTTTTTGACTTCAGTATTTAAGATATTTATTAAATTAAAAACTTTAGGCTGGGTGCGATGGCTCACGCCTGTAATCCCAGCACTTTGGGAGGCTGAGGTGGGTGGATCACCTGAGGTCAGGAGTTCCAGACCAACCTGGTCAACATGGAGAAACCCCCATCTCTACTGAAAATACAAAAATTAGCCGGGTGTGGTGGTGGGTGCCTGTAATCCCAGCTACTTGGGAAGCTGAGGCAGGAGAATCGCATGAACCCAGGAGGCGAATGTTGCAGTGCGCTGAGATTGCGCCATTGCACTCCAGCCTGGGCGACAAGAATGAAACTCCATCTCAAAAAAAAATTTTTTTTTCAGTAAATTTAAGCTTTTGTTTAATTGATTTAATGAAGACTTTCTTGTTTAAATTTTCCTTCCATACTTCCACTGGAAAACAAACATTGATGTACTTGTTTACTCTGCTGGTAGAATATAATTTTTATTTTTGACTTAGTTTCAGTTTATTTGATTCAGTTTCTTTTTCTTTTCTTTTCTTTTTTCTTTTTTTTGAGACAGTTTCACTCTTTTTGCCCAGCCTGGAGTGCAATGGCGTGATCTCGGCTCACCGCAACCTCCGCCTCCCAGGTTCAAGTGATTCTCCTGCCTCAGCCTCCCAAGTAGCTGGGATTACAGGCGCCTGCCACCATGCCCGGCTAATTTTTTTTTGTATTTTTAGTAGAAACGGGGTTTCACCGTGTTGGCCAGGGTGGTCTGGTCTCGATCTCTTGACCTCATGATCCGCACACCTTGGCCTCCCAAAGTGCTGGGATTACAGGCGTGAGCCACCGCGCCCGGCTTGATTAAGTTTCTTAGTATCAGGAATTTGAGTATGGATTTTTATTAAACAGTTGTGTAAAAATACCCATCCCACTTAAACTGCAGTGGATGGAGAGGAATCATTGCTTGAATATTTAGCGTTTTTGGAATTGATTAATTGATGTTTAGAAATGAAGGATTTAGCCACAAAAATAACAGTCATTACCTTGATTTAGTTCTGGAATCAAGTTTGTAATATGGTTGGTTTGTCCTCTTTTTTGGGGGGAACTTTAGCTGTGCTTAGATTCATGACTCTCAAACAGACTTGCTTAGATTCATGGCTCTAACAACCTTCATTGAAGTATGACTTATCTAACATTTTGTATTATGAAACAAACAATTAATAGAAAATGGTAAGTTTTGCTTTGGCCTATGTCAAGTGTTGATTTATTTTCTTCTGTAGTCTTTTTTTTTTTTTTTTTTTTTTTTTTTGAGACGGAGTCTCGCTCTGACGCCCAGGCTGGAGTGCAGTGGGGTGATCTCAGCTGACTGCAAGCTCCGCCTCCCGGGTTCACGCCATTGTCCTGCCTCAGCCTCCGGAGTAGCTGGGACTACAGGCGCACACCACCACGCCCGGCTAATTTTTTGTATTTTTTTTTTTTTTAGTAGAGACGGGGTTTTACCGTGTTAGCCAGGATGGTCTTGATCTCCTGGCCTCGTGATCCACACGTCTTGGCCTCCCAAAGTGCTGGGATTACAGGCGTGAGCCACAGTGCCCGGCCTTTTTTCTGTAGTCTTAATGGCTCAGATTTCTGATGAGCTTTTTTGGGGGTCCCTAAGATTTATCTAATTTGATATTGGCATTAGAGTAAATAAATCCCATCTGGTTGTTAAAGTTGAATACTCCCATCTCTTTAGGGTATGTAAATTCAAACCTTCTTAAGTTGTAAATTAAGGACTAAGAATTTCCTCTCTAAAATCAGTATTCTTTTCTAAAATAGAAACATTTGAAAAGTTATTTATTAGTGGTTTTAGAATAGTATTGGGGGAAAATGTTATCTCTTTAGGGTATGTAAATTCAAACTTTCTTAAGTTATAAGGACTAAGAATTTCCTCTCTAAAATCAGTATCCTTTTCTAAAACAGAAACATTTAAAAAGTTATTTTAGTGGTTTCAGAATAGTATTGGGGGAAAATATTATTTTTATTAGAATGTAACGTAGGCATGATAAGGTAAAATTTGAGTTCTCTATGAATATTTTATATTTGTTATTCAGATATTTTTATACTCTGTAGAAGCAATCACTAACCTTTGTTGAAAGCTTATTCTGTGCCAGGCATTATTTGATGTACTTTGCATGTTTTAACTCACTTTATCCTCTAACTCTAGAAGACACAAGTGTGTCAGTAATTTGGCCAAGACCATTAACCTAGTAAGTGATGAACTGATTGAGGATTCAAAAGTGGCAGTCTGTTCCAGAGCCAGTGCCATGTTGCTTCCTGTATAAACAAGGGTTAATAATCGCAAAAATTATATTATGTGGGTATTTTTAATAGAAACTGTAGCAACTAATAACATGAAATATATTCAGTGACAAAAGTAGTTTAAAAGTAATTTTGCTATGATTTGAGAGCTGGAGGGAATAATTATTTTAATAGAATTTAGTGAAACATGTCTTAATGTAATTCAAAGTAAGTTTTGGTGTTTAATAATTTATTTTTAACCCAGGCATTAGTTGTGGAAAGAATTATCAGAAAAGTAGTAGTCTCCAGGTTAACTGTTTTATGAAAAATAGTTTATTTGGTAACTTTTAATTTAACGTGAGGTGTTATACTGTGGGGTTTTTTTTTTTTTTTGAGACAGAGTCTTGCTCTGTTGCCTAGGCTGGAGTACAGTGGTGCAATTTCAGCTCACTGAAACCTCGACCTACTGGGTTCAAGTGATCCGCCTCAGCCTCCCAAATAGCTGGGACTACAGGTGCGCGTCACCATGCCTGGCTAATTTTTGTATTTTTAGTAGAGATGGGGTTTCACCATGCTGGCCAGGCTGGTTTTGAACTCCTGACCTCATGATCCACCTGCCTTGGCCTCTCAGAGTGCTAAGATTACAGGCGTGAGCCACTGTACTTGGCCTGTACTAAGGTGTTTTAACATGGAATGTAAATATGGGTTTATATGATTTAATCTAACTCTACTTTGGGGAATGTCTGACAAAATTAATTTCTATTACTTTTAGACTTGAAAGAGGGCTCCAGAAAAAGTAGATGCGTATCTGTACAAACAGATCCTACTGATGAAATTCCCACTAAAAAGTCAAAGAAGCATAAAAAGCACAAAAACAAAAAGAAGAAAAAGAAGAAAGAAAAGGAAAAAAAATATAAAAGACAGCCAGAAGAATCTGAGTCAAAGACGAAATCTCATGATGATGGGAACATAGATTTAGAATCTGATTCCTTTTTAAAGTTTGATTCTGAACCTTCAGCTGTGGCGCTGGAGCTTCCTACAAGAGCATTTGGCCCATCTGAGACCAATGAATCCCCTGCAGTTGTGCTAGAACCTCCTGTAGTATCAATGGAGGTATCAGAGCCACACATCTTAGAAACTCTGAAGCCAGCTACAAAAACTGCAGAACTGTCAGTTGTATCTACATCAGTAATCTCAGAGCAGTCAGAGCAGTCTGTGGCAGTAATGCCAGAACCATCCATGACAAAGATTCTGGATTCCTTTGCAGCAGCACCAGTGCCTACTACAACACTGGTGTTGAAGTCATCTGAGCCAGTTGTAACAATGTCAGTGGAGTATCAGATGAAGTCTGTGCTGAAATCTGTGGAGAGCACATCTCCAGAGCCATCAAAGATCATGTTGGTAGAGCCCCCAGTAGCAAAAGTGTTAGAGCCTTCAGAAACCCTTGTGGTATCATCAGAGACACCTACTGAGGTGTACCCTGAGCCAAGCACATCAACAACAATGGATTTTCCAGAGTCATCTGCAATTGAAGCGCTAAGATTGCCAGAGCAGCCTGTAGACGTACCATCGGAGATTGCAGATTCATCCATGACAAGACCGCAGGAGTTGCCGGAGCTGCCTAAGACCACAGCGTTGGAGCTGCAGGAGTCGTCGGTGGCCTCAGCGATGGAGTTGCCGGGGCCACCTGCGACCTCCATGCCGGAGTTGCAGGGGCCCCCTGTGACTCCAGTGCTGGAGTTACCTGGGCCCTCTGCTACCCCGGTGCCAGAGTTGCCAGGGCCCCTTTCTACCCCAGTGCCTGAGTTGCCAGGGCCCCCTGCGACAGCAGTGCCTGAGTTGCCAGGGCCCTCTGTGACACCAGTGCCACAGTTGTCGCAGGAATTGCCAGGGCTTCCAGCACCATCCATGGGGTTGGAGCCACCACAGGAGGTACCAGAGCCACCTGTGATGGCACAGGAGTTGCCAGGGCTGCCTTTGGTGACAGCAGCAGTAGAGTTGCCAGAGCAGCCTGCGGTAACAGTAGCAATGGAGTTGACCGAACAACCTGTGACGACGACAGAGTTGGAGCAGCCTGTGGGGATGACAACGGTGGAACATCCTGGGCATCCTGAGGTGACAACGGCAACAGGGTTGCTGGGGCAGCCTGAGGCAACGATGGTGCTGGAGTTGCCAGGACAGCCAGTGGCAACGACAGCGCTGGAGTTGCCGGGGCAGCCTTCGGTGACTGGGGTGCCAGAGTTGCCAGGGCTGCCTTCGGCAACTAGGGCACTGGAGTTGTCGGGGCAGCCTGTGGCAACTGGGGCACTAGAGTTGCCTGGGCCGCTCATGGCAGCTGGGGCACTGGAGTTCTCGGGGCAGTCTGGGGCAGCTGGAGCACTGGAGCTTTTGGGGCAGCCTCTGGCAACAGGGGTGCTGGAGTTGCCAGGGCAGCCTGGGGCGCCAGAGTTGCCTGGGCAGCCTGTGGCAACTGTGGCGCTGGAGATCTCTGTTCAGTCTGTGGTGACAACATCGGAGCTGTCAACGATGACCGTGTCGCAGTCCCTGGAGGTGCCCTCGACGACAGCGCTGGAATCCTATAATACGGTAGCACAGGAGCTGCCTACTACATTAGTGGGGGAGACTTCTGTAACAGTAGGAGTGGATCCCTTGATGGCCCCAGAATCCCATATATTAGCTTCTAACACCATGGAGACCCATATATTAGCATCCAACACCATGGACTCCCAAATGCTAGCGTCCAACACCATGGACTCCCAGATGCTAGCATCCAACACCATGGACTCCCAGATGTTAGCGTCTAGCACCATGGACTCCCAGATGTTAGCAACTAGCTCCATGGACTCCCAGATGTTAGCAACTAGCTCCATGGACTCCCAGATGTTAGCAACTAGCACTATGGACTCCCAGATGTTAGCAACCAGTTCCATGGACTCCCAGATGTTAGCAACCAGCTCCATGGACTCCCAGATGTTAGCAACCAGCTCCATGGACTCCCAGATGTTAGCAACCAGCTCCATGGACTCCCAGATGTTAGCAACCAGCACCATGGATTCTCAGATGTTAGCAACCAGCACCATGGACTCCCAGATGTTAGCAACTAGCTCAATGGATTCCCAGATGTTAGCATCTGGCACTATGGACTCTCAAATGTTAGCTTCTGGCACCATGGATGCTCAGATGTTAGCGTCTGGTACCATGGATGCCCAGATGTTAGCGTCTAGTACCCAAGATTCTGCTATGTTGGGTTCAAAATCTCCTGATCCCTATAGGTTAGCTCAGGATCCTTACAGGTTAGCTCAGGATCCCTATAGGTTGGGCCATGACCCCTATAGATTAGGTCATGATGCTTACAGGTTAGGACAAGACCCTTATAGATTAGGCCATGATCCCTACAGACTAACTCCTGATCCCTATAGGATGTCACCTAGACCCTACAGGATAGCACCCAGGTCCTATAGAATAGCACCCAGGCCATATAGGTTAGCACCTAGACCCCTGATGTTAGCATCTAGACGTTCTATGATGATGTCCTATGCTGCAGAACGTTCCATGATGTCATCTTACGAACGCTCTATGATGTCTTATGAGCGGTCTATGATGTCCCCTATGGCTGAACGCTCTATGATGTCAGCCTACGAGCGCTCTATGATGTCAGCCTACGAGCGCTCTATGATGTCCCCTATGGCTGAGCGCTCTATGATGTCAGCTTATGAACGCTCCATGATGTCAGCTTATGAACGCTCCATGATGTCCCCAATGGCTGATCGATCTATGATGTCCATGGGTGCTGACCGGTCTATGATGTCGTCATACTCTGCTGCTGACCGGTCTATGATGTCATCGTACTCTGCAGCTGACCGATCTATGATGTCATCTTATACTGCTGATCGTTCAATGATGTCTATGGCTGCTGATTCTTACACCGATTCTTACACTGACACATATACAGAGGCATATATGGTGCCACCTTTGCCTCCTGAAGAGCCCCCAACAATGCCACCGTTGCCACCTGAGGAGCCACCAATGACACCACCATTGCCTCCTGAGGAACCACCAGAGGGTCCAGCATTGCCCACTGAGCAGTCAGCATTAACAGCTGAAAATACTTGGCCTACAGAGGTGCCATCATCACCATCTGAAGAGTCTGTATCGCAGCCTGAGCCTCCTGTGAGTCAAAGTGAGATTTCGGAGCCTTCAGCAGTGCCTACTGATTATTCAGTGTCAGCATCAGATCCCTCAGTTTTAGTATCAGAGGCTGCTGTGACTGTTCCAGAACCACCACCAGAGCCAGAATCTTCAATTACGTTAACACCTGTAGAGTCTGCAGTAGTAGCAGAAGAACATGAAGTTGTTCCAGAGAGACCAGTGACTTGTATGGTATCTGAAACTCCCGCCATGTCAGCTGAACCAACTGTGTTAGCATCAGAGCCTCCTGTTATGTCAGAGACAGCAGAAACATTTGATTCCATGAGAGCCTCAGGACATGTTGCCTCAGAAGTATCTACATCCTTGTTGGTTCCAGCAGTAACTACTCCAGTGCTGGCAGAGAGCATTCTGGAGCCGCCAGCCATGGCTGCCCCAGAGTCTTCAGCTATGGCTGTCCTGGAGTCTTCGGCTGTGACCGTCCTGGAGTCTTCGACTGTGACTGTCCTGGAGTCTTCGACTGTAACTGTCCTGGAGCCTTCGGTTGTGACTGTCCCGGAGCCTCCTGTTGTGGCTGAGCCAGACTATGTTACCATTCCTGTGCCAGTTGTTTCTGCGCTGGAGCCTTCTGTGCCTGTTCTGGAACCAGCGGTGTCAGTCCTTCAACCTTCTATGATTGTTTCAGAACCATCTGTTTCTGTCCAGGAATCGACTGTGACAGTTTCAGAGCCTGCTGTCACAGTCTCAGAGCAGACTCAAGTAATACCAACTGAGGTGGCTATAGAGTCCACACCAATGATACTGGAATCTAGTATCATGTCATCACATGTTATGAAAGGAATTAATCTATCCTCTGGTGATCAAAATCTTGCTCCAGAGATTGGCATGCAGGAGATTGCATTGCATTCAGGTGAAGAACCACATGCTGAGGAACACCTGAAAGGTGACTTTTACGAAAGTGAACATGGTATAAATATAGACCTTAATATAAATAATCATTTAATTGCTAAAGAGATGGAACATAATACAGTGTGTGCTGCTGGTACTAGTCCTGTTGGGGAAATTGGTGAAGAGAAAATTTTGCCCACCAGTGAGACTAAACAGCGCACAGTATTGGATACCTACCCTGGTGTTAGTGAAGCTGATGCAGGAGAAACTCTATCTTCTACTGGTCCTTTTGCTCTGGAACCTGATGCAACAGGAACTAGTAAGGGTATTGAATTTACCACAGCATCTACTCTCAGTTTAGTTAATAAATATGATGTTGATTTATCTTTAACTACTCAAGATACTGAACATGACATGGTAATTTCCACCAGTCCTAGTGGTGGTAGTGAAGCTGACATTGAAGGGCCTTTGCCTGCTAAAGATATTCATCTTGATTTACCATCTAATAATAACCTTGTTAGTAAGGATACAGAAGAACCATTACCTGTAAAAGAGAGTGACCAGACATTAGCAGCTCTGCTCAGCCCTAAAGAAAGTAGTGGAGGAGAAAAAGAAGTACCTCCCCCTCCTAAAGAGACACTGCCTGATTCAGGATTTTCTGCCAATATTGAGGATATTAATGAAGCAGATTTAGTGAGACCGTTACTTCCTAAGGACATGGAACGTCTTACAAGCCTTAGAGCTGGCATTGAAGGACCTTTACTTGCAAGTGATGTTGGACGTGACAGATCTGCTGCCAGCCCGGTTGTAAGTAGTATGCCAGAAAGAGCTTCAGAGTCTTCTTCAGAGGAAAAAGATGATTATGAAATTTTTGTAAAAGTTAAGGACACTCACGAAAAAAGCAAGAAAAATAAGAACCGTGATAAGGGGGAGAAAGAGAAGAAAAGAGACTCTTCATTAAGATCTCGAAGTAAGCGTTCCAAATCTTCTGAACACAAATCACGCAAGCGTACCAGTGAATCTCGTTCTAGGGCAAGAAAGAGATCATCTAAGTCCAAGTCTCATCGCTCTCAGACACGTTCACGGTCACGTTCAAGACGCAGGAGGAGAAGCAGCAGATCAAGATCAAAGTCTAGAGGAAGAAGATCTGTATCAAAAGAGAAGCGCAAAAGATCTCCAAAGCACAGATCCAAGTCTAGGGAAAGAAAAAGAAAAAGATCAAGCTCCAGGGATAACCGAAAGACAGTTAGAGCTCGAAGTCGAACCCCAAGTCGTCGGAGTCGGAGTCATACTCCAAGTCGTCGACGAAGGTCTAGATCTGTGGGTAGAAGAAGGAGCTTTAGCATTTCCCCAAGCCGCCGCAGCCGCACCCCCAGCCGCCGCAGCCGCACCCCCAGCCGCCGCAGCCGCACCCCCAGCCGCCGCAGCCGCACCCCCAGCCGCCGGAGCCGCACCCCTAGCCGTCGGAGCCGCACCCCAAGCCGCCGGAGAAGATCAAGGTCTGTGGTAAGAAGACGAAGCTTCAGTATCTCACCAGTCAGATTAAGGCGATCAAGAACACCCTTAAGAAGAAGGTTTAGCAGATCTCCCATCCGTCGTAAAAGATCCAGGTCTTCTGAACGAGGCAGATCACCCAAACGTCTGACAGATTTGGGTGAGTCATTTTAAAGTTTAATGGGATGGTAGTAGAAAATGTTTTAAACCTTAATTTTTTTCTGACCTTGAGTCAAGTGAAATACTTAGTTACTGGTTTAGGATAAATGTTTCTGTCTTTAAGTTTTTATTATTACATGGTACTGTATTTAGGAACTACTGGGATCAGTGTATTATAATTAGAGTTAAAAAGTCCTGTTTCAGAGTATAATAGAACCAAGGTGTTTCCATATTTGAATGTTTTATTTTGTTTTAGTTATCTTGCCATAGCTAAAAATTGAAAGCAGAAACAGATGTAGAACTCTAGCTAAATTAAAAACAAGCTAAGTATATGCTCAGATTGTTATTGTATGTGTTCTAACATACATCCTTGCAACTAAGCCTAAAATTACAATGTTCCTTTTTAAATAAGTTAACATATCTTAAAATGGCATTATAGGACTGTTAAATGAAGGTAATTCTGATTGGTATAGTTGGTAATGGAAGTGAGTGGGGAATTTTGCGTGTGGGGGTTATTTAATTGGGTAGGTGATACTAGCTAAATAAAGTTAAATATTTTAGATCAGTGTGATTTTTAATAACCTGTTCTGCTTTACTTTAAAGATAACTGTTCTAATTTCCCCTGATTTTTAGTGTGCAGAGGTGATTAAAACTTGATCGATATGAATGATTACCTATAATAAATATGGATAATTTATCCTTATCCCAGTATACTGGACATTTCTAGGCCAGGATTGTCTAAAGAAGAAGAGGTTAAGAGTAAAAAGGGAGAATCTGCATTCAGTTCAACAGAAGTTTTCTGAGTTCTTTTTTATTCACAGCAGAGGAACAGTATGTAATTCCTCAAGTGATTGCAAGTGGTGGAGGAGACATGGGTAAAATGCATATATGTCTCTCTTATAGTAACACTGTCTAAAAAGGACAGAATGTGATTACTATAATACTGATAGAGGTGAGGTACTTTAGGAACACAATGGGAAAAGGGGAAAAGGAATGTTAATTCTGACTTAATGACAGCTTGTTAGAAGAGGTGGCACTTCGGCTGGGCATGGTGGCTCATACCTGTAATCCCAGCACTTTGGGAGGCCGAGGCAGGTGGATCACCTGAGGTCAGGAGTTCGAGACCAGCCTGGCCAATGTGGAGAAACCCCATCTCTACTAAAAATACAAAAAATTAGATGGGTGTGGTGGCACGCGCCTGTAGTCCCAGCTACTCGGGAGGCTGAGACAGGAGAATCACTTGAACCTGGGAGGTGGAAGTTGCAGTGAGCCAAGATGGCGCCACTGCACTGCAGCCTGGGCGACAGAGTGAGACTGTCTCAAAAAAAAAAAAAAAAAGAGGTGGCACTTGAACTGGGGCTCAAAGAGTGATTTAAGGTGTCAGAAGGAGAGTAAGGTCATGATAATTTTGTGAAATGAAATAGGCTTTGGCAGGTTTATATCTTAGAGTGTGTGTAGTAGGGTGATCATTATAGTTGTGTAGTAACCTATTGTAATATTCTAATGGGAAGCTCAATATGTGGACTTAATTCCCTGAATGAGGCCACTGCTGAAAAACTTTGAGCCAGTGGTTTGATCATAGCTGTAACTTAGAGCAGAATATTGATGCCTATAGTTTTTTCCTTTTTTTTTTTCTTTTTTGTTAGATACCCAAGTTCTTCGATGGATCTAGGATGCCTTTAGTTTTGTTAGTATGTTAGACTTTTGGTAATACAAAATGTACAGTCTTTTAGGAAAACTGCAGCTTGTATTTTTCTTCTTACAGATAAGGCTCAATTACTTGAAATAGCCAAAGCTAATGCAGCTGCCATGTGTGCTAAGGCTGGTGTCCCTTTACCACCAAACCTAAAGCCTGCACCTCCACCTACTATAGAAGAGAAAGTTGCTAAAAAGTCAGGAGGAGCTACTATAGAAGAACTAACTGAGGTAAGCTAGACAGAATTTGTTTTCATTCTTAAATGGATTATTCCAGTGATGTTGACTCTGGAGCGTGCCAAAACCCGAATTGTGGGCAGAACTGATAATGGCTGGCACCGAGTGGCCAAAACCCGAAATACAGATGTGGCAGCGGCAGAAGCTCTGTTTAGCAGGCCATTATCCGGGATGGCTAAGCTCCGCTAGCTAAAAGTTACTTCCCATTACTTTTGCTTTCCAGTTTTAGAAGCCAAACTGACTGAGGAGTGGGACGGTTCGTTTGAATGGAGGAGGTGTTGAGTGAGCAACACGCAGAAGCTCGCCTACAGTTTCGTTTCCATTCACGACGCGTTCACTGATCGCCACGAGTATACTGCATATACGCAAAGACACAGACAATCTTCAGAAATGATCTTTTGCCACCGGAGCTTGGAAATTAATAAGAATAGCTGGCCATTGCCTGAAAGGAACTTCTTTCGCATCAACATTTCGGGTTTTGGCTGTTTGGTACCAGCCATTGGCGATAATGGCCGGCCATTATCAGTTCTTCCTGCGGTTCGGGTTTTGGCAGTAACATATATATTTTAAACACACTTATTTTTGTTTTTAAAAGTTTGATCTTTTCAATTGAGGCTTTTTTGGGGCTTTGTTTTATTACTATTTTTTTGGTGTGGGTGGATGGGGGGAGATGCTAAAATATTGCTGCTAGGATCCAGAAATACCACACTGTTTCATATATTGGAACTTGTTATTGGCTAGCCTTATGCCAGCCTGCCACTGTCAATATATTCTGTTCCCCTTGGTTACAAGCTTAATATACTCTTGTGTTTTTGGCGAAATGAGCTTTTTATCCTATTGTAATATTTTCAATTGATAATAGATGTCATTAAATCTACTGCTTGTATAGAGACAGGTGTACCCAAATTTACTCTTGACCTTTTTATAAAGCCAGGTAATGGAGTCTGTTCCTTTGCATCTCAGGAAGGAATTGACTTTGCTTTATGTATCAGACCTCATCAATTGCACCCTCTCCATCATGCCTTATTTTCCTAAGTTCTCCTTAAAGAAACTCAACCCACAAAACATTTATGGAGAGACATGTTGCTATCTAATCCTGTTGCAAATATTTCAGATCTTTTGTTTTGCCATACATCTGGGAAAATGTAAAGCTTCTGAATCTGTTTCCTCACTTAGATTTATTACAATATGAATTACAACTTTTTTTAAAAAATTAAGGACCTTGTAAACGCTTCTATTGCTTATTTACCTAATCCAAGCTCCTTATCCAAAATGCTAAGGACAGTTAGTATTTTGCTGTTTTCGGCCCCATCTTCAGCCTTCTTGTCCCAAGTTTCTTCTCACCTTTTTACCACCACCTGACTAGGATGACTTCTCCTTTCCCTACCAGTCTTTGTTCTTTACTATGAAAATCTGGCTTAGAACTCTTCAAGGAATATTCCTTGATTCTCTAACTCTGCCTGACTATTCTCTCTTAAGCCTTTGTTCTTTTAGCACTTATGTACTCAGTTTGTATTATATCAGTTTGCACTTGTTATTGTGTTGCTCTGTAAAAGTGTTCAATTATTTCATGTATATGTATTCCTTCTCTTGTACTAGATTGTAAGCTCCTTGAGAGCAGGGACCATGTCTTCTACTTTTTTTTTTTTTTTTTTTTTTTGTATTCCCCAGACAGTGCCCAGTACAGTGCTCTCTCTGCACATAGTAGGTGCTCAATAAATGTTGTTGACTGACTGACCAGCCAGAGTGTGTTTAAATAGTAGTTAATATGCCAAGTTACGTATCTATAACCTATCATGAATCTTGTTTAACTTTGGAAAGTTGCTATTATGTGGTTTTGATTCTAAGAAATTACATGTTCTACATAAAGCGTAAGATTTATCTTTTGTTTGTTTTTACTTTTAAAGAAATGTAAACAGATCGCACAGAGTAAAGAAGATGATGATGTAATAGTGAATAAACCTCATGTTTCGGATGAAGAGGAAGAAGAACCTCCTTTTTATCATCATCCCTTTAAACTCAGTGAACCCAAACCTATTTTTTTCAATCTGAATGTGAGTATTAGTGCTTATGGATTGGTAAAACAGTGTAACTTGTGGAACTATTTAAATAAAACCCAAATCGAATTTAGTTTATTAATTTTTGTTTTAAATACTGTGAGAAATAATGGATAATATCATTTCCTTCAGATTATGTAGAAAATCTCAAACCATTTAATGTAGATATCATATTGAGCTTTAATTAAGAAACACTTTATTTTTTAGATTGCTGCAGCAAAACCAACTCCACCAAAAAGCCAGGTAACATTAACAAAAGAATTCCCTGTATCATCTGGATCTCAACATCGGAAAAAAGAAGCGGATAGTGTTTATGGAGAATGGGTTCCTGTGGAGAAAAATGGTGAAGAAAACAAAGATGATGATAATGTTTTCAGCAGCAATTTGCCCTCAGAGGTAAGTAGGAGGAATATTATGTATTTTTCCTTTTTTATACCTGAATCTGCCATTTCATTGTTATGTTATGTCTGATTTGGATTCTGTTTCACTCTTCTTAGGGCCGGGTTAAACGGCAGGGCCGGGTTAGACGACAGATGAAACAACCCGCAGCTTCTCATTTGACAGTAACTCGATGCAATTCACTTTGTGGAACCAAGCCACAAAGTGAAAAGCATCGAATTGCAGAGAACAGTGTTATCACATCCCTACCCAACATTGGGCCCTCCCTGCACTTGTGGGAAGGTAGTCCAAGGTACAACTATTTAGCTTCCCGATTTGCTTCAAGGCTCTATAGCTCTAGATTTTGGTGGTAGCAAATTTATCGGGTGGAGGGATTGATCGGAGAGGGCAGATCCTCAGGTTCAACACAAGAACTGGATTGGAAAAGGTCATTGTAGGTTGATGTGAGCATCTTGGGTACATAGCCCATTGCCCTTAATGATGGTTTCTTACTGTTTCTCTGGGTTGTTTGTCAGATAGCCTTTAATTTTAATTATTTTTCCTTCCCTTTGCTACCTTGGCCCTTTTAAATTCTTGTGTTTAACCTAATGCTCAGCCTTGGTACTCCATTCCCTTCTCCTTCCCCTCTTTGCTACTATTAAAAGTCGGAGAAGTGGAATTCAAACGTTGAAATTTCCACGGGGCTATAGTTGTATCTTAATAATGCCAAGTGTCAAAACAACCCCATTAAAATGCCGCCTGATTAAATAATGTGCTGCTAAATATAGTGCACATGAAAACAGCAAGACTGTATATATATGTAAATATATATATATATCTGTATCTTTGTATGTATCTCTGTATCTGTACCTTTGCTGTATCTTTTAATAAACAGTTTACTTTTATTTAACTTGTTGTGCAAAATCACGCTTGGGGGATGTGGGAGGGTGGAGTCTTAATAGGGGGGTGGGAGTTTTAATTACTATAGATTAGTTGTCATCGCCTCTTGCCCTTGGTTTCCAAAGCCCAGACTTTTGCCAAGGACTGGACTAGGTATCTGATGCCCATCTGGACATTTTTCTTGCAGTTCTTGGATATGTAGATCAGAGACACCTGTACTCTTCACTGTAGGTTCCCTTCCTTGGCTTGGCCATATCATCATCTTCCAGTAAACACCTCCAATTCTACAAATAAATCCTGTTTATAAAATCAGAAAGTGAACAGAACCCAAATCAGAAACTTTTTGATAGCAGTACTTTTCTCCCCAAGCTATTCACAGCTGACATTTTCACTTTTTTTTTGTTTGTTTGACCTGCAGCATTTTGAGAGAACAAGTTCTGTACAATGAAGCTGGACATGATAACTAGCCAGTGCAACTTACAGTTACTGGTGATAATCTGTATTCCCATGGGATTCAACAAGTGAAGCAAGTTATGCCATCACCAGTTAAGAGGGAGATAGTTGGTTTGGATAATATTTTAGTGAGACCATTTGAGTTGTTAATCCCCCAATCAGGCTACCTGCATATCTCAAGAGAGAAAGGTTAACTGACATGTGCAGCTGACTTAATCTTCTTGTAGTAGCTGAATAGAAACCATGATAAGAGGGTTGAACAGGCTTACTTAGAAATCCTAATATGTATGCTTTTAGTAATTTCCTGCAGTTTAAGCATTTAAAAAAGAGTTGGAAAAAAAAATAGGTAGGGAGAGAGTCTGTATGACAAATATTTTCCACTGAAGACTTAACAAATATTGCAGAATTCCAAGGGATCTTCCTGAGAAGATAAGTGAGCATAACTGTTTTGAATTTCTTCGGTTCAATCATGGGGAAAGTGCTTAGTAACTCCTGATGCTTACACTTTTTTGAGAGAGAGAGAGTGTGTGTGTGCGTCTATTTATTTGAAATTTAGTACTCAGCCATTTTCAATCTTAACACTGAGTGTGGTGCCTTAGCCTTGTTTGTCATCAAAAGTTGTCAGATTTTAATTAAAGGTTGAGGAGAATTATTCTTAAATCTGGTGGGAAAAGTTGATAGAGAAAGGTACTCAAATAATGGTGACATTATTTTTTGTTAAAAAAATTTTTTTTCTTACCAAAGAAGAATCCTAGAAGGTAAAATTATTTTACAATTCTTTTCAAAGGGCTAAATGAATAAAGCAGATGATGTCTCTTGTGGGACGATATATGTAACTATTTGATATAAAACCTCTTTAAGCTGCTTAGAAGATTAGACTCAAAAGAACATACAGATTAATTCTAAAGAAGAGAATCCCAAAATACAAGGGCAAAGAGGCAGGATTGCCTTTTGCTTTCATATCTGCACTTTTACCTGGCAATAATGTTAAAATGTGTAGAGGAAATAGTCACAATTTAAAATGTTTAGTTCCAGTTATTTAGTGACCATCTAAATATACTATATTGTATATATAGAAGGTAAAAGTAATGAATTTATTATTTATACAATTAGTGTTATATATACCAATGTTGTGAAATACTTTTGGTAACACTTCGTGGGAGCATTAACCCTTTTGATTCCTTGTTAGAGTTTGAAATAAAGGCTTCTAGAGTAAAAGGAGATAGTTCTTTTAAATGGTCAACCTTTGAACTGAATAGTAATTTTTATCTATGCCTTTTTCATTTTAATAAATATAAATGGAGTTTGTGGTTCTTTGTTGTTGAGCATAAAACATTTAGGCAAAGATCACAGATTTTATCTCCATAAGAGGGCTGAATTAGCTTTGCTGTAATCCCTAATCCCACCAATTGTCTTGCATATGAATGCTCTTTGACATGAGTATGAATGGATAGACATTGTGGATGAAGCAGCATAAATTCATTTCTTATGGAAAAACAACTCATCAGACTGTGTGCGGTACTGCCATAGCATCGTCTTCATACTCAGAAACCAGCCAGCATCATCCTCAGTAAGGAGTGACTACAGAACTTTGACTGTATTTGTGTGAATTTGATTTATAAACAATGAAATAAAATGTTGGAAAACTAATATTTTAAAAATAGTCCTCAGGGGCATTAATTCTTGGTAATAAAGTTAGTAGAGGTTTATTGAGTAGAAGATTAGGATGTAATCTTTGACATAAGTGGAGTAGTAACTACTCAACTATTAGTGTGGAGTTTTCATGGATTTAGTATCAATCAAATGTTTTAGGGGTCCAGAGGTAGTATTGTTAAGGTCTAGTGAATGCTTAGATGTTAAGATCATCTTTATGTTAAGCAGTTTACTGGTTTGTATTTATCAAATCATATTTCCACATCCCAATGGAATTACAATTTTTTTAAATTTATAAGCTCTAAATGTATAGGAAAACTTGGAGAAAAATGAAAATTTTAATTGGAAATTAAACACATAGGTCCCGGCACTGCTAGAATGTGTAATATACAGCCTTGTTATTCTTTCCTTCCTAGATTCTCTTATGTGGTTAACGCTGAATTTCTCTGAACCATTTAGTAGGTTATCTATTTGTTTTCCCGTTGTACTTCATTTAGTCTATTATACACTAGAGAATTTTGTATGATACAATAAAAAGATTCGTAATTCACTTTTTAAAGCCAACCAAACACATAACTGGGACATTCTGTGGCTTTTATTTTTGTAGTTGTCATTTTGCTCTTGTATGCATTAACCTCTTTATATTTTAATATTTGCTAAATATTCTAAAATCATGTTTTATATACAGGCCAGATGCTTTTACCTTAGGTCTATTTTCTTATAATTAAAGTTTTCCTTTTATGCCTGCTTTTGAGATATCTGTGATTACCAATAATAGAAAATAATTTTCTGGTTATAGGTATTTTCCTTATCTGACTCACCCCATCCTAACAATTATCTTTAGCTCTTTTATATCCTTTCACTGATATTCTAAGAAGTCTCTTAAAATATTGTTCTTTTTATGTCAACAGTTGTGTTAACAAAAGGAGTAAATGGATTTAGAAGAATTTCCTAAATGAGAAATAAAAATGTAAAAGGCTCACTTAAATGTATTAATATAGGTCATGAAATGCATGTTATATGGTGCCAGTTGCATTATGGTAATTTCATTATGCCTCAGACACCTTTGTAGGTTTTATAAGAAGTAGTTGTCTGCTTTCTTGCTGAGGGAGAGAGAGTGAAGAATTTGGGCAGTTTTTATTTACCTGAGATTTGTAATTCAGGACACTTTTTATGTAAATTTCACCTTTTAGAGCAAAGGTGAAAAGTCAGTAAACATTTCCCCCATTATCATACCTAGAATATTACTACAGAATTATTTTTATACACTAGGTAACATGCTAGTCTTATAGTGTATTGGTAGAAACTAAGGCTTGTTGGTGACAGCTTGGTAATAGTATTCTACAGATTAAAGATTCTCTTTTTCCCAGTTTTTGGAGGGGCCTTTTACCATCATTTTGGTGCCTTTCTTATATTTCCAGTTTCTGAATATTAAACGACAGTTAAGATTCTAAAGCTCTATTGTCCAATACAGCAGTTACCAGCCCCTGAAAAATCAGGTTTTTAATCACACTAGTTACATTTCAAGTGCTCAGTAGTGATCACTGTAAGAAGTTGTACTGGGCAATGCTGCTCTAAAGGGTAGCTGTGGTATTATGAGTGTTTCAATACTGATAAGTAACATCGGGTTTGACCCTTAAACATTGCTGCTTTGGGGATTGTATTGGCTTTTTATGCCTCATTGTATAACTTGAGTTACCTTGAAAGGCTGGAAACAGGCTTTTTGATGTAAACTTTTGAGGATCTTTATGAGGTTAAGATAATCTTGATTCATTCTACTTTGAGTATATGTTTTCGCATTAAAAATAAAAATATGGCCAGGCACAGTGGCTCACGCCTGTAATCCCAGAAATTTGGGAGGCCAAGGCGGGCGGATCACCTGAGGTCAGGAGTTCAAGACCAGCCTGACCAACATGGAGAAACCGCGTCTCTCCTAAAAATACAAAATTAGCCGGGGGTGGCAGCGCATGCCTGTAATCCCAGCTACTCAGGAGGCTGAGGCAGGAGAATCACTTGAACCCAGGAGGCGAGAGGTTGCAGTGAGCCAAGACTGTGCCATTGCACTCCAGCTTGGGCAATAAGGGCGAAACTCCATCTCAAAAAAAAAAAAAAAAAAAATGAAACCAGTAGTCAAATTACTATTTGGTAATACATTTTTGACATGAACTTGCAGCTCCCTTGGTAAGTCTGTTGAAGAGTAAATGAAGTTTTACTACCTCAGGAAAAACATAGTTGTAATTTTATTTAAATATCAAGGTTGCTATAATAAAATTCCTTTCAGAATCATGAGTTTAATATGAAACACTAAGATTTGAAGAGTTTCATTCTGGGGATAAATGGTGAGGCATTTAGGTTAAACGTTTAATAAAGGCTAAGAGAGAAGAACATTCGCAGGTGTAATAGTTTGCTTTCCACTTGGAAAGAATTAGTTTTATTCTAGAAGTTATATTTTAGAGCCATCTGAATAGATGAGTAGCTAATTTATAGTTGGAAATTAGGGATCAGGAGTTGGGATAGTGGGTAGACACATTTTCCCCAGTATCCTCAGATTTTAGCCTTGTTAGAATAAAAGCCTATTATTTATGCCTAAGCACCCTAACACTTAGATTTATAGAGACTGCTAGGAAAAGCAAAGTAAGTGTGAGAAGGTTAATGAGACAGTACTTGTCGCATCTTGTGTGCCTTCAAAAATTACCTTGATAATCCTACCTGACAAAACATCTTAAGGTAGGCCTAGGGGGACATGAATTTTCACCTGAAATATCTGCATTCTCATTAAAGTCCCAGGAATCAAACAGACTTAAGTGAAAGATGACATACTAAGTTTCTTAGTGTTTCAATCTCACTTTGCTTAGATTAATATTTCTAATAGGTCTTAGAATTGTTCTAATTTGTGTGATGATTTACTTAAATCAACTTAGCGAAATTACAGTTGAGAGATTCAATTTGAAAGATGCATTCTGCAGTTGATTAGACTGTTTATAGATCTCTAGAAAGATTTATATATTAACATAAACAGTCTTAATTACAGAAAGGATTAATTTTGTTTTCATTTTAAGAAGGCATTGTATCAGAATCCATACTTAAAGAAAAACCTTGAGTTAGCTAAAGGAATATTAGTTTATTAGCAAGGTAACTAAGAATTATGGAGGATTAGGGGTTCTGAAGGTAAGAAAGATTTGTGAATCCTTATGCATGAGTTATAATTATTCTCATAGTCATACAGCCTTCTCTACTAGACAGGTCTTATTCTTAAGAGAAGTCTTTTATACATGATACATAGTCTTAATTACAGCTAGCCTCTACTTGTAAAAAAGAAAATCCTTAGCCGTTAGCTATTTACTGACTTCCCCGTATTTGTTATGTTCATGCAGTGTCTACTTATTCTTTGTATATGAAAACAGCAAAATCTTCCATGTCAGATAAGCATTTTACAAAAATGAATTTTCTTGTGTGAGATAACTAGGAAATAATAATAATGTTAAAAGAAGGACAAAAACCAAGAAATGAGTTGATAAAAATCAACTCGAGCTTTTAATTTTAGAACAAAAAAAATAACAAATACTTATCTTGATGTGTTTTTCATTCTGTGGTTAAACCTTCCACAAATCTGACAAATTAAGAATTGGCTCCAAAGATTACTTTGAAAAAAAAAGTTTCTTCCACTTGCCGTAAGGTTTTAAAAGGTAGAATATGAGCTTTGAAAAGAAACAAAAGTGTTTCAGTTGATGTTATGGACTTCCACAGAAATATTGTAATTATAAATAGTGTAATATACTTAATATAAGTAATAAGTGTGTATAAACTGAAAACATGGTTCATTTATTTATATCCTGAATATATTGTTTAAAGAAATTGGGTTCTTAAGACCAAAGTGTCCACAACTGGAAGATGTTAAAGATACGCTGATGAGTAAAGGAGTGATCATAGTGGTTTTCTGCTTGCTTGTTCAGTAATTTTGCTTACTGCTCTTGAAGGTTATGCTAATGAGTAAAATGAAAACTGCTAAGGAATGTAATAACCTTACCACAGTTCAAAAAATTTGCAGTTTACTATAAATGGCTTTCAATCATGAAGAGTAGCGAGTTTTAAGTTCTTAATGGAACTTTCTATGATTATAGTTTGATATATATATATAATAGAAAATTGACTAAATTCAGTCAGATTTTGGGTTCAGTTCTGCGACCTGTGTGATACTTTGTAATTTATCTTAATCCTCTTCTGTTTTCCAAGATTACTTTCTCTTTCTGAGTCTTCTCCCTGTTTTCCAAGATTATTAGTATTATAAGACTATTATTTTGTTTTTGATATGTAGCAACTAAAGATATGAGTACTTTTCAGAATTTAGGGGACTATGGTAATTTGAGATAATTATCTCTGTTTTCTTTCTTAGCCTGTGGACATCTCTACAGCAATGAGTGAACGGGCACTTGCTCAGAAAAGACTCAGTGAGAATGCATTTGATCTTGAAGCCATGAGCATGTTAAATAGAGCTCAGGAAAGGGTATGTAGCAGTTTTTTAAAAAAAATTATTATTTACCATCAGCCAACTCACACCAATGTACCAGTTTTAATGTCTAAATAAGAATTTTGCTAACTAGATGGTTGAGTTGTAACATCCTTTACCTTATTTTCAATGTCTTATTTTAAATGAAAGTGATTCGAGGCCTGATCATTTATTCAATAAATGTTTATTGTTTACTATGTGGCAGGAACTGTTTCTTGAGAGAACAAAATAGAAAAATTTCCCTGTCCTCACAGAGTTTACAATCTGGTGTATAAAAACAACTAAGTGCCTACAACCCTATGAAATGTGTAGGTATTAATAGTTGCCATATTTCAGCCGAGAAAACTGAAGTAAAGGGTGGTTAAGGCCAGGCATGGTCGCTGATGCCTGTAATCCCAGCACTTTGGGAGGCCGAGGTGGGGGCAAGGAGTCAGGAGTTCAAGACCAGCCTGGCCAAGGTGATGAAACCCCATCTCTACTAAAAATACAAAAATTAGCTGGGTTTGGTGTTGCATGCCTGTAATGCCAGCTACTCAGGAGGCTGAGGCAGGAGAAATGCTTGAACCTGGGAGGCAGAGGTTGCAGTGAGCCAGGATCGCGCCACTGTACTCCAGCCTGGGCAACAGAGTGAGACTGTCTAAAAAAAACAAAAGAGTGATTAAGTGATATCCATAGTCACACAACTAATTAGTGGGGGAACTGGGATTCAAACCCAAGCAATCTGAATCTGGAGTCTGTGCTTTTAACAATGGACAGCCTCTCCATTTCATTTCTACTGTTTTATGGTAAATCAGTAAGTACATGTTCAGACAGGAAATACATTGCTGACAGTGCAAGGTGTTTAGTAAATCTAATTTGTGTGAATGACAGCTGATCTTTATCACAACAAATGTTGGTGACTGAAAAAAAGTATACAAGCTTCTTTAAAAAGTTGTTTTACGGCCGGGTGCAGTGGCTCACGCCTGTTATCCCAGCACTTTGAAAGGCCGAGGCGGGCGGATCAGTTGAGGTCAGGAGTTCAAGACCAGCCTGACTAACATGGAGAAACCCTGTCTCGACTAAAAATACAAAATTAGCCGGGCGCGGTGGCGCATGTTTGTAATCAATCCCAGCTACTCTGGAGGCTGAGGCAGGAGAATCGCTTGAACTCGGGAGGAGGAGGTTGCAGTGAGCAGACATCGCACCATTGCACTCCAGCCTGGGCAACAAGAGAGAAACTCCATCTCAAAAAAAAATAGTCGTTTATGTATTCAAGTGGACAGTTTCCTACATTTAAACTCTTTAAACCTGTGTCATGAATTTAGTCTGTATAAATGTCTCAAAGGAAGTAATTAAGAATCCAGGCTGTCATGACATGTATTACAATACATTTGTATGAGATAGGAAGGGAGGGTGGGGACCCATTGTCATATGAGCTCTTTTTTGCATTTTTAGTGTATCTGTGTGATAGTTTGAAGAATATTAACAGCTGTATTTTTTAGTAGCTGTGCTTTTAGATACATTTCAAAATCTTATTAATGGGATTCACTAAATGTTGTCAAACTGCTTCTTTAGAAAGTTTAGGCAAACATTTAATGTTAAATATGTTTTAAAAGTTAAATATTTAAGTCTGCTTTTCAGCCATTTTTAGTGAATTATTACCAGTGATGTTTTAATCAGGTAATTTTACTTAGTTAACTGAGACTACTTCTTTTCTTCAGATTGATGCCTGGGCTCAGCTGAACTCTATTCCTGGCCAGTTCACAGGAAGTACAGGAGTACAGGTTTTGACACAAGAACAGTTGGCCAATACTGGTGCCCAAGCCTGGATTAAAAAGGTACACAGTATATGCACATATGAAAGTGTCGAACAAAAAGTTTAAATTTTTTGGAAACTGTTTATTAAAACTGCATGAAAAGACCAGTGACTCTAACCAAAGTTCCAAGTAAATTTGCTATGTGTATATGCTCCAGGGCGGACACTGAAGACGGACTGGATTCATGAGAAAATGGCAAATGTATAAATGTGGCTCAAGAGCCACTAACTTATAAGGTTATTTTAAAAATTGTTACTGCTGCTTTTGAAGGGGTGATTTAACTTTATTTTGAACGCTAATAGTGTATCAGGTGCTGTTCAGAATATTCCACAGTTCCTGCTGGACTACTAACCTAATCATTTCAAAGCAGTGGTTCTCAAATTTTTCTTCATCATGGGATACTTTATTACAGGTTTATTTTTAGTGGATCACTGCCCCCAAGAGCCCTCTACCACCTTAATTTTCCATTCCTCTATTCCTTTGCCCTCGCACCCCACCCGCTTCATTAGTGCCTGTGCCTTCTTGTAAGATCTCTTGGCCCCCGTTCCTCACTCCTCTTGTGACCTGTAGCCCCAGGACCTTTTGGTTGTCAGCTGCTGGTTACAGCAAGTGGTTGGGAGGCCCTAGTATTAGCTCTGCATGTGGTGATCTTGCCATGGGACTGGAAGCCTGAGGGAGGATGGCTGGAGTGGGGTGGGCTGTGGTGAAGGGGATGGGATGGAGATTAATCTGTGGACCACCATTTAGGCCCTAGTGGCCTCTGGTGATCCACAGGCTCAATTTGAGAACCACTAATTTCATGACAAAACAGATATGTAAGACCTAAAATCAAGGGAGAGAATGGACGCCTCGTGCTACGAAGATGTAGGTGCATCTGGTTTCAGATTCTGCAGTGAGACCTGTGAACTCCACCTACGGCTGCCTCATCATTGGGGGAGTCTTAGGTGGCTAAGAAGGGCATTCTGAAGAAACGCGTTGTGGTGAAGGGACAAAGCTTGGTTGGATGGGTGATGGGAAATTTGTTACAGGAGTACTGGCAGCATAGCAGTGCTGAAACTGGGAGGCCGCGTGGTCTAATGGATTGGGAAGGTTTCTTTATCCTGTTGTACTCCTGACTCCTTGTGTAATCATGGGCAAGTAACTCTTTGGAATTTCAAAGTCTCTGAGGTGTCTAGTGGTAATCAGTAACGTGATGGTTACCTATAGAGAGTTGCTATGAGTGCCAGTGAATGAGCTGAATTTCTGAAAAATGAGACATTGGTTGCTTTGTGTATTTTAATCTTGTAACATTTATTTCAATTTTGATAGCTTTATCTTTGTTGATCTTACTAACAAATTAATATGAAACATCATGTATACTCATTATGCCTGCCTTTTTTTGGGAAGTAGTTGCACTGATGTGTATAGTGAGTACACAGTTAGATTCATTAAGAAATTACAATTTCTGCAGTTTGCTGAGGGTTGGTGTTAGAATAAAGGGTGAAAATGTATATAGCAAAATATTTTAAAGATTGGATTAATCTTGGACTTCTATATTATAGTTACTATGAAAGTGATTTATATAATATTTGAAAAAATGTCTTTCATCTTTGGAAGAACTATAAATGTACATCTATTTCTTTAGTTTTAATTCTTTAATACTATTTAGTCTTGAAGCTAAGTACTCAGCCAGTATTTCAGGAAGTTAGAAATAAAGCTTATGGGTGTTAAAATAGGCACATAATACAGAGTCATGTACACTGCTAGGTAGAAACTTCTGAATGTGCTTCCATTACAAAATTTTGGTCTTTATCTAATGATGTGCTGATCCATAATGTTTGTATACTTATAAATGTGTTAATAACTTAAATAACTTTTAAAAAGTGAATCTTTTACTGACTCAATTGGTTTTCCCCTAAAATAATTTCTTCTGGTATTTGCAGTCTTGTAGGCAGTTAACAGACTTTAATAACTTTAAAATGTTTAGTAGCACCTTGAAAAAAGGCTTCAACTTTATATTTTATGTAAGATATACTTTGGGAAGCAAATTATTTTGATAAATTATGAGATAAAGATATGTTCAGACCAAATTTTAAATTATAGATAAAAGTAGCACTTAAAGGAAAAGATTCATTTGTATAGAATTACTGAAGAATATTTGATGCTAGTATCAACTAAAAAAGAAACTTTTGAAAATTAAAAATGGGCCACAACATGTAGAAGTCATTAGGCAGCTGAAAATTTAGGATGTATGATCCATGTTAAATATCACAAATATTGTCTACTCATTAAATGTTTAGTTGTGTTTAGAAAACCTGTCAAACGATCATTTTGGCTCTTCTTTAGTATAGTCCAGCATCTGCCTTATGTGTTAAAAAACACATGGAATACCAACATCCTCCGTGTTCTTTTTAGTTTGTTGCAGTGTATTTTTAGATTACAAAAAAAGCAAAGTTTTATCAGTAGTCTCATTAATCAGTAAAACATTTAAAGTAGTTCGTTTAAAAGAAATTTTATTTCTAGAATGGAATGATTTGGATGTGACCTGATAAATACAGTTTGTTATTGTGGTCTCATTAAATTAATCAGCTTTTTCACACTGGGGTAAAGAAACAGATGATGATACTAGGGAATGGAAACAAAATTGGAAACCTGGGTTATTTGGGGATTTATATTGTACTCTGCACAGTTGCCCTTTTTTTTAGGCGTGTTCCCTGGAAAAGAGGGACGGATGAACCTGGAAGTAAGTAAAAGACATTCTAGGTGTGTAGCATCAAGGCAGTTAATATCCAAGCATCAGCTTTCTCTTTATACATCTACACTGCATGGCCTGCACCAAATAAGGAACTGAACCAGGGGTATGTTTTTACCTCCACAGCTGCCTCCTTCCATCAGAGCACCTTGATGAACTTAATGTCTAGTCACACGTCATTGGCATGTTTTCTCCCCAGCATTTAATTACAAAGCTGGGAAACAAAAGATGATAGATACAGTTTTACTACTGCATACAAACATTTCTTTTTTACATTCAGTATTAACTTATCAATATAGGAGATGTGCATACTATTTCCTGAGCTACTGAAGTTTTTTTACTCTCTCTGTTGATAAGTTAATGACTTTTGCTATATTATATATTTATATATATATATATATATATATTTGGTAAGAGAACATAAAAACCTAAAATTTAGTAACAAGGGGAAAATAAAGCATGATTTGGAGATATGTTTCAAATTTTTAAAAAATGACCATAAAGATCAACAGTACAACTTAATACTGTTTGCTATATGTACATGGATGCCCTTTAATAAGAGGCATTGAATATTTCTTAACCTGTAAAAATAACTGTTGACCATGCTAATGTATATATACTTGTGCATCTTAGGACATTAAGTGGTTTGCTGCTTTGATGGAAATTATGGTTCAGTGGGTTGGATACAAGAGAGATGACTGTTCACAGAATAACCTGTGAACTTTCACCCCTCTGTATGGAAACTTGTTTCAGGGCCAAATCCTTGTAGCTGTCTTCTTGCCCCGGTCAGTGCCAGCCGTACTATTCACAACACTGCTGCTACCGAGGCCTAGGTATGTAAACATTTAAGGAGTTTTTTAAAAGTCTTTTAACATCAAGCTAGGTTTTAAAAGAATTCAAATTCATTTTGGCATACTTACAGGATATTTTATGTGATTGTTTTCTATTTGTTACTGTGTAAATTTCAAGAGTTTTTTTTTTTTTTTCTGCTTTAGGGATTTTCTAAGTAAAATATTTATACTTGCTTTATAGTAGAATGGGGAAGAAAACTTTGGATGACAACAGTATGCTTCTTCAGTGTCTAAACTATTTCTAAGTGATTTCTGGGCTTTATTCATAAACTAGGTACACCTGGGACAATTAATATCATTGATTGTTTTAACATTGCCTTCTTTTTATTTTGCAAGCTAAGAAGAGATACCAGTGAACCTAAATAGTGGACGAAAACAGGAGTGTTCTAATTTTTTTTTTTTGAGGGGGGCACGAGGGCTACTGTTTCAAAACTGCCATTTACTTGTCTTATTTGACTTCCAAAATACTATTACGTTAATGTGCAAATAATCAGAACATACACACTACAGTATGTATAAAGTATAGAGGAATTTACATTTAATTGCTATAACAGATCTAGAAGTAAAGTAAGATTCCTCTTTTTAGAAAGTAAACAATGAATCTGTCACCAAGTTCTAACTGTAAAATGGGGACATTTTACCTTTCTTTCTTTGGATAGGATCAGTTCTTAAGAGCAGCCCCGGTAACTGGAGGAATGGGAGCCGTTTTGATGAGAAAAATGGGCTGGAGAGAAGGAGAAGGATTAGGAAAAAACAAAGAAGGCAATAAGGAACCCATCCTAGTTGATTTTAAGACAGACCGAAAAGGTAACAAGTTCTTTTTTGGAATGTTTATTAACGTCTCCTTTAACATTACCTTTAATATATCCTTTTGAACCCAGTGATACTGAACTGAAGGCACTTCTTGTATATATACAGGTATTTGTCAGAAAAAACATTAACCCCTTTTGGGGTTCACAGAGCAGCTTATTTTTATATAACTATGGATAGAGACACCAGTTTGAACTTTTAAAAGGCACCTTTTGTTATGCTAGTTGCTAAATATGGAAATGTGTATATATCTAATTTTATTATTACACCTCCAAATTCAACTGGATTTCATGTTTAGAAAACAGGATTTCCATTTTATTTTCTCTTGACAAGGAACCATCCTTTTTTCTAGAGTTTAGTTTATTTTTTGTTAGATATTTTAGCACATCTTCATTATTTCCTATTACAATACTGGTTTAGTCTAGATTTCATAAACCCTGTTTGCTTTTTTCTTCCAAGCTCAGTAGTTAAGTTGGGTTAGAGTATAGTAGACCAGCTGCTGACAATAATGTTACTTCTTCCTGTTGCCTTGTGTTAAGGCATCTTGGAACTGTTAGCATTGACTGTATTTTCCTTTTACCTTCAGATACCTGGGCAGGGCAGCACTGTGTCTTCTATGTAGCTTGTATGTAGTTGCTAAGTATTTAATCATTCCCACAGATGATAGCTAATTGGCGTCTTTTAAATAACTTCTTCCCTTGGAATAATGTAAGTGGAATCATGAGAGGCTTGCCAGCTCAGTATGATTTTTGTATAGCTTGTTTAAACCTCATTTATAAAAGCTGACAAATGTAAAACTGGGATTTATTTTCATCTTTGTAATCAAACAGTAAGTTGAAGCTAACTTCAATAGTTAAACTGTCTTAATGAATTTGGAAATGAACTAGCTCTGCACCAAATACTTTGATGTTAAGTATTGTACAATTTCAGGAAGCATTGTCCTTGGAATTGTGGGACATGGCCTGACTGTAAGCTCTCAGAGAACCACAGATTTCCCAGGATAGGTTTAGAAAAGCTTATATTAGCATGGAATTATTTAGCAAAGGTTGAAAAATTTCCTGTAACATACAGGATGAGCATCCCACATCTGGAAACCTGAAATGCTTTAAAACAGAAAACTTTTTGAATACTGATATGATGCTCAAAGGAAATACTCATTGGTGCATTTTGGATTTCAGCCTCTTCAGATTTGGGATGCTTGACCGCTAAATACAATGCAAATATTTGAAAACCTGGAATCAACCGACACACTTCTGGTCCCAAGCATTTTGGATAAGGAATACTCAACCTGTATATGAATTGGGAAAGCAGTGTTTGGGTTTAGCAATGTAGCTAATCCCCTTTGTAATAAGTCTATGGAGAGAGAGGTTATGTAGAAAGGTTATGTTCATATTTTGAGAACATCTCCCATTTGTTAGGAAGGGAGAGGAGAGTTTGCTAGGAAAAAAGGGACCTATTTTATTTGGAGACAACCGTTTTCACCTTTTTGGTGGCTTAAAATCCTAACCTTTTTTGGAAGAGTCTTAACTGAAGCTTATTTTTTTAAGAGACAGTAAATCTGCAGAAATCACTTGGCAATAAGCTATTTTTTTTCTTTTTTTGAGATGGAGTTTTGCTCGTTGCCCAGGCTGTCAGTGGCACGATCTTTACTCACTGCAACCTTCGCTTCCAGGTTCAAGCGATTCTCCTGCCCCAGCCTCCCGAGTAGCTGGGATTACAGGCGCGCACCACCACGCCCGGCTAATTTTTGTTTCTTTAGTAGAGACGGGGTTTCACCATGTTGGCCAGGCTGGTCTCAGACTCTTGACCTCAGGAGATCCACCCGCCTCGGCCTCCCAAAGTGCTGGGATTACAGGCATGAGCCACTGTGCCTGGCCATACTTAACTTTTTGTTTTCTGTTTACATTTGGTATTTATTACAATTTCTCATACCAAGATCTATGAATATTAAATATAAATTTATATGCTGAAAAACAGTAAAAGAGAAGAAAGAGAAGATTGATAGAGAAATCGAGTGTACTAGGAATCTGCTGATTTTATTTGAAGGCATACATTTTGAGGTTCAGACTCCTACAGAGGGATCTTTGTTTTAAAGTGGTGCTTTGAAATTTATTTAGTGAACAATTTTTTTTTAAAGGTCTTGTTGCAGTAGGAGAAAGAGCACAAAAGAGGTCTGGGAACTTCTCTGCTGCAATGAAAGATCTGTCAGGTGAGAGCACGTTTTTGAATTTCCTCTTACCCTAATCCCACCTTGAATTCATTATTTGTTGCAGAAGTTGGTGGAAATAATTTAAAACTGGGTATTTCTCCCCCCTGCAGGCAAACATCCTGTGTCTGCTTTGATGGAGATCTGTAATAAAAGAAGGTGGCAACCACCTGAATTTCTATTGGTCCATGATAGTGGCCCTGATCATCGCAAACATTTTCTCTTTAGGGTAAATATGAATTTCTGCATTAATTATATATATTTATTAATGTGATGACTTAGAGGGTGAGGGGTAAACATGATCACAGGATTAAGATTCTGTTCATGGGTGGGGGGTTTGTATTTGTAGTTAAGTGGTGGGGTTTTTAAACACTGAAGGGTGCTTTAATACGACTTGTCAATGTCCTATTTTTTAAAAAATTGGAAAAGGGTAAAATATAGTATACAATTGTTATTTTCTAGTTGAATGTGGGGAATTAATTTAATACTTTTGTCAGTCTTTTTCTCAATTTGGAGACCTGCTCTAATTTGCAGTCCCTTTCCCAAATGATTTGGTTCTTCGGGTTGAGATTATAATTTGACTTACATAGTATGGGTTTTATATTTTTGTAAATTATTTTTCTAGCATTTAGTGAAAAAATACAAAGCTAATAGATATTAAAGTTTGATGCTGTTCTTATTGTATGTTTTTCTTGAATAGGTATTGAGAAATGGAGCCCTTACCAGACCCAATTGTATGTTTTTCTTGAATAGGTATTGATAAATGGAAGCGCTTACCAGCCCAGCTTTGCCAGCCCTAATAAGAAGCATGCTAAAGCCACAGCAGCTACTGTGGTTCTTCAAGCAATGGGCCTTGTACCAAAGGACCTCATGGCTAATGCCACTTGCTTCAGGAGTGCCTCACGTAGATAGATTGAGGTTTTATAATAATCATTTCAGAATTTTACTCTGCATCACAATGTATTTCCTCTTTAATGTTGTAAATATTTGGCAATTTAAGACATTGTGTAAAAAGCAATCTGTAAAAACATCTCCAGGCTTTGATTTTTGTACCATGGAAATTGTATTTAACCATACAGGGTTTTGGTATGTTTATATTGTTTACCTTAGTGATGTATTTGTTTAAGTGGCTAACATCCAAACGACTGTTTGAAGGCATCAGAGTAATCTTCAGTGTGGAATGTTAAATAACGCTTTTATACTGTATTTTGTACTATGATGTAACTCCCCTTCCTTATGGCTAGGCTACTGTAACACTTGCCTGTAATCAGTGAAGGGCTGTGCACCTTGTACTATTTCACAATGGGTTCTGCTGGACAGATAATGGGCCAGTGTTATTGAGGTGATCAAGATCTGTTCCACAGGGCTAATGCCACCATCTCCCCTCAAAATTTTGTAGAGGTTCTAAAAAGAAAGTGGTATGTTGTGTGATGATCAGCACTAAGTCCTGCATTCCTGTTAAAGCCACTTGGGTCATAAGAAGGGAGTAAAAAATGAAGTCTGACTAGAATTCTATTGCAGAGGCCAGTACATTTAGTATGGCATTGAGTTGTGATATAGTTTTACTTTGATGTGCATTTTGAATTTCAGCTACACCTAGATAGACGTAAAATGATAATTAAAATGCTGTAACCAACTTATCTAATAAAATTGGCAACCAGCCACTATTTTGTTGACTATGAGAAAGTTAAAAGTTTATGTTAATTTTTAGGGTCTGATAGAATATTTCATGTGTATTACAGTGGTATTCATATGCTATGTCTCTAAACTTTATTTTCAAAAGCTTAAGGCCCAAATACAAACTTCTCTGGAATAAACGTGGTGTTTTATTTTCTGGGTTATAAAGTGAACAAATACTTAGATACTATTATTTCTTTACCCAATGCTTTTGATTTTTAAGCACTTTTATTTTAAAAATGTGAATTATACAGTCCCCCCCTACACACACACACACACACACACACACACACACACACACACACACACACACACACACACACACACACACACACACACACACACACACACACACACACACCCCTATAAGCACATTAAATACTACTTTGCCGTGACAGCTCAGTGTACTTCACAATTCTTAACACTATTCTATGTGGAATACAAAATGCCTTTTTATCTGAATTAACATGCATTTAAAAAGTTTTAGTATATGTGAAAATAAAGGAATTATAAATCAGTAGGAAAGATATTAAGGTAGAAGCATCACCAATCAACTAGCTCAGTAGATGTTGTCTGTATTTATTTTCTACCTTTATGAAACAAGAACCTGCTAACAGGTAAATCGTAAAGTAACATATTTTTGCCCTGATGCCATTAGTCACAATGCCATGGGGTAACTGCTATGTGATTTCCCATTTGCAAGGAAGCATATTAATTCAGTTTCTGCTCAATATACAATTAGGTTGTAGGGATATAGATATCTCATTTGAGTTATCTGAGTTTTTCATCTTTATATCTAAAAATCTAATCTGAAAATAGTAAAACACATTTAAAACCTTAGATGCTACTGTAGTAAAAGTTATGTTTATAAACATTTCAGTATATTCCTTCAACTTCAAGAATCTTGAATTTCCTTGCTAGAAGGCTTTTTTCCTCAAAGATTCCTTTTAGGCTTACTTTGGTGTTCAGGATCTCCAATTATAAATGTAGTCTCTCAGCACCACATTCCGTAAAGATGATTTCCCAAGTAACGGTATTTGACTAAGTTGCTCCAGAGTGTTAGGGTGCAAACCACAGTTAGTAAGCTCCTTATGAACAACCTCCTGTGGAAATGTGTGTACAAGTCAGTAAAAAGCACATTAGTCTTTAAACACAGAAGAGTTAAATAATTACTATGGAGACTGACAAATAAATGGCTGATTAATGTGATTCATCCTATTAATAGAAGTTGATGCTAAGAATTTTTGTAGTGACAAAATCCCAAAATATTAATGGTTATAAGTCTAGCCAACTGAGATGCATGAGACAATTTTAAAGGTCTTAATTCTAACTCTAAAAACCTTAAGTATGTTCAAAATTAAAGGCAAATATGGTTAAATACCCACAGTGAATTGTTTCCTTAAACTATAAAGGAATCAGGTACTATTGAGTTTTGGATGCAAGAGGAAATGAAAAAGCTGCCCCTTTTTGGAATGGGAAGTTCTTCAGTCACTGTTAAAACTATTTGGACTGAGGCCGGGTGCCGTGGCTCAAGCCTGTAATCCCAACATTTTGGGAGGCCAAGGTGGGCAGATCACCTGAAGTCAGGAGTTCAAGACCAGCCTGGCCAACATGGTGAAACCCCCGTCTCTAATAAAGATACAAAAAATAGCCAGATGTGGTGGCACATGCCTGTAATCTCAGCTACTTGGGAGGCTGAGGCAGGAGAACTGTTTGAACCCAGGAGGCTAAGGCTGCAGTGAGCCGAGACTCGCGCCGCTGCACTCCAGCCCGGGCAACAGCAAGACTCCATCTCAAAAAAAAAAAAAAATTGTACTTGGACTGAATTCATGAAAGCTACCTCACATAAACAACTTACAGACATTATTCCTTCCTCTAGTAATTCATAATTAAGTAACAGTTTAATTACTTGAAACACAATAGTGACTCAGCATAAATGACTCAATTTCCCTCCAGCTAGTTTGAGGAAACTACAACTAAAACAGTCTGCTCATAGGTGTCTACTTACCATATCAAGTACTTTGTCCATTTGCAGGCAGATGTTAAATACAGCAGTTGGCTCGTGTGGATACAGTACTGCAGAGAAAGATCCACTCTGTGAAGATTTGAGCAGCATGGTCAGTGAATGCAGAGAATGAGGCATGATAGGACCTGTAATCTCCAAACTAAATTGGTCTCTGTATCCAGAAAGAGCTTGTGTCTTCACATTCACACTCCGTGCCTTCATGAAAATGTAAAGAAAAGGAAAATTAAGATCATCTCTCAACCTTTTGCCTAGCCAAAAATATGTTCAATATATTTCCATTTGGGGTTTCCTCTCTTTTAACAATTATGGAATAAAACTATTTCCCAAGACATCTAAACAATGTTATGTGAGTACAAATACTTAGTAAATTTTCAGCAACCTTTCCATATTAAGAGATTTTCAGGTGAAGTATATTCCAGAGAATACCATTTTTTCATATAGTATTTTATCTGATTTAGTAATACACTGTCAATGCAGACTATTGGAAAAACAAAAATTTAAAATCCATTCAATTTTATTGCTAAGATTTAGCATGTATTTTGTATTTACATATATAATTTATTATGATTATAATCCCAGCACTTTGGGAGGCCAAGGTGGGCAGATCACTTGAGGTCAGGAGTTCAAGACCAGCCTGGCCAACATGGTGAAACCTCGTCTCTATTAAAAATACAAAAAAATTAGCCAGGCATGGTGGTGTGAGCCTATAGTCCCAGCTACTTGGGAAGCTAAGGCAGAAGAATCACCTGAGCCCCAGAGGCAGAGGTTGAAGAATCGCTTGAGCCCGTTAGGCAGAGTTTGCAGTGAGCCAAAATTGAGCCACTGCTCTCCAGCCTGGGTGACAGAGCAAGACTCCGTCTCTAAATAGATAGATGAATGAATGAATGAATGAATGAATGAATGCAGGGCGGCCAGGTGCAGTGGCTCATGCCTGTAATCCCAGCACTTTGGGAGGCCGAGGGCAGATCATGAGGTCAGGAGTTCGAGACCACCCTGACCAACATGGTGAAAACCCGTCTCTACAAAAAATACAAAAAAAAAAAAAAATTAGCCAGGCGTGGTGGCACACGCCTGGGTGAGAGTGAGATTCCACCTCAAAAAAAAAAAAAAAAAAAAAAAAAAAAAAAAAAAAAAAAAGCAGGGCATGGCAGTCCTGTGGTCCGATACTCGAGAGGCTGAGGCAGGAATTTCACTTGAGCCCACATGGTTGAGGCTGCAGTGAGCTGTGCCACTGCACTACAGCAAGACCCTGTCTCCCCAACCAAAAAAAGAAAATAAATGTTCGTATAATTTAAAAAGAGGCCAGGAGTTCAAGACCAGCCTGGCCAATATGGTGAAACTCCGTCTATACTAAAAATACAAAAATTAGCTGGGCGTGGTGGTGCCCACCTGTAACCCCAGCTACTCGAGAGGCTGAGGCAGAAGAATCGCTTGAACCCCAGAGTTGGAGGCTGCAGTGAGCCGAGATCGCACCACTGCACTGCAGCCGGTGACAGAGTGGGACTCCCTCTTAAAACAAACAAACAAAAACAAACAAGAAAAAAAAAAACAAAAAAAATAGCTAGGCTTGGTGGTGTGTGCTTGTAATCCCAGCTACTCAAGAGGCTGAGGCATGGCGCGAGAATCACTTGAACCCGGGAGGCAGGGGTTGCAGTGAGTTGAGATCACGCCACTGCACTCCATTCAGCCTGGATAGCAGCGCAAGACTCCATCTCGAAAAGAAAATAAAAAGGATTTCATATAATTTATATATTTCCACATAATTTCTTTGATATAACTGTCTTATATAATTTTTGTTTCTTTTTTTAATGGGAGGAAAGCAAAATGAAAATATGTACCAAGTAAAAATGCTAGGAGGTTTTTTTTTAAATCAAGAATTTATCCTATCAAAGTAAAGTACTTCTTAAAAGCTAGGTTATGCAGACTTTTATTACCTTAAGCATTTGCATTGTGGCACCTCGGAAAGCAACAGGGGACAAGAGGGTTGGAGGAAGTCCTGCCTGTGGACCTGAGGTAGCAACTAAACTCTTAGAGTTAATCAAAAAATTGAGCAATGTAAAGGTGTTGATTCCTTTTACCAACACAACAGATTCAGGTCTGTGATCCATTTGTACTTCATGTTTCTCTTTACGCCTGAAGATGACAATCAAGGAAATTGCAAAAGCAAATCTCACCTAATGTGGAAAGCAGTTATCTTGATTCTGAATCACCTGAGACTCCTTTTCTCCATAATGAAATGGAAATCCTCTTGCTACCTCTCTTTACCGAATCATAAGGCATATGTTTCAATCAAAATGTTAACAATCTGAATTTGCTACAAACTGACACCTAAACCTAATTTCTTCTCTAGTCAAAACACACCTATTCTCCCACAATCATAATTGAACGTTTTGATTAAAAAAGGTTTAATAGTTCACCATTTGTTGATACTTAGGGGCTTATTTAGTATTACAATGGAGAATTAGTTTTAATATGACCTGAAGATAATTTAAGATTATAATCATATAAAACTGCCAATGTTAAACTTCTCACTAACGTCATTCAATGAAAATTAATTCTAGTTAACAACAACTGAAAGGATACAGCTTGATAGAAAGTATGTCTGGCTTTTTAATTTTATCTTGCACACCCATCTCTTCCAGCCAGGAAAAACTTTCCTCTTCATCCTCATCACTGATGGCTTGCTCCCTAGGAAATTGCTACAGTTAGAGTCCCTATTTCACAAGCTGTTCCTGTGCAAATCTATTTCATGAGTCCATAAGTCAGTGGATGATATAAAGTTATTTTAATCACATACTCCCCATATCCCAAGCTTGTTCCAGATGCTGTCTCCTTCTTATGGCCACTTTCTTTTATTAAAGGCAGAGAAAATTCAATACCTATATGAGGAACAAAAATGTAACTGAGTTGTCATTTAAAGTATTTAACAGGCATGCTGTACTTTTAGAGTGTAAAAAATTTGAAATGTTAGTTTTTACAAATGATCTATTAAGGCAGTAGAGTTTTCAAGCTTTCTTCACAAACCTACAAACATGCATAAAACGTATTCTCCTTGAAAGAGGTTCGGGAAACAACACATACATGTAACACTCTTTCATAAATCATATTGTATTCCAGTTCACTTTTTGAAAAAGTACTGATTGGGCCCATTAAGTAGATTTCATGATCCACTAATGGGTTTACTCAGTTTGAAAATTTTGTTATTAAAGGGGTAATTGGTACTATAGAAGAATTTCTAGAAGAGTATATTCAGATAGTGACTATCTGGCCCAATATGTGTTTTATTTTAGAGATCAGAGAACACTATGTGGAAGGAACAGTTTAAATCAGGAGTCCCCAACCCCTGGACTGTGGACTGGTACTGGCCTGTGGCCTGTTAGAAACCGGGCTGCACAGCAGGAGGTGAGCGACTGTCGAGTGAACATTACTGCCTGAGCTCCATCTCCTGTCACATCAGTGGTCGCATTAGATTCTCACAGGGGCACGAATCCTACTGTGAACTGTGCATGTGAGGCATCTAGGTTGTGCCCTCCTTATAAGAATGATGATCTTGTCCGGGCGCGGTGGCTCACGCCTGTAAGCCCAGCACTTTGGGAGGCCGAGGCGGGCGGATCACGAGGTCAGGAGATCGAGATCGTCCTGGCTAACACGGTGAAACCCCGTCTCTACTAAAAATACAAAAAATTAGCCGGGCATGGTTGCAGGCACCTGTAGTCCCAGCTACTCGGGAGGCTGAGGCAGGAGAATGGCCTGAACCCAGGAGGCGGAGCTTGCAGTGAGCCGAGATTGCACCACTGCATTCTAGCCTGGGTGACAGAGCGAGTCTCCATCTCAAAAAAAAAAAAAAAAAAAAAAAAAGAATGATCATCTGATGTGTAACAGTTTCATCCCGAAACCATCCTCCTCACTGCCCATGAAACTGATCCCTAGTGCCAAAAAGTTTGCGGACTGCTGGATTAAATAATTGTGGGGGAGGGAAAAAAAGCCAGAAATAAAGAAATAATATATTTCTTAATGTTGCTAATCAACTGGTAAAAGGCATTTTAAATTTAAATAGCTTTTAGGCCAAAATAGGTTTACTATATAGTATAGTATTCTCACTTTAAACCTAAACTTTTACCTTCATTTCTCATAGCTTCTCTTAAACCTCGAGTTGTTGGAGATATGAGAGCTGTGATTAAGTCACTTCCAGCTAATCCTGCTGCTCGGAACAGGACAGTAAACTGATAGGTACAAACGTAGAAATAGGGGCAAAGTTTTGTCTTCAGCAAATTATATAGAGAAGTAAAGCTCACAGACCTATGAAGTAAAAAAATTTTCTTAAGGTATTATTAAACATTTAATGCAATGTTTATAATTCTGAATAATTCAGTTTGATACCTGGTTTAAAACACAACACAAATATTTTAGATAATGGTTTTAATTTTTGTGGTTACGTATGACTTAGCTTTAAAGGACTGAAATTGGTTATGAGGACTCGCTGATGACTTCTCAATACTTTAACAAATAGTGTATACCACTTAAACACTTATTTTTTCTTTAAACAAAACTTAATTGAGAATTGCCTGCTGACTTTCTCTGAGCTGCTGCTAAAAAAGGAAGCAGAGACTGACAAGAAGTAGCATTAAAGAATTAGGGCTGCGTGTTTATATATATATATATATATATATATATATATACTTTTTTTTTTTTTTTGAGACGGAGTTTCGCTCTGTCGCCCAGGCTGGAGTGCAGTGGCGCGATCTCGGCTCACTGCAAGCTCTGCCTCCCAGGTTCATGCCATTCTCCTGCCTCAGCCTCCCGAGTAGCTGTGACTATAGGCACCCGCCACCACACCAGGCTAATTTTTTTTGTATTTTTAGTAGAGACAGGGTTTCACCGTGTTAGCCAGGATGGTCTCAATCTCCTGACCTTGTGATCCGCCTGCCTCGGCCTCCCAAAGTGCTGGGATTACAGGCGTGAGCCACCACACCCGGCCTGCCTGTCTGTATATATTTAACCAACACTTATATACATTCTACCACAATTGGGTAAAGAATGAGTAACAGCTAAAAAAAAAAAAAGTAAACAGTTTATATGTTGGTTATTAATAGGTTCAGATAAAATTCACAAGGATCTAGATACCCTTCTGCCATTAACGTATCCAGTCACAAATATGATAGAGAATGCTGCTAAAATAAAATTCACTATTGAATTATACAAGTTTCTCTTACTAATCTTACCAGTCACTCATTAAAACATGCTGCAGGGTTGCATCATTTGACCAAGGACTTGTCTTTCCAGCCATTTTTCTATCAGCTCCAATACGAGGGAACAGTGGTAGCCAAGACAAAGCAGGGTGGAGCCAATAGATAAGGCTCTGCTGGAAGGTACAACGGAGCTCAGAGGAGAGTTTGGGATCCTAAAATCCAAAGGTGACAGTGGGCAGTTTTTGCCCATTGAGAAATAGAGAATTTTATTAAAGACAATCTTTACCAAACACTTAGGTCTAAGAATCTTTATTGCTTTCTATAGGAAAGCATTAATAATTGTTATAGGAACGAAAACATAGTTTATCCTTATTTGAGCCAGATGTAATGGTAAGCCGTAGTATCAGAACATTTAAACATAGATGGGAACATTTTCCTGTTTCTACCATCCTTAAGGACAATGACTACCTTTTTTATCATGAGGAATAGGGGTGGGCATGTGTGTGTAGGTAACACTACATCCAACCCTCTCTCCAAAAGGCTGTTTTAAAAGTAGCCAGTAAACACTGATACGGCAAATCACAAATCATCCTAATCTATTTATTGAAAAGATGTATAATATACCAAGACCTTTTTCAGGGTAATCCTTTTTAACCTAGTTTGAGACTTTAAAAAAATTTTTTTAAGATAGTCTCACTCTGTCACTGAGGCTAGAGTACAGTGGCACAATCAGAGCTCACTGCAGTCTTGACCTCCTGGGCTTAAACAATCCTCCTACCTGAGCCTCCCAAGTAGCTGGGACTACAGGCACCCACCACCATGCTCAGCTAATTTTTTTTTTTTTTTTTTTTTGTAGAGATGGGGTCTCACTACGTTACTCAGGCTGGTCTCAAGCAATCCCCCCACCTCAGCCCCCAAAATGCTGAGATTACAGGCATGGGCTATTGTGCCCAGCCTCCTAGTTTTGAGTTGATGCTTTAAAATAATCAAAATGTATATCTCTAAAACCATTCTAGAACTCACAAACTCCACAAAATTCATAAAATTTTTCTTATACAGGTAAGAAAATCTGTAAATCCATCAGCCCTTGCAATCCCACCCAATTGCTTTTCACTTCTTTCTTTGTATTTTCTTTCTCAAAAAGCCTTAGAGAAAAATAATTTAACAATTCTTGCCTGCAACACTGATTAATTTGCAAGACAAGTCTCTAAATGTATGAGCAGTTACTCAATCTGACTTAAAAAAAAAAAAGGTATGAAAGCACCATAAGCACCATCTGGGAAAGACAAAACTTCCTGTCTTTGTATCTTTAAATTTCCAAAGAAAAACTTAATGGAAGGCAGCATCTGCTATTTTGCAAAGGAGAGCATTTCACACTTAATTTGTTACTTTAACACATAACTATTTTATTTCAGAGTTACCTGTATACTTTTAGGCAAAGTAACTTCTGTTGCCCTACAATGCTGGACAAGACCTTGAGCTTCTTCCTGTGCTTTCAAATGATCTGCCCAGGTAAAGGGTTGAGAAGAGGTGAAAAGGAGTCGCGTTTTAATACTCCAGTCCACAGGTAACTCAGTACTTTTTGAGGACGGAATATCAGGCTCGGAGAATGATACATGTGAAGTCTTTAGAAAACAAAGAATGCAAAAATTAGTCGAGTATCAAGAAAAAACCTTCAACCTAAAGATTTTATCAGCTAACATGATCACTGAAAAGTAAAAATCATATAAGCTGTATAATAAATAACATGAAAAATACATTACACACTGTAAAAAAGTCTGAAAGGAGTCACACTAAACTTTTAACCATGGTTACCTATGGGAAGCGGGAATTTGTTGTTGGGGGTAGGGGTGGTGGAGGGGCAGATTTCACTTTTTAGTTTTTACAGTTCTTTATGGTAGTATAGATGTTTGTATTGAAGTAGAAATATTCCAAGTGTTAAAACATTTTGGATCTTTTAAGCTTCTGAAACTCTGCATCCAGGGCTAACAAAGCCCATATTTAAGAAACATTTCCTGACTTCAAATATTTCCCCTCAACCTGTCTGCTTCAGGTCGACGTTCTCCACAATACAAGAATTTTTTTTTTTTTAAATTGAGACGGAGTCTCCCTCTGTCGCCTAGGCTGAGTGAAGTGGTGTGATCTCGGCTCAGTACCAACCTCTGCCGCCTAGGATCAAGCGATTCTCGTGCCTCGTCCTCCCGAGTACCTGGGACTACAGGCGTGCCCCACCACGCCTGGCTAATTTTTTTGTATTTTTAGTCGAGACGGGGGTTTCGTCATATTGGCCAGGCTGTTCGCGAACTCCTGACCTCAGGTGTGATCCGCCTGCTTCAGCCTCTCAAAGTGTTGGGATTACAGACATGAGCCACTGTGCCCGGCCAAGCATTCTTTTATATCACAATAAAATATCAGAGAAGGGGGAACTATCTTGGATAGACCATAAGAAGGTCACTTATTTACAAGAGAAACTGGGTCTTGGAGAACTCTTCTAGCCTGTTCCCATTAGGACAAACCGCATTTATCAAACTACACAGCACAATGGTAGTAGTTGGGGAATGGAAACGTGTGTGTGTTAGGGGAGAGGAGCAACGAGGTTCAGTGCTATGCCACAACCTGTGGAGGTGGGCCAGGAGGGCTGGCTCTGAGTGATGAACTGGAGAAGTCAACTGCCCAAAGAAGAGTGGTAAAAACTGTTAGAGAGTAAAAGAAAACCCCCACGTCTATCAGGCCTATTTTAGCGCTGGCTATCTTTACAGTCATCATTACTGTATCAAACCAACTCCTTTACCTTGGCTGATGCGGTATTTTCATCCCTGGTTGAGATGATCAAGCCTCTCTGTAAAACTACTTTCCAAGCAAAATGCTTCTGAGAAGTATAAATGTATTTTTAAAAATAGGCTCAAATCCTATGAAAAAAAAGTTTATACAAATACACATTCTAATGATATTTAAAAAGTATTACCTGAGGTAATTCAGTAACAGTTGTTCTTTCAGGAAACTTCTCTTCCCATAGCAAATCATTTTCTTGATTAGAATCTAAAAACTGAGGTTAAATATATTCTCCTTTAAAATTTAAAGGATGCTGAAGTTTGCGTTAAATATGTACAGAGCCTCACCTGGCATACATGTTTCTCAATAAACGCAAGTACACCTAAATTCAGAGGCACCCCATCCAATCTATGAGTTTCAACACTTCAGTTTTGTGTCTGAACTTTAGTATCAAAATTGAGGGGAACAGGGACCGGCGTTTCAAACCGAAAGATCCAAAAGGCTTTGGGTAAGACAGATGCTAGTGAATTCTGACCCCACGAATCCTCGACATTCCCCCATCTCCAGAATAATTTGGAGTGCGTGAGAGAAGGGAGGCCCTAAATCACGGGGGAAGCAGGGCTTGTCACCTGCCCCATCGAACAGCGTCCTTGCAAGATGGGGGCTCTCAGGGTTTTTCGAGCTCTTTTCCAAGTCACCTCTAAGTCCTCTCCAAGGGGCTCCTCGCTGCCCTCTGGGGCCCCCTCACTTTCCTCGGGAACGCGTCCCGTGAGCACAGCCCGCAGCGGGGTAGCCAGGGGAGCGCTCTTCCCACAAACCCGGCCTTGCCAGAATCGCGGCTCCCAGGGCGGGGTACCCTAAGGCCACGGGCGGCCGAAGTCTTCGCGCCCATTTCCTTGCCTCGAACGCGAGGACTTTCCATCCCCCATTCACAGCTGGCTCAACCCACGAAAGACAAGAGCCCCTTGGCGGCCAGGCTACAAGACACTCACCGGGACCGGGGCCTCCGGCTGCTCGCGGGCCGGCCCGTCGGGGGGCTCCGCGGCGACCCGCGGTCGGTTGTCCAGGCGGGCGAAGGGGTTCCTCCGAGCAGCGGCCGGGCCGCCGCCGCTGCCACCGCCTCTGCCCCCCGCAGCAGGGAAAGGGCGAAGAGGCAGCCCCGCCACCAGGGCGGCTCGGCGGGCCGCCGGCTCCGTCAGCTCACGGGGCGGGGAGGCGGCAGCTCCACGGCTCCGGGCCCTTTTCCGTCGGAGCCGCACTACCTCGGGCGGCTTTCGGAAGCCCGGTGAGTAGCCGGGCACCGAAAGGGCCATGACGCGCGGCGGCTGAGGGTAGCCGGCCGCCCTACAGAGACTTCCCGCGCGCGCCGGGCCCGCCCCTGACGTGGCGCCTCGCCGAGCTCCCGCCCCCGACGCGGCCCCGCCTCCGCCCCCGCCGGTTCCGAGCGGAGCATGCGCAGTGGGCAGCCCGCGAGACGCAGCCCGCAGCGGCGATCCCGGGTGGCCGTCAACGCCCACTGTCCCAGCGGTGACCCTGCCCTGGCGCTTCTGCCAGGTCCTCGGCCAGAGTCCAGTCGCCAGGTTCAGCGACGCTTCTGGAAAGTATGCGATCCAGGGCGCTGATGTGCACTACCCTGTGGGGCACCGAAATAGCTTAACTCTATTTAAGCCCGCAGCAGGGATGTGATCAGCCCGGGGTTTGGCGCCTGGATGAAAAGGAAACAAACTTGAGCTGCGGCGATGGGCTGCTGCTTCCATAAACTTAAGAGAGGGCAGTGGCTACTGCTCTCAAGAGGCGAGGAGAGGGGACTAGGCCACCTTCCTCAACCCCCAGAGAACTCAGATAAGACGTCAGCACGCTTCCTATGCCAGCGCAGCCTACCGACATCCCTCCCTTCCCCGTTCCCAGTGCCTGGTCATCTCAGACTTCCAGGCAGCTGCCACTGGCAAGTTAATGGGATCTTCTTTGATCCTGGGGAAAGCCGGAGTGAATGAATAGTTGAAAACACAAAATTTAAGTGCCTATGGGCTAAGTCTTTTAAGACTTCAAAATATACTCAAATGCTTAAATTATGACAGCAAAGACTTAAGGAAGGTGTTGAGAACGGAGTTGATACAAAATTAATACGTTACTTTGATAGCTTAGCAAAGGCCTGCAACAGCTTTTATCAAGAGTAGTGTGACTTTTGCTGAAAGCAGCAGTTTTCTTCATGGAAGGAATTTTATAGCAGGGGCAAAATATATAGAAACAATGAAAAGGTTTTTAGAAAAATTCCCTTAAGATGTTAATTATAGAATTATCTTGATCATTTGCACAAGAATTTTTCAAACACTTTTCAAATGTGTCAACTGAGCATCTTGTCTTAGCAGAGAAACGTGCTTAAAAATGCAACTTGTTTTATCTTCCTTGGTTTTTCTCAACAATTTCCAAAGAAAATTCTGGCTTCAAATACTGGAATATGTTCATCCGACTGAGGTCTGAGAAAGAAGAAAATTAAAATTGAACAACTTGCTTTTTTCTTCCTTGATTTTTCTGAACAGCTTCCATGGAAACTTTTGCCTCATACAGTGGAATGGGTTCATCCAACTGAGGTCTGAGAAGGAATGAAATTAGAAATGTCAGGTCTAGTTAAAGATAAGTAGAACAAACAGGGTGGTATATGACAAATGCTAGTGCTCAAATCTATTAGTGTATTAATTAATTTTTTGAGACAGAGTCTGGCTCTCTCATCCAGGCTGGAGTGCAGTGGCACGATCTCAGCTCACTGCAACCTCCGGCTCCCGGGTTCAAGCAATTCTCATACTTCAGCCTCCTGAGTAGCTGGGATTACAGGCATGCACCATCAAGCCTGGCTAATTTTTGTATTTTTAGTAGAGATGGGTTTCACCATGTTGGCCAGGCTGGTCTTGAACTCCTAGCCTCAAGTGATCCACCCACCTTAGCCTCCCAAAGTGCTGGGATTACAGGCATGAGCCACTGCACCCGGCCTCAAATCTATTACTTTAAGTAATTCAAACAAATTCGTCCATTAGTGTTTCCAATGTTAAAAGTGGTTAAGTTTTGAAGGAAAAAAATTATCTACTTTATTTACTCCCTCTTTTTTTCTGAGACGGAGTTTCTCTTGTTGCCCAGGCTGGAGTGCAATGGTGTGATCTCGGCTCACTGCAACCTTCACCTCCCAGGTTCAAGCAATTCTCCTGCCCCAGCCTCCCAGTAGCTGGGATTATGGGCGTTCGCCACCACGCTCAGCGAATTTTTCTATTTTTTAGTAGAGACAGTGTTTTGCCATGTTGGCCAGGCTGGTCTCGAACTCCTGATCTCAGGTGATTCACCCACTTCAGCCTCCCAAAGTGCTGGGATTACAGGCGTGAGCCACCACGCCTGGCCTACTCCCTCTTTTATAACTGATAAACATATTCAACTTTAAACAAATATACCATGGTTTTCTCTCCTTCAAGCTATTGGTTACTTCAAGTTGCTTTGGGAGGGGTGATGAGGAAAAGCAAAGGGTGAGGTACACTACATAATGGAGTGAGGAAAACTCACAAGCCACTTCTATCTCTGCGAGTACCTACTGGTGTACCACCAGATACACTTTGATAAATATTAAAGAGCAGCTATTTAAACGAAATATAAGATCAGTGCAAAAGTAAATGCAGTTTTTGCCATTACTTTCAATGGCAAAAACCACAATTATGTTTGCACCAACCTAATAATAAAATATGGAGGCAACAGGTACATGGCGAGAGCTAAAACAAAAGTGGGACTGCCTGCCTTAGCTCCCTGAAAATAGAAAAACAAACAAGAACAATGATTTGGTTACTTTAGCGTACCTGAAAACACCAGTTGATAACTTCTCCATCACATCCTTTAAGATACGTAGCTGGAAGGATTGTTAAGGTGGCAATGTAAAGGAGAATTAAATAAAACCATTCAATAAGCAGAGGATGCCAGGCAGGCCACTTTCTCTTGTTTCAAGTTTTGCACTCTCAGAGACTCAACATGTTAAGTTAGAGAAATTCTGTAGGACGTCAAGTTTAGCTCTACAACAGGGAAATGATTTGAGAGTTGGTGGTGTAATAGAGCCTAAATTTCCAAGGACAAGTGACAAGAGCAGCAAGTCAAGCCTGGTGCTTATCCTAAGTGCTCACCACTATTATCTCAATGGATGCGAATGAAATAGTGTCTAGTTTTCATTTCTACACTACATATGGCATTTTTAGTTAAAAACAATTTTAGCACGTATATATCTTACTTTAGATGTACATTCGTTGACCAGGCTGGTTGGTTAATGGGCTCAAAATTTGTTTGCAGAAGCCAGTAAACTTTATGTGTGTATGATATACAGTCATCCCTCACGCATCCATGAGGGATTGGTTCCAGGACCCCCATGAAGACCAAAATCTCCAGATACTCAAGTCCCTTATAGAAAATAGTGCAGCAGCTTGGGAAACAAGGCTCTCTACAAAAAAATTAAAAATTAGCCAGGCATGGTGGCATGTGCCTGTTGCCCCAGCTACTGGGGAGGCTGAGGCAGGAGGATCCCTTGAGCACATGGGTTTGAGGTTACAGTGAGCTGGAATGAGCACTGCACTCCAGCCAGGGCAACAGAGCAATACCCTGTCTCAAAAGAAAAAAAAAAAGAAAGAAAAAAAAAATGGCCTAGTATTTGCATATAACCGAGGCACATCTCCATTATACATTAAGTCATCTCTATATTACTTATAATACCTAATGCAATGTAAATACTATGTAGATAGTGGTTATGCTATTTTTTTTGTTTTTTTTATTGTCGTATTATTACTTTTTCAGAGCTTTTTTTTTTTTTTTTTGAGACAGGGGCCCCCTCTGTGGCCCAGGCTAGAGTGCAGTGGCATGATCATGGCTCACTGCAGCCTCAACCTCTCAGGCTCTAGTGATCCTCAGCCTCCCAAGTAGCTGGGACCACAGCAATTCACCGCCACACCAGGTTAATTTATTTTTATTTTTGTATAGACAGGGTCTCCCTATGTTGCCCGGGCTGGTCTCAAACTCCTGAGATGAAGCCATCCTCCTGCCTCAGCCTCCCAAAGTGCTGGGATTACAGGCATGAGCCACTGCCCCCAGCCTCCAAATATTTTTGATCCTTGATTGGTTGAATCCCTGGATGTGGAACCCTCAGATACAGGGGGCTGATCGTATGTCACTAAGAGAATCAGAAAATGATGTAAAAATCAAAGAAAAAATCTATCTTGCTAATTTAATTGAAATTATAATACTAAGATCAAGATTCTATGTAATTGCCCGTACTTCTGAATTATTTATGGCCCAGAATGACACAGTTGGAAGGAGATGTCTCTGTTAAATCACAAGCAGCAACTTAGCTTGTATGAACTGAATGAGGAGGGTTTGCACAAGTGAGGACTACTGTATGATTCAGGACTTTAGAAAATGCAAATTAGGGCTGGGTGCGGTGGCTAACGCCTGTAATCCCAGCATTTTGGGAGGCTGTAGCAGGTGGATCACCTGAGGTCAAGAGTTCGAGACCAGCCTGACCAATATGGTGAAATCCTGCCTCTACTAAAAATACAAAAATTAGGTGGGCATGGTGGCATGCGCCTATAGTCTCAGCTACTTGGGAGGCTGAGACAGGAGAATTGCTTGAACCTGGGAGGCAGAGGTTGCAGTGAGCTGAGATGGCGCCACTTCACTCTAGCCTTGGTGACAGAGCGAGACTCTATCTCAAAAAAAAAAAAAAAGAAAGAAAGAAAATGCAAATTAGCAAATATAAGTCATTTAAAACATTTCTTTTTTTTTGAGACGGAGTCTCGCTATGTTGCCCAGGCTGGAGTGCAGTGGCACGACCTCGGCTCACTGCAAGCTCCGCCTCCTGGGTTCATGCCATTCTCCTGCCTCAGCCTCCCGAGTAGCTGGGACTACAGGTGCCCGCCACCATGCCTGGTTAATTTTTTGTATTTTTAGTAGAGAAGGGGTTTCACCATGTTCGCCAGGATGGTCTCAATCTCCTGACCTCGTGATCCGCCCACCTTGGCCTCCCAAAGTGCTGGGATTACAGGCGTGAGCCACCACACCTGGCCTAAAAATATTTTTAAAAGGAAACTAAAGAATATAAATTTACTAATTCACATCCCTGCAAGTTCCCTTCCTACTGCTGTTAATAAAATTCTTACCTGTGTGCAAAGCATGTATTTCTGATTCTGGAAAATGTACAGTATTTCATATACACATGTCATGTTTCAACTTGGTCCAAGGATTTGTCAAATAGGTTAAAATTGCCTTCTCATCGGGAGAGGTGGTTTGAGAGAATTAAGTTATATACTATAAGCAGAGCAGTCTAGTTTCCAACATGTAAGATTCAAAACTAATAGCTACAGCCGGGAGTGGTGGCCCATGCCTGTAATCCCAGCACTTTGGGAGGCTGAGGCGTGTGGATCACCTGAGGTTAGGCGTTTGAGACCAGCTTGACCAACATGGTGAAACTCCGTCTCTACTAAAAAATACAAAAAATTAGCCAGGCGTGGTGGCGCATGTCTGTAATCCCAGCTACTCAGGAGGCTGAGACAGGAGAATTGCTTGAACCCAGGAGTTGGAGGTTGCAGTGAGCCAAGCTCATGCCACTGCACTCCAGCCTGGGCAAGAGTGAGACTCTGTCTCAAAAAAAAAAAAAAAAAAAAAAAAAAAATCAAAACTAATAGCTACATAGTATTCTAACCTTAACTAATGTTACTTTTGTTAACTGTTACTTTTAATAGCCACATGGTATTCTCCACTGTAGCATCATTCCATGTTATTCTTAATAATTACAATGTTATTGGATTGGACATTTACTTTTTTTTTTTTTTTTGAGACAGAGTCTCGCTCTGTAGCTAAGCTGGAGTGCAGTGGCGCGATCTCAGCTCACTGCAACCTTCACTGCCTGGGTTCAAGCAATTCCCCTGCCTCAGCCTCTGGAGTAGCTGGGACTACAGGCGTGTGCCACCACACCCAACTAATTTTTTTTTTTTTGGTATTTTTAATAGAGACGGGGTTTCATCATGTTAGCCAGGATGGTCTCGATTTCCTGACCTCGTGATCCCCCACCTCGGCCTCCCAAAGTGCTGGGATTACAGGCATGAGCCACTGTGCCAGCTCATGTACCTTTTTAAAAAATGAAATTAATTAAAAATCCTTTTAGAAAGTTAAATCTAATTTTCAAATTTAATAGGAAATATTTAATCAGAAATAACTTTAAACTCATACATTCACTACATGAAGGGGTTTTGAAATCTACTCCTTAAAACTTAACACATGCAGTATACTAATTACGTAACTTTTTTTTTTTTTTTTTTTTTTTGAGATGGAGTCTCACTCTGTCACCAGGCTGGAGTGTAGTAGTGCAATCTTGGCTCACTGAAACCTCTGCCTCCCAGGTTCAAGCGATTCTTCTGCCTCAGCCTCATGAGTAGCTGGGATTACAGGCATGTGCCACCATGCCCGGCCTACATAACTACCTTAAAGCTCCGAATAAAGACTGTCATTGCTCCTGGAGGGAACTGGCCTTTATACATATCACACATATATGACTAGACACATTTAAGAAAAGTAACGTATGATATTCAGTAGAGAGAAGTGTAAGGCTATGTAAATCTTTCTTCAGACACACACATATGCTCTATCAAGTAATGATAACTTTTTTTTTATCCAATACATTAAAACTTTTACCAAGTGCTGCTGCCTCTAAGCCAGTCATTTTAGAAATAAAAGGAATTCTTAAGTTGACCCTACTCTAAAGAGGTTTGCACCTTTCTTTTTGAAATTGTTTGTATATTCCAAACTTTTTATTATTTTTACTCAACTGGAATGATTTGGCTTCAATCACACCAGACTTATCTCTGAATGACTTTTGTTTCAAAAAGTCAAACCTATCTTCATTTGATAAAGATTTCCTAGCATTGATATTTATAAAACACTCCACAAACTCTTTAATTTAGAAAAGTATTCTGAAATGTTTCTGTGCAATGGCACCATCATAGGAGTAAGTGTGCAACCTTTCAAGGTGATGTGTGCTTTCCTTAATGTGAGGTTAAAAACAAAATCTTCCAGGTATCTTAGGGCTCATCTCTGTTCAGAAAGGAGAGAGACTGCCTGAGTGTGATTCTTGCTCCGCCACTTGCTGCGTCCTTGAGTCTGTATCAACATCTCTGTGCTTCTGTTTCTTCACCTGTGAAATGGGGATGATAACAGTACTTACATCTCAAAAGGCTGTTTTAATGTTTAAATGAATACTTGCAAGGCACTTGGAATACTGTTTGGAATACTTAAGGAAACTTAACTGCTATTATTATTTCCTATTATCGTAATGAAAGAACTTAGTACAGTACAAAGTTCAAGCCAGAAACTCAATCAGTCGATAAAAAGGATATAAAGATATTTTCCCTGTTGTACATTTGACAAATTCCAAACTTCATCATTCAGGAAAGCTAACGTTGCTCCCTTGAGGAAAAGGCAGTGGCTATCTGGAGGATCCAACTTGGATAGAATGAAACAAAGACTAATCAATTATTGTGAGTTTAACAGCAGGATGACTGGTATCTCGAGTCAGAAAAACTTCTACACAAATTAAATGATGTCCAAATCACAAAAATATGCACATAAACTTTAATAACGTAAACGATAATATTTTCTATTTCATGGTCCAAAATGATGAAACAGCGAGGTGATAAGTACATGGCAGATGCAAGGCCAATCTAGAATCCTGGTGGTGAAGTGGTAGGGGTGTGTGTGTGTCTTTTCTGGCCATCTTCATGAGGGTGTTGGAAAATCAGTGAAGATTGGTAGGTGAGAATTACGGTATTTGCATATCAGCCATCATGTAAATATGTAACTAGAATGCTGAAAAATATAACCTTGAGAGATACATAAACATATATAGTAATTCCAATTTGAATAATTAGGAAATTGTGATAATTTTATATAGAAATATTTTGCTAAGTATATGTCAACAATGTCACCGAGAAAAAATGCTATCTGAAATACTATTAAAAATTCATGCCAGCGTGGTGGCTCACACCTGTAATCCCAGCACTTTGGGAGGCCGAGGCAGGTGGATCACCTGAGGTCAGAAGTTCAAGACCACCCTGGTCAACATGGTGAAACCCTGTCTCTACTAAATATACAAAAATTAACTGGGCGTGGTGGCGGGCGCCTGTAATCCCAGCTACTCAGGAGGCTGAGGCAGGAGAATCGCTTGAACCTGGGAGGCAGAGGTTGCAGTGAGCCGAGATCATGCCATTGTGCTCCAGCCTGGGCAACAAGAGCGAAACTTTGTTCCAAAAAATAAAAAAATAAAAAAATAAAATAAAATAAATTCGTAAGTCACATGTCTAAATCACTAAATAAAATTACACTTCATCGTCATTGAAAGGATGTCTCTACTAGGCAGTATTTCAACATTTTGGCCAACATGTTGCTAAAGTGAAAAAAAAAGCTACATTTCTTTCTGATATAAAATATGGAATGGAAAAAAAAAGCTAAATTTCTTTATTTTTCAGATTTTTTTCTTTTTTTTTTTTTGAGACAGAGTCTCACTCTGTGACCCAGGCTGGTGTGGAGTGGCGCAATCTCGGCTCACTACAACCTCCGCTTCCCAGGTTCAAGTAATTCTCATGCCTCAGCCCTCAGTCTCTCAAGGAGCTGGGAATATAAGCCTGTGCCACCATGCCTGGCTAATTTTTGTATTTTTTGTAGAGATGGGGTTTCACCATGTTGGCCAGGCTGGTCTTGAACTCCTGGCCTCAAGTGATCCGCCCGCCGCGGCCTCCCATAGTGCTGGACTCATAGGTGTGAGCCACCATGCCTGGCCCAGATTTTATACTAATTTAGTCATACCTTGCCTCAAATAACTTAGGCATTATTGTTTGTTAATTACACCCCTTTGGTGTAATGGTAACGCTTTATGGTTTCTGATAGTACCTGAAGGTTTTCTTCTGTTGTTACCCAGTGGCCTCCAACACCAAGAAGTGTGATGATATCATGTTTATGTGGTAGTAGTTGTAGTTTTACAGCTGGTTCATCATCTTTACTATATAATCTCACTTGCAAGGGAATAGTTTTAAAAAAAGAGAGAGAGAAGAAATATATTTTATAATAATCTGACAAAAATTTATTCTTCAAACAAGTTCTTATTTATTTAGAGACAAGGTCTTACTATGTTGCCCAGGCTGGCCTGGACTCCAGCAATCCTCCAGCCTCAGCCTCATGAGTAGTTGGGACTACAGGCACAGGCCACTGTGTCCGCCGGCACTCTCTTTTTGTTTTTTTTTTGAGACGGAGTCTCGCTCTGTCGCCCAGGCTGGAGTGCAGTGGCGCGATCTAGGCTCACTGCAAGCTCCGCCTCCCGGGTTCACGCCATCCTCCTGCCTCAGCCTCCTGAGTAGCTGGGACTACAAGCGCCGCCACCATGCCCGGCTAATTTTTTTTTGTATTTTTAGTAGAGACGGGGTTTCATTGTGTTAGCCAGGATGGTCTCAATCTCCTGACCTCGTGATCCGCCCGCCTCGGCCTCCCAAAGTGCTGGGATTACAGGCATGAGCCACAGCACCCAGCCCTCCTTACTTTTTAATGTACAAATGAGGAAATATTTTTCTTAGAAAAAGCAACACACAATGTATTCTGATACCTTAAAATCTACTTTTTGCATTAAACTGATCATAAAATTTATTCAACATTTAATTGTAATTTATTGTAAATCTACTTATTATAGAAATAAATAAAGATAAAAAGTCTATCTTCATTTGAAAACCAGGCAAAGTAATGTAACACATAACCAAATCTGACAATTAACACTGATAGCTTAATATAGTGAGATGAATTGATTCCCAATTAAAAAACTCATAGACTCAAGATAGTCTTAACATAATTACTGAAATGTCCATGTGAAAAAATGATGCAATAAAGTATGTATTTACTTCCACTGACAGATTTTCCTGAGCTATTTTCAAATCTTAGAAAATACTGGTTTAAAAAACCACACTATAGTCATAACCATATTCATCCATGATTCTCACATTAGAAGATAAATCCTACCAAAGTATAAATAGAAGCACTTTGCAGGCTCGTAAAGCCTATCCTTTAGAAGTCATGCTATTACTTAAGTGTGTTCAGAGTAAGTGTTAAATAAATACTGGTTAAACTAAAAACATTCAAGAAAAGTGAAACTGGAACAAATTTTGATATTTTCCAAATAGAGACTGCAGAAGTCAACTATCCAATCGAAGGCAGCCACACACAGCAGATGGGACTGAAAAGGCATGAGAATGATGCTGTGTTTTCTGGGAGCCACTGAGGAGGCCATGTTTCTAGATTTCTTGTAGCGATATGTCATTTGTTACTCTAATGTCTACACCAAGCTTGTCCAACTCGCAGCCTGCCCAGGATGGCATTAAATGCTGCCCAACACAAATTCGTAACTTTCTTAAAACATTATAAGACATTTTTGAGTTTTTTTTTTTTTTTTTGGCTCATAAGATATCATTAGTGTTACTGTATTTTATGTGTGGCCTAAGACAATTCTTCTTCCAATGTGGCCAGGGAAGCCAAAAGATTGGACACCCCTAGTCTACGCTGTAAAAGATAAGCATGTTCTCTCTTACATACAGCGCTTACAATGAGAATAAAGTGGAAGTTCCAATTTAAATTAAAAAGTCTTCAGTTAAAAACAAAACCTAAAACTGAACATCTGGTTTAATAAGTGCATTAATAATTATGCCCTGGTTAAATTTTTTTTCTTAAATTCATCAAACTAAAAAAACTACACAGGCTACTAATTTCATAAGGTACCTACCTCCAGCATCTAGGACAATATCTACTCCCAGGCCACCTGTTTCTTCCAAACAGCTTTCAGCAACATGAACTTTCCCATTAGATACATCAATCACTCGGGCTGTAAAGGACAGGAAATCAGGCAATTGTACTGTTCTCTATGTGATCAACACAAACAAATCAGGGAAAAAGAAAAAGAAAAGCAAATAAATATCTATTCTTGAAATGAGTTAAGCAATTCAAACAATTACTGAATTTAAAGGGAGAAAGTCAATTTAAATTATACTTTTTCTCATCTAACCCAATATGGGATATAGCAGTCTAAATGAAGAGACTTGTATATTTAATAAAACTAAAATGTGAACATTTTGTGGAGAAGGTGATCCAAGGCTGGTCTGTTGACACAGAGCACTATTCTCTACAGTTATAGGATATGTTGCCAGAATTAGGAATCTGAAAACACAGAGGTACATATATAATACGACATGAAATGGAAGATTAAGTCAGTTTCTTTTTTTTTTTCAGACAGGTTCTCACTCCATTGCCCAGAATGGAGTGCAGTGGTGTGATCACAGCCCAGTGCAGCCTTGAACTCCTGGGTTCAAGCAATCCTCCTGCCCTAGCCTCCCAAGTAGCTAGGACTACAGGTACATGCCACCACGCATGGCTATTTTTTTAATTTTTTTTTGTAGGGAGAGGGTCTTGCTATGTTGCCTAAGCTATTTTTGAACTCTTGGCTTCATGTGATCCTCCTGCCTTGGCCTCCTAAATCCCTGGGATTATAGGGTGAGCCACCACCCCCAGCTAGATTAAGTAGTTTCTCAAGTATGTTCATATTTAATAGTCTTTAGAGCTAAAAAACATAAAAATATACAGATGATATGCTCATCTTTACGATGGGCTACATCCCAATATACCCACCGTAAGTCAAAAATGCACTCTATACCCCAATAAACCGATCGTAACATTTAAAAAATCCTAAATCGAAACACTGTCAGCTGGGGACAGTCTGTATTTGTATAATATGGTAATTATCTACTAGAGGCTGTTTCACCCTTTCTCAGTCATAGAAATCTCCCTCTCTTCCCCACTTACTCTCCCAAATGAAGAAAAATCTTAAAGCTAAGGAAAAGGAGCATGATTTTTAGGCAAGTCAGTAAAAATTAAACAGATTTTAATTGGCTGCATTAAAGGATATTAGTAGTATCCTATTAATAGAATATAAATTATTGACAGAATTAAAAATAATTCTCAGAATTTTGAACTGGCAAATAACAACATGTTTGTATTTCCTTTCTCTATCTTTCAACACCTTCTAGCTGAAGAGAATTCCTCTTAGAGCTGCTCAGATTAGTGGTGTAGTCCAACAGAGTAATCTAGGACTTGGAGGCAAGGAGGAAGAGGACAAAAGGGAAAGGGGGACAAAGCAATCTAGGAAAGGCAAATTAACAAATAAGAAATTTTCCCTTCGTTCATGTTCTTTTTTTTAATACCATTCATGCTTTTTTTTTTTTTTGAGATGGAGTCTCGCTCTGTCACCCAGTCTGGAGTGCAGTGGCGCGATCTCGGCTCACTGCAAGCTCTGCCTCCCAGGTTCACGCCATTCTCCTGCCTCAGCCTCCCGAGTAGCTGGGACTACAGGTGCCCGCCACCATGCCAGCTAATTTTTTTTTTGTATTTTTAATAGAGACAGGTTTCACCATGTTAGCCAGTATGGTCTCCATCTCTGGACCTCATGATCTGCCCGCCTTGGCCTCCCAAAGTGCTGGGATTATAGGTATGAGCCACTGTGCCCGGTCCATAAAGTTTTTTTTTTTTTTTTTTTTGGGGGCGGACTGTCGCTCTGTTGCCCAGGCTGGAGTGCACTGACACGATCTCGGCTCACTGCAACCTCCACCTCCCAGGTTCTAGCAATTCTCCTGCCTTAGCCTCCTGAGTAGCTGGGATTACAGGCGTCTGCCACCACGCCCAGCTAATTTTTGTATTTTTAATAGAGATGGGGTTTCATCACGTTGGCCAGGCTGGTCTTGAACTCCTCACCTCAAGTGATCCACCCGCCTCGGCCTCCCAAAGTGCTGGGATTGCAGATGTGAGCCACCACGCCCAGCCTGTGCTCTTTCTCCATTCTATTTTCAGATCTCTTCTTTTTCCTTTTCTCCTCCTTTCTCCAGCCCCTGTATTGCCTTCCTTCTATTTCTTGGTTATCTCTGTCACAAGCATAATGTAACAGTGGAAATAATGTGAGCTTTACTGTCAGACAGGCCTGGGTTCAAATCTCATTCCAGTCCTTTACTAGGTGTATATCCTTGGAGAAGCTAGTTCTCTGAGGCTTGTCTCTAGTTCTTCCACACCCAGCCTGCATCAGGTGTTTCTAAACTGCATCAAAGTTCACCTAATTCAAAATTAAGTAAATTGTTGAAAACAATGGGGCAAACAGGAAAAAACATTGAAAAATGTAAGTTTAAAAAAAAATAATTAAAATTAAAACTATCACTTAAGTAAACTGGGGCTGGACATGGTGGCTCATGCCTGTAATTCCAGCACTTTGGGAGGCCAAGGTGGGTGCATTGCTTGAGCTCAGAAGTTTGATACCAGCCTAGGCAACATGGCTAAACCCGTCTCTACAAAAAATACAAAAAATTAGCTGGGCGTGATGGCATATGCCTGTAGTCCCAGCTACTCAGGTGGCTGAGGTGGGAGGATCACCTGACCCTGGGGAGGTCCATACTGCAGTGAGCCACGATTGTGCCATTGTACTCCAGCTGGGTGACACAGTGAGACCCTGTTTCAAAAAAAAAAAAAAAAGCAAATTGGGAGATAGCACATACACTGCATTTTGAAACTGACTTTCATTTGGGATTTTATAAATTCTTTTTTTTTTTTTTTAAGATTATATATAGATGAGGTCTTCTATGTTGCTCAGGCTGGTCTCAAACTCCTGGGCTCAAGCAATCCTCCCATCCTGGCTTCCCAAGGTGCTGAGGTTACAGTTGTGAGCCACTGCACCTGGCCAGGGATTTTGTACTTGGTTTTACAAGTACATTTTTAAAGGTGATTTTCCTTCAAAATTTCCTGTTTTAAAGTCTGTGCTCATAATATTACCCACCTATGGGAGGTCTGAATCTTTCAAGGCACTGCTTATCTTCAAGGCTGCATGCTGTTGAAATCACTTTGGCTCCTCTATGATGTGCTAACTGAATAGCTATTGTACCAAATGCCTGTGTAGAAAAAAATATACAGTGGGTGTATGGTTATAGAACAGAGGCCATATCGAATTGATTTCTTTATATTATTTAATAAAGTATAATTCTTTAGTGTTACTTTAGTATATTTTAAAATGTTATCTAATAGGAAAAGAGCAAAGTTATGGGCAAGTTTAATAGGGGAAATATTTGATTGACTTTCTTCTTTACAAGGGGTGGTGGAAAAGCTGCATGTCACACGCTGTCACTCAGTCTGACCACAGCACATAATTTCAAGGATGGAGGGCCACATTCAGACACATGGCCTTGCAAAGAGAAAACTGGGCCTTGTCAATGCGATGGTCTAAGCTAATTATATACTATATATGGGAGTCCAGCTATCTCTCTTTGAAGATCAAAACACTTCAAAAGCTCCATCCTGTTCAGACCTATAGGGTAAGTTTGGGGAAACACTACTATCCTGATGTTGGATATCAGGCTGAAGCCAGTGCTGAAGACAGCTTTGCCTTTTCTTCAAAGAAAAGCAGGAAGAAAGCATTTCATCACAAGCCAGTTAGAAAATAAAACTATAAGTTAATTTCAAGATTTTCTTAACATTTTTAGATGACAATATTTTATGTATTCTTTTAGTGTCTTGAACTATTTTTTGATATATGTAATATGTTTAAATTAGGACGTGTTGATCTTTTGTGTGATCCATCTATACATAAAATGCCAATACTTGATCAACGTAAGTGTGAGGGTGGGAAATAGGCTACAAAGCTATTAGGGAATTCTGGACTATGACTTCAAAGGCTCATGTGGCATCTTAGGCTTTGTCTAACAGGAATGAATAAAAATGGCTTGTCTTTTTAATGTACCAGCAGATTCAAAGTCATAAACTAATCACACTAAATCTAACTTTGATCTTCTATTGATAAAAGCTGCTTATTATAACAAAATAGGACACTGGAAAAAAAGTCAATCAATAAGCTATTGGCAAAGAATTATATTAGCAAATGGATGGCTCATTGCTAAATTTCCTAAGTTTACTGTATGCTTGTCTGTTTCTTAACAAAACCATTAGCACCTACACTTGCTCCATCCATTATCAGCACTGATTTTCCAGGAGAGAGATGAGAAAGATAATGCAGAGCTGTATAGGCACGCACTCCATCCCGAATGCTTCCTGCTGCTTCCGTCCATGTGACCTTTTCTGGTTTATGAACTATCATAAAGAACAAGAAGAAACAATCTGTTAGCAAGTCCCACAAGTCCTACCTCCTGGATCTATTTCTCTCCATCTCTAGTACTACTATGGCCCTGGTCCAAGCCCCTACTCCCATTCTCTCTCACCTACAATACTTTCCATTATTTGCCCATGAATAATTCTCCATATAGGAGTCAGTGTGTGTGTATTTTTAAAACTTTTTATATTGTGAAATAAAATGTGCAGAAAAAGTATGTAAAATATAAAATATAGCTGGATGAATAAATATAAAGGAAATATGCAAAGTTAACGGTATACCATCCTGGTGGAGAGAGAGCACAACCATCACCCCAGCAGCCTCTTCTCTCCTCACCAAAGGTCACCACCATTCTCATGCAATTTCTTATTTGTATCACTCATTAGTACGCATTCCTAAACAATACAATTTCCTGGCCTGGCGTGGTGGCTCACGCCTGTAATCCCAGCACTTTGGGAGGCCGAGGCAGGCAGATCACGAGGTCAGGAGATCGAGACCATCCTGACTGACACGGTGAAACCCCGTCTCTGGCCGGGCGTGGTGGCTCACGCTTGTAATCCTAGCACTTTGGGAGGCCGAGGCGGGCGGATCACGAGCTCAGGAGATCGAGACCACGGTGAAACCCCGTCTCTACTGAAAATACAAAAAATTAGCCAGGCGTGGTGGCGGGCGCCTGTATTCCCAGCTACTCGGAGAGGCTGAGGCAAGAGAATGGTGTGAACCCGGGAGGCAGAGCTTGTAGCGAGCAGAGCTCATGCCAATGCACTCCAGCCTGGGTGACACAGCGAGACTCCGTCTCAAAAAAAAAAAAAAAAAAAAAAAAGTAGCCAGGCGTGGTGGCAGGCGCCTTTGGTCCCAACTACTGGAGAGGCTGAGGCAGGAGAATGGTGTGAACCCGGGAGGTGGAGGTTGCAGTGAGCTAAGATTGCACCACTGCACTCCAGCCTGGGTGACAGAGCAAGACTCCGTCTCAAAAAAAAAAAAAAAAAAATTTCATATTGCCAAGGCTTTAAACTTTATCTGAATGGAATCATACCATATGCATTCTTTTCTACCTTGCTTTTTATGTTCCATATTATGTTTTTAAGGCATCCATTCTGTGGATGAGGCTGTTAGAGCACTTTCATTCTTGTTGTTTTATGGCATTCCAATATATTAAAAACACCTTCATTTGCTTACCCATTGTTTAGCTGATGAACATTTGTGTTGTCTCCAATTTTTGTCAGTTACAAACAATGCTGCTAAGTGTGTTCGTATATGAAAAATATTGTTACACCGTGCATGGGTTTTCCTAGGATACTTAAATTGGAGTGGAAATCCTAGGTCCCAGGTATATTATCTGTTCCTTAACTACACCTTTCCAAAGTAATTGCATCAATTTACTTTCCCACAGTAGTGTCCTGTTGCTGTGAATGTCCTTGTCAACTTGTGGAATGATCACATTTATATATTTTTACCAATTATGTAGGTAGGTAATAGTTTCTTACTATGATTTTAATTTGCTTTCTCTGACTACTAAAAGAGGTTGAGCATCTTTCCATGTTCACTGGCCATCTGGAATTCCTTTTGTGAATTCCTTTTTCAAGTGTTAATCAATTTTTCTATTGTTTTGTCTTTTTCTTATTTAGAGCTTTACAGGAATTCTTTATATATTCTAGAGAAGTCATTTGTTCATGTGCTGTAAATATTATTTTCAACTTTGTGCCTTCTGTTTTCAATCTCTTTAACAGTATCTTTAAAAAACAGAATCATCAGAATGATATTTTAAAAAGATAACTGACATCCTAACAATTCCCTGCTTAAAATTTATCAATGGCTTTACACTGTACTTGGAACCAAATGCAACTCCTAATATAGTTTAAAAAGTTCCGCATGATCTGACCGTGAAACTATTCCTTAACATGTTTCACTATTTAATTTTTGTTTTGTATTTATGTTGTACACTGATGTAATTTTTCCGCAGTACAAGAATTCTTTTTTTTTTGAGATGGAGTCTCACTCTGTCGCCAGGCTGGAGTGCAGTGGTGTGATCTTGGCTCACTGCACCCTCCCCCTCCTGGGTTCAAGCAATTCTCCTGCCTCAGCCTCCCAAGTAGCTGGGATTACAGGTGCACACCACCAGGCCTGGCTAATTTTTGTATTTTTTTAGTAGAGACGGGGTTTCACCATGTTGGCCAGGCTGGTCTCGAACTCCTGACCTCAGGTGATCTGCCTACCTTGGCCTCCCAAAGTGCCGGGATTACAGGTGTAAGCCACCACGCCTGGCCAAGAAATTCTTTCTCATTTTACCTAAGATCAACTTTATAACACTTTCACAGTCTTTACCAGCTCTTTGAAATGCTTCCTCTAGTAGCAATGATTCATGTGGACTAGCCAGAGTAGTCAGCACTGCATTTAGCAACAAACTAGTGCCATCTAGTGGGCGAAGTGGAGCATTCAAACATGCATGTTGAAATGCTCAGACAAGAGCTGAGAATTAAAACAGTAAAAACATATTAAGCACCAGGTGATAGCACACACAGTACTTTATTCCTTAGGTAACTCTTTAAGATAGCTATTCTCCCAATTTTACGGATGATGAAATAGGGTTCAGGGTAATTGATTAATTTGTCTAATGCCACATAGCTCATAAGGTGAATATATGACTTTAAAGCACATCTATTTCAACAGTGCACGCTCAATCAACGTATAATTTACTTATTGGGAACATCTTCTATCAAAAGGATTGGGACTACCATATTTTTATTAAAAACTCAATCATGTTGTCCTTAAAGAAATGCTAACTGCGGCCAGGCAAGGTGGCTCACACCTGTAATCCCAGCACTTTGGGAGGCCAAGGTAGGCAGATCACCTGAGGTCAGGAGTTTGAGACTAGCCTGGCCAACATGGTGAAACCCCGTCTCTACTAAAAATACAAAAATTAGCCAGGCATGGTGGCAGGCACCTGTAATTCCAGCTACTTGGGAGGCTGAGGCAGGAGAATCGCTTGAACCCAGGAGATGGAGGTTGCGGTGAGCTGAGATCGCGCCATTGCACTCCAGACTAGGTGACAGGGCAAGACTTTGTCTCAAAAAAAAAATTGCATGGTTAGATGTGGGTTAATGTCAACACACTTGCTTTTGTGTTGGGGGTCCACAGGTGTTTATTATGTTATAAAAACTAAACAAATAAGGCCAGGTGCAGTGGCTCACACCTGTAATCCCAGCACTATGGGAGGCCGAGACAGGCAGAGCACCTGAGGTCAGGAGTTCAAGACCAGCCTGACCAACATGGAGAAACCCCATCTCTACTAAAAATACAAAAAATTAGTCAGGCGTGGTGGCGCATGCCTGTAATCCCAGCTACTTGGGAGGCTGAGGCAGGAGAATCACTTGAACCCAGGAGGCAGAGGTTGCAGTGAGCTGAGATCACACCATTCATTGCACTCCAGCCTGGGCAACAAGAGTGCAACTCCATCTCAAAAAACAATTAAACAAATAAATGCGAGCCATATTTCAGCATCTAAGAATTATAATTTGATCTCTTTCTAGTTTAGCTCCAAAGGAATAAAAACAACAATGCTGAAAATTTTGAATGAAAAATAAAATTAGTTTTAGGCTTGACAGAATTGCTTAAGAACTGAAAAGTACAAAAGAGTTGGAAGAATTACTCTACTCTTTAACTCTATTATCAAGTTTGAGAAATAGGACTAACACCACATTTTGGGGGAATGTTTGAAACATAGCTCTTTGGTTTGGTAAAGAACAGACTTATTTGAGTTGAAAGTGACTGAGCACTGAGCACTCATTAAACAATCATGAAGGCTGGCATAGTGGCTCATACCTGTAATGCCAGCACTTTGGGAGGCCAAGGCGGGAAGATCACTTGAGCTCAGGAGTTAGAGACCAGCCTGGGCAACATGGCAAGACAGTTTCTACAAAAAAAAGTTAGCCAGACATGGTGGTGCATGCCTATTGTCCCAGCTACTTGGGAGGCTGAGGTGGGAGGATCTCTTGAACCCAGGAGTTTGAGGCTGCAGTGAATTGTGATAATTCCACTTCACTGCAGCCTGGGCTACAGAGTAAGACCCTGTCTCAAAAATAAACAAGCAAACAAAAAACAAAACACCAAAGACAAATTAAAAATAAAAACAAATTATATACAAAAAAAATCACCAGGAAAGTAATAGAAACTAAAATAGAGTTGTGGTGAACTGAAAGTTTTCCCCTACAAACTTGCCGGGAAACTGAAATTATTCCCTTTTACAAAAGGTTGGAGCTACAACAGAGATTACAGGTTATTCAGTTGAGTGTCCTCATTTATAGATGCAGTCAGCATGCCTAGGATCTAGCCTAAAGGTCACACTGTTAGTCATCATTCTTTTTTTTTTAAACATTGTAAATTGACAAGTTATAATTGTATAAATTTATGGGGCACAAAATGATGCTATGATTTACGAATACAATGTGGAATAATTAAATCAAGCAAGTTAACATAGCCATCATCTCAAATACTTAACATATTTTATGATGAAAACATTTGAAATTTACTCTCAGCAATTTTGAAATGTACAATACTCTATTATTAACTATACTCACCATGCTGTGCAAAGAACTGAAAATAAAAACATATCCCTTGGCTGGGCGCGGTGGCTCACGCCTATAATCCCAGCACTTTGGGAGGCCGAGGTGGGCAGGTCACCTGAGGTCAGGAGTTCGAGACGGGCCTGGCCAGCATGGAGAAACCCCGTCTCTACTAAAAATACAAAAAGTAGCCAGGTGTGGCGGCTGGCACCTGTAATCCCAGCTACTCGGGAGGCTGAGGCAGGAGAATTGCTTGAACCTGGGAGGCGGAGGTTGCAGTGAGCCGAGATCACGCCATTGCACTCCAGCCTGGGCAATAAGAGCAAAACTCCATCTCATGAATAAACAAATAAATAAAAACATATCCCTCCTGTTTAGCTGAGATTTTATACCCTTTGTCCATCAACACTCCATTCTCCCCAGCCCGCAGCCTCTGTAGCCACCATTCTACTCTCTGCCTCTATGAGTTTGTTTTAGATTCCACATAGAAGTGAGAACATGCTGTATCTGCCTTTCTGTGCCTGGCTTATTTCACTCAGCATAGTGCTCTCCATTTCCATCTGTGTTGTCACAAATGACACAATTTCCTGCTTTTTAAAGGCTGAACAGTATTCCATTGTGTATATCTATATCATATTATTCATTCATCTGGACACTTAGGTTGAGTCCACAACTTGGCTGTTGTGAATAGTGCTGCAATGAATATGGGAGTGCAAGACATCTGATTTCAAAGCTTCCGGGAAAATATCCAGAAGGAGGATTACTGAATCATATGGTAATTCTATGTTTTGATTTTTGAGGAACATTCATACACTTTCCATAATGACTGTACTAGTTTACATTCTCACCAATAGCGTACAAAGTTTCCCTTTTCTCCACATTCTCGCCAATACTTACCTTTCATCTTTTTGGTAACAGCTATTCTGACAGGTATGAGATGGTATTTCTTTGTGGTTTTAATTTGCATTTCCCTAATGATTACTGATGTCGAGTATTTTTTCACATGTCTTCTTTTGAGAAATGTCTATTCAGGTCCTTTGACCCTTTTCTAATTGTTTTTTTCTTCTTGCTGTTTTCTGAGCTCCTTCTATATCACTATATTAACCCCTTATCAGATGTACGGCTTATCAACATTTTCCCCCAGTCTGTAGGCTGTCTCTGCACACTGTTGTTTCCTTTGCTGTGTAAGAGCTCCTTCTTAAAGTACTACTTTTTTTCTGAGACAGGCTAGAGTGCAGTGGCGCAAATACAGCTAACAGTAGCCTCAACCTCCTAGGTTCAAGCGATTCTTCCTTCTCAGCCTCCCAAGCAGCTGGGACTATAGGCACACACCACCATATCTAGTTATTATTTATTTATTTTTTTTATTTCTTGTAGAGATGGGGTTTCACCATGTTATCCAGGCTAGTCTCGGACTCCTGAGCTCAAGCAATTGGCTCTGCCTTGGCCTCCCAAAGTGCTGGGATTATTGGTGTGAGCTACTGTGCTTGGCCTAGTACTTTTTTTTTTTAAACAAACTTTTTGTTGAGATGATCTTGCTATGTTGCCCATTCTTAAAGTCTTTCTTTCCTTCTCTTCTCTTTTCTTTTCTTTTCAGACAGAGTCTCGCTCTATCGCTCTGTTGCCCAGGCTGGAGTGCAGTGGCGCGATCTCGGCTCACTGCAAGCTCCACCTCCCAGGTTCACGCCATTCTCCTGCCTCAGCCTCCTGAGTAGCTGGGACTACAGGCACCTGCCACCACGCCCGGCTAATTTTTTTGTATTTTTTAGTAGAGAGGGGGTTTCACTGTGTTAGCCAGGATGGTCTCGATCTCCTGACCTTGTGATCCGCCCGCCTCGGCCTCCCAAAGTGCTGGGATTACAGGCGTGAGCCACCATGCCTAGCCTTTTTTTTTTTTTTTTACAAAATTTTATTTGCTGGTAGAGACAAGCAAGTTGCCAAGGCTGGTCTTGAACTCCTGGGCTCAAGCAATCCTCCTACCTCAGCCTCCCAAAATGTTGGGATTATAGGCATGAGCCACCACACCCAGCCTTAAAGTACTTATTTTATGCTATTTTATTTTTTTGAGACAGAGTCTTGCTCTGTTGCCCAGGCTGGAGTACAGTGGCACAATTTTGGCTCACCTCTGTCTCCTGGGTTCAAGCGAGTCTCGTGCCTCATCCTCTTGAGTAGCTCGGACTACAGGCATGTGCCACCACAGCTGGCTAATTTTTTATATTTTTAGTAGAGACGGGGTTTTGTCATGTTGGCCAGGCTGGTCTCAAACTTTTGAGGGGTTCCACCTGCCTTGGCCTCCCAAAGTGCTGGGATTACAGGCATGAGCCACCACGCCTGTCGTACTTCTTTTAAAGAAACATTTTGCTGTGTTTTCTTCCTCAAGGAATATCTGCAATTGTTTTCTCTATATACTTTAATGGATTTCTGGACTTTAATCCATCCTCCTGATTTATAAATAAGGTAGAAGAAAAAGGCCATTTGTGTGGTTTGCCGGTCTTAGCTTAAACTTTATAGCTAGAAAATGGATGCTCTAATTTGCTTTTCTCCTTCTGGTCCATGTCATAATTCTCCAGTGTTCATCAGTGCCTAAAGGAATGGGCCTTGTTTGGTTGTTTTTTTTTTTTTTTTTTTTTTTTGAGACAGAGTCTTACTCTGTCACCGAGGCTGGAGTACAGTGGCACTGTTGGCTCACTGCAACCTCCGTCTCCTGAGTTCAAGCGATTCTCCTGCCTCAGCCTCCCGAGTAGCTGGGATTACAGGCGCCCACGACCATGCCCGGCTAGTTTTTATATTTTTAGTAGAGACGGGTTTCACCATGTTGGCCAGGCTGGTCTCGGACTCCTGACCTCAGGCGATCCACCCATCTCGGCCTCCCAAAGTGCTGGGATTACAGGCATGAGCCACCGCGCCCAGCCAATTGTTGTTGTTTTTAATAATTTATCTTCTATAGCAATTTAGTTTTGGTTACTTAATGAAAAGACTCCATATTCACAACGTACTCGAAAGAACAGGGCAATAAGGCCAACCATTCAAGGAAACTCTGGGGCCAAAAATAGGATAGTTTCCTGTAAAGGAGCCCGTGGCAGTCCTCAAATTTCAAACTGCACAATTTCAAGATAGCTCTGGATTAGAGACTCTCACTGCGTGGTATTTGAAAGAGGTCTTTATCTTTCAAAGGAAGACACACACTTGGCTCCTCACTAGGCTTCATGTACGTTCCAATAAGTGCAGCCCTCAGATCTCTGAAAAAGTGTCTTTTGGAAATTAATTTTTAATAAAATAATAAAGTATTATTGGAAATTTTAGATATAATGAATGACATTAATTTAAATAAAAATTACTTTAAATTTATAATTTTAGAAATGAAATGCCAAAGATTTGGTAGCCTAGCTCAAGTTACTGTAAGGACTTAACTGAGTAAGATTACTATTTTTGGAAGACCCAAATCCAAATTAGCCTCTGTCCCCAAAAGGTCTGATTAGAGATCACATTATTTAAGAAAAGAACTTAGGAAAAGGTTTAATTCAATAGTTCAAGAACATAAGAGAAGGTATTTGCTACTATGGATATGGTATGAAGAACATAATGAATTCCAGCATAAGAAATATATGCTGGCTGTACCACTGGAGTCCTGGTGTATCCACTGACCACATCTTCCTCCCCTGCTCACACAGGTAACTTCCACCCAACTTTCCATCCTCTACCTTTTCTCTATATCCTTAAATAACATATGCTTAATTTTGTACATTTTTGAACTGTATATAAATAAATGGCATGGGACTGTTTGTATTCTTCTGTAACTTGCTTTTTTCACTCAATGCTGTTTGTGAGAGTCATCCACTTTGATATGTTTAGCTCTTACTCATTTTCACTGCTCAATAGAAATTCATTCTATGAATATTTTCAATTATCTATTTGCTTGGTGATGGACATTTGGGCTGTTTCCAGTTTCTTTCACTATTACAAATAAGCTGCTATCAACTCTTATGCAGTATGCCTCCTAGTGCACATCAAATTTCCATAGGCTACATGAGTGGAATTACTAGGTCTGGTATATATACATCATTAATTAGATAAAGCTAAATTGTTTTCTAACATATTTGTACCAACTTACACTCCAGCACATGAAAGGTTCCATCATTCCACATCCTTCCCACACTTTGGGATGGTCATTTTTTTTTTTTTTTTGAGATGAAGTCTCACTCTTGTCACCCAGGCTGGAGTGCAGTGGTGCCATCTCGGCTCCCTGTAACCTCCACCTCCCGGGTTCAAGTGATTCTCCTGCCTCAGCCTCCCGAGTAGCTGGGATTACAGGCGTGCGCCAACAGCCCAGCTAAGATTTTTTGTATTTTTAGTAGAGACAGAGTTTCACCATGTTGGCCAGGCTGGTCTCAAACTCCTGACCTCAAATGATCTGCTCGCCTCAGCGTCCCAAAGTGCTAGGATCACAGGCGTGAGCCGCTGCGCCTGGCTGATGGTCAGACTTTTTAACTTTTGTCAGTCTGGTGGATGCATAATGTTATCTCTAAGTGGTTTTAATTGCTTTCCCCTGATTACTTAGGAGATGAAGCAACTGTTTAATATGGTTTCATGAAGTGTGTGTGTGTGTACATGTACTTTAAATATTCAAAAAATAAATTACCATAAGAAAAATTAAAAACGAATATTTCAGTTAAACTCAACACTAGTCAAAAGATATTAGAAACCAAAGATAAGTGCTCTTTTTTTTTCTTTTTTGAGACAGAGTCTCGCTCTGTCACCCAGGCTGTAGTGCAGTGGTGCAATCTCAGCTCCATCTCCAGAGTTCAAGCAATTCTCATGCCTCATCCTCCTGAGTAGCTGGAATTATAGGTGCGTGTCACCACACCCAGCTAATTTTTTTGTCTTTTCAGTAGAGACCAGGTTTTGCTATGTTGGCCTGGCTGGTCCCAAACTCCTGGCCTCAGGTGACCTGCCCACCTTGGCCTCCCAAAGTGCTGGGATTACAGGTGTGAGCCACCACACCTAGCTTGAGATGAGTGTTCTTGATTCTTTCCCGTCTCAAACTCTCCATGTACTGTCTAAATTTTATATGTTTTTTGTTTCAGTCAATAACCAAGAGTAAAAAAAAATTTTTAATTCTGATTAGGTATATAATTTAAGAGCCAAGAGAGAAATCACTTTTCAAAGATCTTACCATGAGCAGTGTTAGTAAAACTTAAAGGTCTATATATTGTTTAGTCTGAATATGAATTTTATGAATACTAATTATAAGCTAGAAGTATTCACATGACCAGCCAACATTTTTTACATACATGACTGGCTAATGATACTTTATTAAGTACAACACTTATGGTAGATTCAAAAAAATTAAAATGTTATTAAACCATATGTCAGTGAAGTAAGACTTATGTGAGCTCCAAAGTACTGAATTGCTACATACCCAAGTAATGCTCATGTACTCTAACAACTTCACAAAGTCCAGGGTCTTCAGAGTCCAGGGGCAAAATTCCTAAAAATCAAAACAAGAAATTAAAGGGATGTAAGTCAAAAATTCATTCCTAATGAGAGGCCAGTATTATTACAAATTTTGTTCAGTGAAATTTTGAGGAAGGTTCCAGTAATTACTAGTGTGGACAAGAAAAAATTCAGAAATGGGATGGGAAGTGCACTGTGCCACTCCTGCTATCGCTTTCTTCTTTCCCCTCTGAGTGACAGTAAGATGATGGCTGATGTTATAGAACAAAGTCAGAGTCTTGGGAGCATCTGGACTCCTTGTTAAAACTCTCCCTGATGGGCTGGGCGTGGTGGCTCACGCCTGTAATCCCAGCACTTTGGGAGGCCGAGGCAGGTGAATCATGAGGTCAGGAGTTTGAGACCAGCCTGGCCAACATGGAGAAACCCTGTCTCTACTAAAAATATAAAAAATTAGCTGGGCATAGTGGCAGGCGCCTGTAATCCCAGCTACTCAGGAGGCTGAGGCAGGAGAATCGCTTGAACCTGGGAGGTGGAGGTTGTAGTGAGCTGAGATTACACCACTGCATTCCAGCCCGGCCGACAGTGCGAGACTCTGTGTCAAAAAAAAAAAAAAAAAAAATTGTCCCTGATGGGTTGGGCATGGTGGTTCACACTTGTAATCCAACACTTTGGGAGGCCAAGGCAGGAGGATTGCTTGAGGCCAGGAGTTCAAAGCCAGCCTGGTCAACATAGTGAGACCTCATCTCTACAGAAGAAAAATTTAAAGATTAGTTGGATATCATGGTATGCACCTGTAGTTCTAGCTATTGAGGAGGCTGAGGCAGGAGGACTGCTTGAGTCCAGGAGTTCAGGGCTGCAATGAGCCATGATTACACCACTGCACTCCAGCCTGGGTGACAAGAGCAAGATTCTGTCTCAAACTAAGAAACAAATAAACAAAATTGTCCTTGATGCATAGCTACCTTCCTATAGTTTGGTTCCATGACATACCTCAGTATGTTTCAATTCTTTTTTTTTGAGACAGAGTCTCGCTCTGTTGCCTAGGCTGGAGTGCAATGGCGCGATCTCAGCCCACTGCAACCTCCGCCTCCTGGGTTCAAGCGATTCTCCTGCCTCAGCCTCCCGAGTAGCTGGGATTACAGGCGTGCACCACCACGCCCAGCTAATCTTTGTATTATTAGTAGAGACACAGTTTCACCACATTGGCCAGGCTGGTCTCGAACTCCTGATCTTGTGATCCACCCACCTCAGCCTCTCAAAGTGCTGGGATTACAGGTGTGAGCCACTACACCCAGCCAGAGTATGTTTCTAATAAAATCCCATTTTTCTTCTAAGCTAGTCTGATTTTGTTTTTGGTTTCTCACAAAAAGAATCTTGAATAATACAGAGTGCCACTGATTTCCTGAGCAGAATAAAAAGACAAGAAAGAAATAATCAATTCTCCAGGATAATGCCTGAGTCAAAGGCAATACTATAAAAAGCTGATGAAAACTTTCTTACAAATCTATCCTTTAAGAATTTCAAGCATGCTATAATTTTAACGCTATAAGGCTAAATATTTTTTCTTTCTTTTCTTTCTCTCTTTTTTTTTTTTTTTTTTGGACAAGGTCTCCCTCTGTCACCAGGCTGGAGTACAGTGGTGTGATCATGGCTCACTGCATCCTCAAACTTCCAGGCTCAGGCGATCTCCCACCTCAGCCTCCTGAGTAGCTGGGACCACAGGTGTGTGCCACCACGCCTGGCTAATTTTTGTATTTTTTATGTAGAGTCGAGCTTTTGCAATGTTGCCCAGGCTGGTCTTGAACTACTGGGCTCAAGTGATCTTCCTGTCTTGGCCTCACAGAGTGCTAGGATTACAGGTGTGAGCCACCACATAATATATATTATATGGCCCTATATAATACAAGTTATATAAATGTTTTCTAACTTTATGTCTTCCACAGAGAAATGAAAATTTCAAGGATTACTATAAAAGTCATAGCCTATGTTTGTGTGACTGTCTAGGATGCAGGTTGCAACTATAAAAGTCATAGCCTATGTTTGTGTGACTGTCTAGGACACAGGTTGCAAAATTGCAAAAATACTGTGGATTTTAAAAAACAATAAAAGTTTTAAGTCAATTTTTAGTTTTACAAGAGTTGTAAGAGAAAAGCTCTGTATGATTTCAGTTGAAACGGTGCATGGAGCTTCTATATGGCCCAGTCAGTCAGCAGCCTTCAAGCATGTGACTTGTAACTTTCCTTCTCCCTAAAGACTTCAGTCTGGCCACAGACTAAGCATCTGCCAGAAAAAGGCTACACCAAGCACTATAGCAACTATGATTATCTTTTTATCTATAAAACTGTTCTACAGCTAAATATATATATTTTTTATTATACTTTAAGTTTTAGGGTACATGTGCACATTGTGCAGGTTAGTTACATATGTATACATATGCCATGCTGGTGCGCTGCACCCACTAACTCGTCATCTAGCATTAGGTATATCTCCCAATGCTATCCCTCCCCCCCCCAACCCCACCACAGTCCCCAGAGTGTGATATTCCCCTTCCTGTGTCCATCTGATCTCATTGTTCAATTCCCACCTATGAGTGAGAATATGCGGTGTTTGGTTTTTTGTTCTTGTGAGTTTTAAATGTTCTGCTATTGCAATCAAGGTCCCAATTTTTATCATCAATAGAAATTTGACAGTAAATTCCAAAAACCAGGAAAGCATTTCTTTCTTTCTTTATTTTTTTGAGATGGAGTTTCATTCTTCTTGCCCAGGCTGGAGTGCAATGGTGTGATCTCGGCTCACCACAACCTCTGCCTCCTGGGTTTAAGCAATTTTCCTGCCTCAGCCTCCTGAGTAGCTGGGATTACAGGCATGTGCCACCATGCCTGGCTAATTTTGTATTTTTAGTAGAGACGAGGTTTCTCCATGTTGGTCAGGCTGGTCTCGAACTCCCGACCTCAGGTGATTCGCCCACCTTGGCCTCCCAACGTGCTGGGATTACAGACGTGAGCCACAGCACCCAGCCGGGAAAGTACTTCTATATGAAGCAAGGTCACAGTGAACATTAATAGTTATATAGAAAAAACAGAGATGACGGTAAAATAGATGACTTGAAATAAGACTATGAACTATAACTTACCAACTACTTCATCATCTGGTTGAAAGAATGATACCTTGCTTCCAACTAAAGAGTGAAGAAAATTAATAGTTAATATTACAAGTTTATTAAATATAATTCTTATCTATTAAAATACATTTTTAAAATCTGTGGATTTGTAAAAAGACTGATTTTGTTTAATGTGGAAAAAAGGACCAAAATGTCAATAACATTTTGATGGTCTGTAAAGACTACAGGATATACAGCACTTCAAATCTGGATTCTCTAGATATTTGGGCCATGCGATTATTGTGACCAGGAGAAGTATCTCTCTCTTTGCCTATTTAGTTGACTTTATTCATTTTTTTTTTGAGATGGAGTTCTGCTCTTGTCAACCAGGCTGGAGTTTGTGGCACGATCTTGGCTCACTGCAACCTCCACCTCCCAGGTTCAAGTGATTCTTGTGCCCCAGCCTCCCGAGTGGCTGGGACTAATGGCATGCACCATCATGCCTGGCTAATTTTGTATTTTTAGTAGAGACAGGGTTTCACCACCTTGGCCAGGCTGGTCTTGAACTCCTGACCTCAACTGATCCACCCGCTTTGGCCTCCCGAAGTGCTAGGATTACAGGTGTAAACCACTGTGACTGGCCTCTATTTAGCTGACTTTAAGGAAGAAGGAGTAAAGAAACTAATCTATTCTATAGCTTCTATGATAATTATATTGTTTTCTACTCCTCCTGTGGCTAGCCCAATCTGTCTTTATTTTTGTTGCAGAATCTCATACAACAGGGAATTCTGAGAATGCAGCAGGACAAGCCGCAGACAAAACTCTTCAGACACTGAGTTAAAGAAGGAAGGGCTTTATTTGGCCGGGAGCTTCGGCAAGACTCACGTCTCCAAAAACTGAGCTCCCCAAGTGAGCAATTCCTGTCCCTTTTAAGGGCTTACAACTCTAAGGGGGTCCGTGTGAGAGGGTCGTGATCGATTGAGCAAGTAGGGGGTACGTGATCGGGGGCTGCATGCACTGGTAATCAGAACGGAACAGAACAGGACAGGGATTTTCACAATGCTTTTCCATACAATGTCTGGAATCTACAGATAACACAACCGGTTAGGACAGGGGTCGATCTTTAACCAGGCCCAGGGCGTGGCGCTGGGCTGTCTGCCTGTGGATTTCATTTCTGCCTTTTAGTTTTTACTTCCTCTTTCTTTGGAAGTAGAAATTGGGCATAAGATGAGGGGTGGTCTCCTCCCTTAAGAAGAGTGACGTTAAAATTACTTTGATTTGGGAAATAAATTCAGGTTGGTACCAAGAAGTTTTCTGGAACTTTATAGAAATGATGGCCGGGCGCGGTGGCTCACGCCTGTAATCCCAGCACTTTGGGAGGCCGAGGCGGGTGGATCACGAGGTCAGGAGATCAAGACCATCCCGGCTAACACGGTGAAACCCCATCTCTACTAAAAATACAAAAAATTAGCCGGGCGTGGTGGTGGGTGCCTATAGTCCCAGCTACTTGGGAGGCTGAGGCGGGAGGATAGCGTGAACCTGGGAGGCGGAGCTTGCAGTGAGCCAAGACTGCGCCACTGCACTCCAGCCTGGGTGACAGAGCGAGACTCCGTCTCAAAAAAAAAAAAAAAAAAAAGAAATGATATAGTTACATTTTCTCTGCATATGTAGAGAAAAAGCCTCGACTATCAGTCAATTCATTTGAGTAGTTTCATTCAATGAGTTACAAGAGGAAAGGGGAGGAAAAAACTCCAAATATTGTTGAATGCCTCCTTGTGCCCAGCATTGTTGTGTGTTTATGCATTTAAACTTCACAATGTACCAATAAGGTAGGTATTATTATTTCTATTTAACAGACAAGGAAGCTGACATGAAGCGGTGAAGTAAGCTGGAAACCTGAATCTGGAAATGGCCCCTTTGACTGGCTCTGTCAACAAAATGGCCCCAGAGTGCATTTGTTGCCACTAGCAAGTAATTCGAAGCCTGGTATTTCTACTTTCAAGTCTTTCTTTTGGAGTTTGCTTCTTCTTTGGCTCCCTCCTGTGCCATCATCCCCCAATCCTTTTGGCTTCTGATTCACTATACTTTTATCTTTCCCTTCTACTGCTGATCCCTGTCCTCCTAAGGTCACTCTGACTCTTTTTTTCTTGGTTTCTTTCATACTCCTCTTCTTTTAATTGACCCTCAAACAGTGCATTCCAAAGGGTTCTTTGTTTACATCTCTCCTCCTTTTCTACTCTATCCCTTGGAGAACTCATCAATTCTATTATTTCAAATACAACCTACATGCTGACATTTCTCAAATATGTACTTTCCAGCATAGATCTCTCACCCTTGAGCTTTAACTCATTTAATTGCTTACTAGATATTGCCAGTGAGATGTCACTTAAGTTCCTTGAACTCAGTAAGTATAAATCTAAACTCATAATATTCCTCCAAATTGGATCATCTTCCTTTATCAAATGTTGGTTCCAATTCAAGCCTGAACAAGAACTCTGTAAGCCATTCCTGGTTCTGATCTGTTTTTAATTTCCCAGTTACTAGGTCCTGCAGACTTTATTTCCTCAATATGTCTTGAATCCATCCCTCTTCTCCACCTCTGCCACCACTGTTGAGGTTATGGACTTTGCTGTTTCTTGCCTCTTGGTCTACAACCCAACCAGTCCTCTTGCCTTTAGACTCGTTTGCCTTACATCCACCCTTCCTTCAAATGCCTACTCTAATAATCTCCCTAAAATACAATCTGATATCTAAGGCTCAACCAAAGGTCTGGCCCTTGCCTATCCTCCTGCTTCATTTTAGGAAGGCAGGAATTAGTGTTCACATAATCATGAAAGTATTTTGTACAATATCTTTTATTCTGCAATATTCGAAGGATAATTTTTTTTTCTTTTTCTTTTTTTTCTTTTGAGACAGGGTCTTGCTCTGTTGGCTCAAACTCCTGTGCTCAAGCCATCCTCTCACCTCTGCTTCCCAAAGTGCTGGGATTACAGGTGTAATCCACCAAGCCCAGCCTAGGAGGAGAATTTTCTTGACAAAATGTTTCTCTGCTACCAAGTACCATACCCTTGACGCCTGCCCAGGACTTTATCTTGCTCTAGCAATACCAAACTCTTTGTAATTCTTATACACATCCCACTTTCACTTGCTTGTCTTTGCTCATAATATCCTCCCTGCTAGGTGTGATTCTCAACATGCTTGCCCCTTATGATTTGGACATCTTACTCCAAGACGCCTTTCCTGTTTCTTCTGGCCAGGTTAAGCAACTTTCTTCCAAGCTTACATAATAATCTGCTCATGTGTATATTTGTCTCTCCCCTAGAGAGTGAACCGTTTAAGGGCAAGGAGTTCGTTTCACTTATATCCTAAGCAGTTAGCAATTGCTCATTAAATGTAAAATGAATGATCATCTAGTTATTGTATTTATTTTTCTACAGTCTGAGAAAAAAGAAACATAATTATCATTTAGCTATGTCAGAAGATTACATAGAGTATCAAATCTATTCTACGTTAAAATCCCAGGTAAAACTCAAATATACTCTAACATACCTTAACACATTTATTCATTCGCATAGGAGGTAAAAGCAAACACGTTAATCATGAACCACCTGTTAGTGAATATTAAGTATAGGTCTATTTAGAAACAAATTATATCAAATGCCTGATATAAGGCTTACTGTTCTGTATGTAAAGATCATTATTTCATCATAAAAAGACAATATTGGTCATTCTATTCAATATATGATTACTTGTGGATTTAAATATATAACCCCTAAATATTTACCACTGTAATAAGCTCTTCACTTATAAAATACCAATTGAGTCCTATTTTTCTTTTCAATTAAAAAAAAAAAGGGGCCAGGGATGGTGGCTCATGCCTGTAATCCCAGCACTTTGGGAGGCCGATGTGGGCAGATCACTTGAGGTCAGGAGTTCGAGACCAGCCTGGCCAACATGGTGAAACCCCGTCTCTACCAAAAAATACAAAAATTTGCCAGGCATGGTGATGAGCGCCTGTAGCCCCAGCTACTTGGAAGGCTGAGGCAGAGTTGCTTGAATCTGGGAGGCAGAGGTTGCAGTGGAGCAGACATCACGCCACTGCACTCCAGCCTGGGAGACAGAGTGAGACTCTGAAAAAAAACAAAAACAAAACAAAACAAAACAAAAACCAAAGAAGCTAGACAAAGCCAGGCATAATGTCGTGTACCCGTAGACCAGGGGTGTCCAATCTTTTTTTTTTTTTTTTTTTTTTTGAGACGGAGTCTCGCTGTCGCCCAGGCTGGAGTGCAGTGGCGCAATCTCGGCTCACTGCAGCTCCGCCCCCTGGGGTTCACGCCATTCTCCTGCCTCAGCCTCCCGAGTAGCTGGGACTACAGGCGCCCGCCACCTCGCCCGGCTAATTTTTTGTATTTTTAGTAGAGACAGGGTTTCACCGTGTTAGCCAGGATGGTCTCGATCTCCTGACCTCGTGATCCGCCCGCCTCGGCCTCCCAAAGTGCTGGGATTACAGGCGTGAGCCACCGCGCCCGGCCGGGGTGTCCAATCTTTTGGCTTCCCTGGGCCATACTGGAAGAGAAAGAATTGTCTTGAGCAACACATACAATACACTAACACTAAATGACAGCTGATGAACCAAAAAAAAAAAAACATCATGTAATTTTTTTTCAAATTAATAGATTTTTTTTTGAGACAGAGTCTCGCACTTGTCGCCCAGGCTGGAGTGCAGTGGCGCCATCTCGGCTCACTGCAAGCTCTGCCTCCCAGGTTCACGCCATTCTCCTGCCTCAGCCTCCCGAGTAGCTGAGACTACAGGCGCATGCCACCACGCCCAGCTAATTTTTTGTATTTTTAGTAGTGACGGGGTTTCACCGTGTTAGCCAGGATGGTCTCGATCTCCTGACCTTGTGATCCGCCCGCCTCAGCCTCCCAAAGTGCTGGGATTACAGGCATGAGCCACTGCGCCTGGCCAAAAAATCACATAATGTTTTAAGAAAATTCACGAATTTGTGTTGGGCTGACTTCAAAGCTGTCCTGGGCTGCATGCTGGTTGGACAAGCTTGCTGTAGACTTAGCTACTCAGGAAGCTGAGGCAGCAGGATTGCTTGAACCCAGGAGTTAAGGCTGTAGCTATGATCAGGCTGGGCAACACAGAGAGACCTTGTCTCTCAAAAAATAAAAATAAAAATAAAAAAGGACATGTTCATATAATTAAATTTAAATTTGAAAGGCTGTATATAATTTTATGTACCAGTAAACCAATTAGCTACATTTAATCTCTTTTACCTTAGAAAATAAATACATATACTCACATCTGTATACTTACCATCTAATACAATTCCAGCAATTTCTCTCCCAACAGGAAATAAATCCTTTTTCATCTTCATTTCTGCCAGAAGCTAAATCATGACAAAGGCAGTTAACATACTATTGTCAGAAGAAATCCTGGACTCCATTATATATGAGGAAAGCGAGAGTAAAAGTCAAATCACAGAAAGAGCAAATATGGTTCAAGTTTTGGAACTGAGACAAAGCAAATAACTTCACAAAATAGGTTTCTCTAAAGGGTAGGAAACCAAGAATTTACTGAGGCATTAGTTGTTCTGCAGGACTTAGGAATGAATATTATTATTCAAATTACCATTAACATCCTTTGTTTAACATCTTTACTCTGCCAAGTATGAAGGGAAATTATGGCCAAAACATTTCTTGATTGGCTAAACACTATCAGTCATCTTACTCAGGTGAAGGGAGGGTAGTCTGGAGAGAAGACTGTTGAATAAGGGGGTGTGGCCAATGAGAACAAAGGGTTCTCCATTCCTATACCCTTTAAAATCACCTGAGTTCTCAAAAGCCTTGGGTTAGGGAGTGGGTGAGAAGTAGTGATGGATATTAACAGGTAATCTGCCATATAATTTCAGATTCATGGTGACTGGAGTTTCTTTTGGTTAAGGCTAAATTTTTAAGAGATTGGTATTTTATTAGATTGTGACCAAATTAACTGTAAGTACTTGTCTTTTGAAGTAACAGGGTATACTGTCTTTAAGCCCGTGGTTTAAGCTCCTGGCACTTAACACTACAGATGCTGAACGTATTTGTAGATACCACAATATTTTAGGAACAGTAAGTAAAAAGAAATTAATTCTCTTCTATATTTATTTTTCAATTTTCTGATCTCCTGTATTGTATACTTGATGGTCAGAAGTCTCTTTTTCAATGTGGAACATAATACTTTTCTTAAGATGTTCATATGACATTCTTATAGAAGTACTGGGTGTTTTACAGTGTTTCTTTTCTATTTTTTTTTTTTTTTTCAGATGGAGTCTCACTCTGTCGCCCAGGCTGGAGTGCAGTGGTGTGATCTCGGCTCACTGCAACCTCCGCCTCCCAGGTTCAAGCGATTCTCCTGCCTCAGCCTCCTGAGTAGATGGGACTACAGGCACGTGCCACCATGCCCAGCTAATTTTTGTATTTTTAGTAGAGATAGGGTTTCACCATGTTGGCCAGGATGGTCTTGATCTCTTGACTTCATGATCTGCCTGCCTCGGCCTCCCAAAGTGCTGGGATTACAGGTGTGAGCCACTGTGCCTGGCCACAGTATTTCTTTTATGCACATTTGTATGGAGTTAAAACTATGGTTTTAGCAATTGCATCCTGGCTCCTTCACTTACCATAAGCATTTTCTTACATTACCCACACAGTTTTCATAACCATTATGCTTAACAGATGTGCAATATTTCATTCAACCGATTTTACTATAATTTACTATTTATTTCTGTTAGACAAGGAGATTATTTCTTAGACTTGGATTTTAATGGATTTTTCCATTTTAATAAAAACATCTGAAAACAGAAGTCTGCAGACAAGGTCTAGTACTAGTACTCTTGTGAAAAGACTTCAGGGGATCCCACTAATGCATTTCTCAAGTCATGCTCATGTTACAGAGTTGCCCAGTGAAAGCCTATACCTGGTCTGTAATTTCCTAAGTGTGACTTTATCAAAGAAGACTTTTAGGTTCCTAAAAATTATAGTCACATTATAATCCAATAAGTTACGGGTCATGTAAACTATGGCATTAATCCTAAAAAATAAAACAAAACAAACAAAAAAACGGAGTAAATGGACCTGCTCAATTTATCATGGCACATTTAACCACAGTTTATTTACCACTGAAAACATTCTATGTATTTCATGGTCAATAATGAAAGATTACTGCAGGGTAATGTGAGGTAAAGATGTATGTTTATGAGAGAGCGACACAAAAAGAAATGACAAGAGAAATATGAACCATAACTAGTAATATTAGTTAAATATCTAATTGGTAGCTAATAAACTGATTAGGTTTCTAGTTTCTATTTTATTATTTATTTCTTCCTTAATAATAGGCTTTGTTAATTATAAACTCTTAGTTTTTTGCAATGTAAAGGAGTTTATAAAATATTATAAAATATTTACATTATGTCTGTTTTCTTATAAAATATTTGTATTTTCATATAAAATACGTAACTTCAATCAGACTAATAATGTCCCTTATATAGAAATATACAAAAGCACACTAAATTTTTTCCCCTAGCTGTTCTATTCTAAAGATGGTAGGCTGGGCGCAGTGGCTCATGCCTGGAATCCCAGCACTTTGGGAGACCGAGGCAGGTGGATCCCCTGAGGTCAGGAGTTTGAGACCAGCCTGGCCAACATGGCAAAACCCATTTTTATGAAAAAACATACAAAAATTAGCTGGGTGTGGTGGTGCGCTCCTGTGATCCTAGCTACTCAGGAGTCTGAGACAGGAGAATTGCTTGAACCCAGGAGGCAGAGGTTGCAGTGAGCTGAGATTGCACCACTGCACTCCAGCCTGGGCAACAAGAGTGAAACTCCGTCTCAAATAAAAAAATTAACAAAAATGAAGATGGTAATAAATTCTTCACATTGAGAGGTCAGTTATCGTTATATTTATACACTAAATACACTAAGAAACTCTCATTTTACTTTGTGCCATAATAAAAGAACCAATACCTTTGTATTTATCTGGCTCAGAGCACAAGCTTTAACTTGAAGTTTCACAAAGTTATCCTCTGTAACAGGAAGATCTTCCTAGAACCAAATGATAACAAAACAATATGTTATTTTACACATTCCTATGAGAATATGTCTTTATGCTGTGAAAATTTTTACATGTAATTAAACAAAATTAGACAGACCCTAAATCTCACAGCTAATTTTAACAACTATAAGTAATTATAGAAATGTATATAATAAAAAAATAAAGAAAATTTGGGGGTACAATTTTAAAAAAGCTTTTGGATACATATTTTTAAAAGTACTCAAATAACAATATGGATATATATGTAGACAATAAAGTTAGGATAACAAAGTAAAGCAGCAAATACTGTACTCCTTTATTTCAACCTAAATAATCTCAGAACACCGGCTCTTCACATTTACAGGGATATCCTTAAACACATATACACATAACGTATAACCTTTACTGATTTTTTTTTTTTTTTGAGACAGAGTCTTGCTCTGTCACCCAGGCTGGAGTGCGGTGGCGCGATCTCGGCTCACTGCAAGCTCTGCCTCCCGGGTTCATGCCATTCTCCTGCCTCAGCCTCCACAGTAGCTGGGATTACAGGCACCCGCCACCATGCCCAGCTAATTTTTTGTATTTTCAGTAGAGACGGGGTTTCACTGTGTTAGCCAGGATGGTCTCGATCTCCTGACCTTGTGATCCGCCCGCCTCGGCCTCCCAAAGTGCTGGGATTATAGGAGTGAGCCACCACGCCCAGCAGGCCTTTACTAATTTTTAGAATTTCCTTTTTTTGTTGGTTTTGTTTTGAGACAGGGTCTCACTCTGTCTCCCACGCGGGAATGCAGTGGCGCAATCACAGCTCACTGCAGCCTCAACCTCCAAGGCTTAAGTGATCCTCCTGCCTCAGCCTTCTGAGTAGCTGGGGTTACAGGCATGCACCACCACACCCAGCTGATTTTTAATTTTTTTGTAGGGCTGGGGTATTGCTATGTTGCCCAGGCTGGTCTCTAAGTCCTGGGCTCAAGCAATCCTCATGCCTCAGCCTCCCAAAGTGCTGGGATTAAAAGCATAAGACATAGTGCCCAGCCCTTAAATTTTCTTAACGCTATAAGTGAAATTCTTTTTTAAAAATATAATTAAAAAAAAATAGAGATGGTGTCTCGCTGAGTTGCCCAGGTTGGTCTTGAGCTCCTGGGCTAAAGTGATCCTCCTGTCTTGGCCTTCCAAAGTGCTGGGATTACAGGTATGAGCCGCTGTGCCCAGCCAGTGAAATTCTTTTTTCATTTTTTTTTGAGATACCCAGGCTGGAGTGCAGTGGCGCAATCTCAGCTCACTGCAACCTCTGCCTCCCGAGTTCAAGTGATTCTCCTGCCTCAGCCTCCTGAGTAGCTGGGATTACAGGCATGAGCCACTATGCCTGGCTAATTTTTTTTTGTATTTTTAGTAGAAGATGGGGTTTCACCATGTTGGCCAGGTTGGTCTTGAACTCCTGACCTCAGGTGATCTGCCTGCCTTGGCCTCCCAAAGTGCTGGGATTGCAGGCGTAAGCCACTGTGCCTGGCTAGCCAGTGGAATTCTTTAGCGTCCTTTATTCAACTCTTCCTTAACATGTGCCTTGGGCATTTCATCATGCCCCATGGGATTCTGGGCTCAACATACCAACGTAATTGAACCTAATTATCCCTCAGATTCCACTTCTAGATAGAAATTCAAAAGCAAGGCCGGGCATGGGGGCTCACGCCTGTCATCCCAGCACTTTGGGAGGCCGAGGTAAGTGGATCACTTAAGGTCAGGAGTTTGAGACCAGCCTGGCCAACATGGTGAAACCCGGTCTCTACTAAAAATACAAAAAATAGCTGGGCATGGTTGCGCATGCCTGTAGTCCCAGGTACTTGGGAGGCTGAGACAGGAGAACTGCTTGAACCCAGGAGGTGGAGGTTGCAGCGAGCTGATATTGTGCCACTGCACTCCAGCCTGGGTGACAGAGCGAGACCCTGTCTCAAAAAAAAAAAAAAAGAAAAAGAAAAGAAATTCAAAGGCAAAAATAGTCCAAATTCAGACACTCAATGTCATCCACCTATATTATTAAATACAGTATCACCTCATCTAAACAACTGAACCTGGTACTAATAATTAAATCAGTCTCCTCTACCCAATATGCCCACAATTAGATGAAAAGCTAGCCAAGAATAGCCACTTACATAGCCCCTCCTGTGATGTATCAAAGGGATTACTGTGTTTTGTCATGAACACAATCTGAGAACATCTTTTTAAATCACAGTTTTGACAAAACTTGGTGATAATATGAAGATGTTCATTAATATTGGTGAGTTTGTGAATTTTACTCATGATTTTGTGAACCTGGAGATGTTTCTTCCCAAGAGCCAATCAACCCCTGACCCTCATCCTGATCAATGATAGAAGCCAAGCTGTCTGAAACACAGACTCCTGGCCTAATTGTTCTTGTTTTTTTGAGACAGGGTCTTGCTCTATCACCCAGGCTGGAGTGCTCTGGTGTGAACATGGCTCACTGTAGCCTTGACCTACACAGGTGGGTGCCACCATGCCCAGCTAATTTTTTTGGTAGAAATAGGGGTCTCACTTTTTTGCCCAGGCTGGTCTTGAATTCCTGGGCTTAAGTGATCCTCCTGCCTCAGCCTCCCAAAGTGCTGGGATTACAGGCGTGTGCCACTGTGCCTGGCCTAAATGTTTTAGGAGTTAGTGACAGACAAGAGAGAAAACTGGATTGTGTTCACGATCAAAACTCTCATAATTATTATGAAATACTGATTTACATATAACACTTACTTTTAATCCCTAAATTTATGGAAGAATGATTTTGGCTTGCCACAAATCTTTCTAATAATCACCAATACTGTATATGAAAATTCTACTATCTATGCTTAAAGTAATAAAAAACTTGGTGATAATATGAATATGAGTGATCATTTAAAACTTAGTAAATCAGGTAACTTCAGCACTCTCTGAAATGTGTATGGAAAATAATATCTTTCTACCTCTTCCATTTCACATATGAGACATGGTTTTTTTTTTTTTTTTTTTTTTTGAGACCGAGTCTTGCTCTCCTGCCCAGGCTGGAGTGCAGTGGCGTGATCTCCACTCACTACAAACTCCGCCTCCCGGGTTCATACCATTCTCCTGCCTCAGCCTCCTGAGTAGCTGGGACTACAGGCACATGCCACCACGCCTGGCTAATTTTTTTTTATTTTTAGTAGAGACAGGGTTTCACCGTGTTAGCCAGGACGGTCTCGATCTCCTGACCTCATGATCTGCCTGCCTTGGCCTTCCAAAGTGCTGGGATTATAGGCGTAAGCCACCGCACCTGGCCGAGACAAGGTCTTTTCTGAAACATGGCTACTTTCTGGAAACTTGCATTATTGTGGTATTCGGAATACATTGGGTTACTTTCACAACATGTAAGACTATTAAGTTTGTTCTGTCTTCCTAATACCTTTTACACTACCACCCTGAGGAACTAAAAACTCTTTTGCAGTAATTCTTTTAAAAATATTTTTTAAAGTAAGGTAGTGTAATGCCTCCAGCTTTATTCTTTTGGTCAAGATGGCTTTTGCTATTCAGAGTCTTTTGTGGTTCCATATGATTTTTAGGATTATTTTTCTATTTCTGTGAATAATGCCACTGGCATTTTGATAGGGATTGAATTGAGTCTGTAGAGGGCTTTGGGTAGTATGGACATTTTAACAATATTAATTCTTCCAATTAATGAACATAGACTATCTTTCCACTTATTACTGTTCTCTTCAATTTCTTCCATCAATATTTATAGTTTTCATCGTAGAGATATTTCACCTCCTTGGTTAAATTTATTCCTGGGCATTTTATTTTTTATAGCTATTATAAATGGGGTTGCCTTCTTAATTTCTTTCTTTTTTTTTTTTTTTTTGAGACAAGTCTTGCCCTGTCGCCCAGACTGGGGTGCAGTGTCAAGATCACGGCTCACTGCAGCCTTGACCTCCTGGGCTCAAGTGATCCTTCCGCCTTAGCCTCCCAAGTAGCTGGGACTACAGGTGTCAGCCAGCATGCCTGGTTAACTCAAAAAAATTTTTTTTTTTGTAGAGACAGGGTCTCCCTATGTTGCCCAGGCTGAACTTGAACTCCTGGGCTCAAGTGATCTTCCATCCTTGGTCTCCCAAAGTGCTGGGATTATAGGCACCTGGCCTTTTAATTTCTTTTTTAGATAGTTTGCTGTCGCTACAGAGAACTACTACTCGGCCAGGCGCGGTGGCTCACGCCTATAATTCCAGCACTTTGGGAGGCTGAGGTGGGAGGATAGCTTGAGCCCAGGAATTTGAGACCAGCCTGGGCAACATGGCAAAACCTGCCTCTACCAAAAAAAAAAAAAAGTTAGTCAGACAGACATGGTGGCACATGTCTGTAGTCTCAGTTACTCAGGAAGCTGAGGTGGGAGCTGATGCTGGGGGAGGTTGCAGTGAGCCCAGATTGCGCCACTGTATTCCAGTGTGGGTGATGGCGCAAGACCCTGTCTCAAAAAACAACAACAACAACAACAACAAAGAACTGCTACTGATTTTTTTTCTTTTGGAGATGGAGTCTTGCTCTGTTGCCCAGGCTGTAGTGCAGTGGCACAATCTTGGCTCACTACAACCTCTGCCTCTTGGGTTCAAGCAATGATCCTGCCTCAGCCTCCCGAGTAACTGGGACTAGAGGCGCACGCCACCACACCCGGCTAATTTTTTGTATTTTTAGTAGAGATGGGGTTTCACCGTGTTGCCCAGGCTGGTCTTGAACTCTTGAGCTCAGGCAATCCACCCGCCTTGGCCTCCCAAAGTGCTGGGATTACAGGCGTGAGCCACCATGCCCAGCCTCCTACTGATTTTTTATTTCGTATCCTATAACTTTACTGATTCATTAATTAGTTCTAACTGGTTTTTGGTGGAGTCTGTAGGGTTTTCTATATATAAGATCACGTCATCTGCAAACAGGGATGGTTTGACTTTCTTCTTTCCAATTCGAATGCTCTTTCTTTCTTTCTCTTGCCTAATTGCTCTGGCTAGGACTTCTATTATTATGTTGAATAGAAGTAGTGAAAGTGGGCATCCTTGCCTTGTTCCAGATTTTAGAGGAAAAGCTTCCAACTTTTTCCTGTTCAGTATGATGTTAGCTGCAGGTTTGTTATACATGGCTTTTATTATATTGATGTATATTCATTCTATGCCTAATTTATGTAGGATTTTTATCATGAAGGGATGTTACATTTCATTATATGGTTTTTCTGTATCTATTGAGATGATCAGAGGGTTTATGTCCTTCATTCTGTTAATGTGATGTATCACATTTATTGATTTACTTATGTTGAACTATCCTTGCATCCCTGGGATGAACACCACTCGATCATGGCCGTCAGGGAAATAGATATCAAAACCACAGGAAGATATCCCCTCATCCCCATTAGAATGGCTATTATCAAAAAGACAACAAGTAACAAATGCCGGTAAGGATGTGGAGAATGGAAACTCTTATACACCACTGGTGGTCATGTAAATTAGTATAGCCATTATGGACAAAAATATGAATGTTCCTCAAAAAATTAAAAATAGAACTACCAGGCTGGGCGCAGTGGCTCATGCCTATAATCCTAGCACTTTGGGAGGCTGAGGCGAGCGGATCACCTGAGGTCGGGGGTTTGAGACCAGCCTGGCCAACATGGCGAAACCCTGTCTCTACTAAAAATACAAAAATTAGCCAGGTGTGATGGTGCGTGCCTGTAATCTCAGCTACTCAGGAGGCTGAGGTAGGAGAATCACTTGAACCTGGGAGGCAGAGGTTGCAGTGAGGTGGGATGGCACCACTGCCCTCCAGCCTGGGCAACAGAGTGAGACTCTGTCGCAATTAAAAAAAAAAAAAAAGAACTATCATTTAATCCAACAATCCCTCTCCTGGGTATACATACATCCAAAGGAAATGAAAGCAATATGTCAAAGTGATATCTGTACCTCCATGTTTACTGCAGCACTATTCACAACAGCAAAGATATGGAATCAACCTAAGCGTCCATCAACAAATGAATGGGTAAAGAAAATGTGGTATATATACACAACAGAATACTATTCAGCCATAAAAAGAGTAAAATCCTGTCATTTGTGAAAATGTGGATGAATCTTGAGAACGCTGTGTTAAGTGAAATAAGCTAAGCACAGAATGACAAATATTACATGATCTCACTCAAATATGGAATCTAAGACAGTTGATTGCATAGACGTAGAGAGTCCAATAATGGTTATTAGAGGCTGGGGAGATTAAAGGGGTGGGAGCTGGGGACAGAGGTTGGTCAACAGGTACAAAGTTACAGGTAGATGGAAGGAATAGGTTCTGGTGTTCTATTGTACAGCAAGGTGACTATAGTTAACAACGTATTGCATATTTCAAAATAGCTAGAAGAGAGGATTTTAAATGACACAACAAAATGGCAAGTATTTTACTGATAGATATGCTAATTACCCTGATTTGATCATTACATAATTTATACATGAATCAAAACATCACAGGGTACCCCATAAATATGTACAATTATGTGCCAATTAAAAACAAAATAAAACTTAAAAAATAGTTAAACTACTATATGAACCACCATTTTCACATAAAATTTAAAGGAAAGTACTGTAATTTGAGGAGTTTCATTTGAGTAATTTTGTTCATTAAGTCTCACTGAAAATAACGTCATTTAAAAGTGGGTTTATTGCAGATAAAAATACACTAACTACTTTAATGATTAAACATTTTTTCTTACCTTTTCTTGAAATACAAATGTTATTTCTTCATCTGTGGAACTCTGTTGGAAATATAAGCCTTTCATAGTCACCTAAAAATAAATATATATAAATGAAATAAAATAACAAGTCTTCCAGACTAAATGTAAGCAAAAATGGAAAAACAGTGCTGGCAAAGGATAAAACGACAACTACAAATGTAGTTTTCAAATAAGTAAATTTAAAAAATCTTTCACAAAGTGATCAAATAAGAGAATATGCAACACTCTCTGGGCACCTGTCTTACTGAGAATGGGTTTACAGTTCAACCTTTTACTACAAAGGCAAACATGCTTCATTTTACTTTCCTATACAATAAAAAAGATTACTTAAAAGAAGCCTTATGATGGCCAGAGAAACTCAATTTTATTTACCTTTTATTAAATTTTCCTTTAATTACCGTTTATGAAAGGCTTTCGAAGTCTTAAAGATCATTAAAAAGGAGAAAGTGAACAGCCAAGACACCGGTTGAAAATTGTGGCCCTAATTCTTCTGTATCAGTCTATAAACCATTTAATGGAAGTATTTAAACTTATAGCCGGGCACAGTGGCTCACGCCTGTAATCCCAGCACTTTGGGAGGCCAAGGCAGGCAGATCATCTGAGGTCAGGAGTTCGAGATCAGCCTGACCGACATGGAGAAACCCCATCTCTACTAAAAAAAAAAAAAAAAAAAAAATTAGCCAGGTGTGGCGGTGCGTGCCTGTAATCCTAGCTACTCAAGAGGCTGAGACAGGAGAACCGCTTAAACCTGGGAAGCATAGGTTGCGGTGAGCCGAGATCGCGCCATTGCACTTCAGCCTGGGGAACAAGAGCGAAACTCTGTCTCAAAAAAATAATAAAATAAAATAAATAAACTTATATTCTGTGAACTTATTTATTTATTTTTTTTTAGATGGAGTCTCGCCCTATTGCCCAGGCTGGAGTGTAGTGGCACGATCTTGGCTCACTGCAACCTCCGTTTCCCAGGTTCAAGCGATCCGCCTGCCTCAGCCCCCCTAGTAGCTGGGATTACAGGCACGCGCCACCATGCCCGGCTAAATTTTGTATTTTTAGTACAGATGGGGATTCACCACGTTGGCCAGGCTGGTCTCGAACTCCTGATCTCAGGTGATCCACCCGCCTCGGCCTCCCAAAGTGCTGGGATTACAGGCATGAGTCACCGCGCCCGGCTCTGTGAACTTCTTGAGGTATCTCTAAAGATTCCACAATTGTTTCTTTAATTTTCAGAGTAATTATGTGGTAAGACTATTTTTTATGCAAATTTTACAGAAGTATAAAATATAGAAAAGTACACAAATCCTTGAAGCGCATAACTTGTTGAATTTTACAGTGTGAATATGCCCACATCATGGCAGGAGACACATCATCATACACCTCCAGAAGTTCCCTGTGTCCCCTTCTCCTCCTAAGGAGACCCAATATCCTAAATTTTAACAGCACAGATTAGTTTTGTCTGCTTTTGAACTTTATATAAATAAAATTATACTCTTTAATGTCTGTTTTCTTTCTTTCTATATTAGGTTTGTGAGTCTCACTCATGTTGTTACTTGTAGTTGTATTCCATTCATTCGTATTGCTACATAGTACTCCACTGTATAAACAAATTGCTATTTATCCATTCCACTATAGACAGACACTTGAATTGTTTCCAGTTTGGGGCTCTTATGAATTGTTCTGTTAAAAACATTCTTGTATATACTTTTTGGTAAGAATACTATTATTTCATTTATTCTATGAATGAGGAAAGTGAGTCTTAGCTTAAAGCATGTAGCTGGTGTCTCATAGCACCAGCTGGGCCAGAACTGGGATATAAACTAGGTGCTACTTCTTCCAAAGTCATTACTCCTAACCATGGCTTTTAATGGTTTCCTACTGAGCTGCTAACATTAGATATATCAATTAAAGTTGAATACTTTTTTTTTTTCTTTTTTTTGCAACAGAGTCTTGCTCTGTCGCCAGGCTGGAGGGCGCAGTCTCGGCTCACTGCAACCTCCATCTCCCAGGTTCAAGCGATTCTCCTGCCTCAGCCACCCGAGTAGTTGGGACTATAGGCACGTGCCACCACACTTGGCTAGTTTTTGTATTTTTAGTAGAGAGGGGGTTTCACCATGTTGGCCAAGATGGTCTTGATCTCCTCACCTTGTGATCCGTCTGCCTCGGCCTCCCGAAATGCTGGGATTACAGGCATGAGCCACCGCACCCGGCCTAAAGTGGAATACCTTTAAGATAATAATTAAGTACCTATTGATAGTTCTGGCTACATAATTTGCAGAGCCTAGTGCAAAATGGAAATGTGGGAAGCCTTGTCTAGAAATTATTAGAATTTCAAGATAGCAGAGCATGAAATCAAGCAAAAGTCTCTTCTGAATCTGAGGTCAGTGAGACTGCATAGGCCATATGTCCATAAAGCCAGCCCTCTGTGTTGAATGTTAGTGGATCTACTTGGATCCAAATACGTAAAGAGTTTTTACAGAGTGTAGTTGAGCAATGGTTGTTGGTTTCTCGGACGTGATAATCAAACGCTGGAATTAACAGAAATGAATACACATTCAAGACATATATAGAAATTACGTATGTAGCATGTATCAATGAAGTATATAAAAGCAGGATTAAGCTAGGTTAAATGATTAATTCTAACGCTTTGGTTGCAGAAGGTCTTTGTGTCAATGTTTTTGTTTGGGGGCTGGGGAGAACCGAAGCATGGATACAACATTTACGTATTCCCTCCAGCATTAAATCTAACCTCCTTTGAAGGCTCTCTAAAATGCATACTCTCTCTCCCTACTCTACCTTACTGCTTCCACAATGTCCAAGCACATACCCTCTATCTAGTTAGTATGACTTTACATCATATGGTTACCCCATCTCAGAGCTTCTAGGCATGGCCTGTTCTCTGACAGAATGCTGTAATTTAGATTCTGCTAAGTAAATAAAGTTCAAGTTCTACCCCCTCTCTGGAATCATCCCCAGTGACACTCACTCCATTTGTTCCATGCTTCCCGATTTCATTACACACTAATGAAACCTTGCTTTATTTATTTACTAACTAGCGGGCTTTCCCAACCATTGCCTGGGAAATATATCCATTATTATTAAATAAAAAAAAAAACAACTCTGTTCCTACTCAGTCTGGAGTTACTAGAATTGCCTTTTTGAGAAGTGGAACAATTACGTATCAATGCCTTGATTTCAAAGCATCTTGCTTTGTGATACTGGAAGCTACTGTTTTCTCTGCCCATTGAATCTTGAAATATATGGCATGTCTCCCAGATAAGCAGTCACATGGACCTTAGACTGTGCCCCAATTTCAAAGACCCTGGAAGATAACTGCTTGTTTGTACCCCTAGTATCCCTTAAAACAAACAACAACAACAATATATATATATATATATATATATAAAATAATGGCAATATTTTTAGTCACATCATCCTAAATAGTTTCTCTAAATTAGGTGAAAATTGCCCTGGTTGGTGGAAAAAAGTAATGTTCAGTTGGTCCAATTGAGAATTGTATGGGAACAAAAATATCCTTAAAGTTACAAAGTAAAGAAAGAGAGGTGTTTTTACAAAAGTAGCCAGAAGAAAACTGAGGAAATATTTGTCTTGAAAGCCCAAAAAAAGAATACTGAGTTCCTAGTACTAGGAAAATGGTAGAATGGATGGTATTCAAGGCCCACATGGTTTCCTAGGCAGATTAAATAAAACAGTCTATTACGTAACAAAATTGTATTTCATTTTATTTTTTGTTTTTTGTCTCACACTCTGCCAAGTCTCATGTTATTTAATAAAATTTGTATTGACTTAAAATACATTTGCACATAGGACATAAAAGTATTAAACTTTTTTTTTTTTTTTTTTTTTTGAGACGGAGTCTCGCTCTGTCGCCCAGGCTGGAGTGCAGTGGCGCCATCTCAGCTCACTGCAAGCTCCGCCTCCTGGGTTCACGCCATTCTCCTGCCTCCGCCTCCGGAGTAGCTGGGACTACAGGCGCCCACCACCACACCTGGCTAAATTTTTTTTGTATTTTTTAGTACAGACGGGGTTTCACCGTGTTAGCTAGGATGGTCTTGATCTCCTGACCTTGTGATCCGCCTGCCTCGGCCTCCCAAAGTGCTGGGATTATAGGCGTGAGCCACCGCGCCCGGCCATAAAAGTATTAAACATTTTATAAAATAAAAATATAAATTAAAATGTATAGGCCGGGCATGGTGCTCACGCCTGTAACCAGAACTTTGGGAGACCGAGGCGGGTGGATCATGAGGTCAATAGATACAGACCATCCTGGCCAAGATGGTGAAATCCTGTCTCTACTAAAAATACAAAAATTAGCTGGGCGTGGTGGCGTATGCCTGTAGTCCCAGCTACTCGGGAGGCTGAGGCAGGAGAATCGCTTGAATCTGGGAGGCAGAGGTTGCAGTGAGCTGAGATCGCGCCACTGCACTCCAGCCTGGCAACACAGCGAGGCTTTGTCTCAAAAATAAATAAATGAACAAATAAATAAAACAAAATATATAATATGACATTTCTAAGAAAAGTCATGTAACTTCAAAATTATAAGTTCTACTATAAATTTTACTATACCAAAAAAGTATGATATAAAACTTTTTGCCCAGAGTGGTGGCTCACACCTGTCATCCCAACAATTTGGGAGGAGGCTGGGGTAGGAGGACTGCTTCAGCCCAGGAGTTCCACAGCCTGGGCAACAAAGCAAGACCCTGTCTCTTAAAATACAATAAATAAATAAATAAGCCTGGCGTAGTGGTGCTCACCTGTAGTTCTATCTAGGCATTGGAGGCTGCTTTGAGCTATAATCAACACTGCACTCCAGCCTGGACAACAGAGTGAAACCCTGTCTCTTAAACATACAAAACTTTTTAATTACAATAAACCTGTTTAAAAATGTAGGCTGATATAGCCTGTGAAAAGCATAGAAATTTTATACTTTTACAGGTATATCAGAATTTCAAAATGTTTGAATTAATCCACAAACTGAGGATTATGTTAGTAATACTATAAATTTTTATATTGGCCATACAGTAAACTTACTAAAAAATCTGGAGAAACAAAAATTAAGGAGATAATACCAATTTAGAATAATTTTTAGCAAAAGCAGAACGAGAACTTTGCATAAATTAAACACTTGACTACAAACACTTCAAGAAAGTAGTTAATAAAAATACTGATCTGTTAAGGGATTTCTAAAAAATCAATGGGAAGTAGTTTCAAATGGTTTCATCCTTCTTATAATAGCAACATGAACTCCACTTGCTCCTCTGTTACACTCAATCCCCCAAGAAGCTCATCTATTCTTTTTTCTTTTTAGACAGTTTCACTCTGTCGCCCAGGCTAGAGTGCAGTGGCGCGATGTCGGCTCACTGCAAGCTCCGCCTCCGGGGTTCACGCCATTCTCCTGTTTCAGCTTCCCGAGTAGCTGGGACTACAGGCGCCCGCCACTGCGCCCGGCTAATTTTTTGTATAAAACTCATCTATTCTTAGTTGTAAATAAAACCTCTACAAATCATTCCTTACCTACACTTTCAGGCCAAAAGTGTTTTGAGCATCAGACCAACTTCAAATTTAACAGACACAAAGCTGGACTCATCTTTCCCCCAAACAAGATTTTGCTGTACTCTCTAGTCATCAAGAATAATTTAGATCGCTGGGCGCGGTGGCTCACGCCTGTAATCCCAGCATTTTTGGAGGCCGAGGCGGGCGGATCACGAGGTCAGGAGATGGCGACTATCCTGGCTAACACGGTGAAACCCCGTCTCTACTAAAAATACAAAAAATTAGCCGGGCGTGGTGGCGGGTGCCTGTAGTCCCAGCTACTTGGGAGGCTGAGAAGGGAGAATGGCATGAATCCGGAAGGCGGAGCTTGCAGTGAGCCGAGATCGCGCCACTGCACTCCAGCCTGGGCGACAGAGCGAGACTCTGTCTCAAAAAAAAAAAAAAAAAGAGTACCTTAGATCCATCCCATCACCTTCACCTCAATGCCTGGGGCTCGGGCTGTGGCGATAGGCTGCCAAATGCTTTCAATACTCTCCCTCATTCAACTCATCTATTCCCCTATGGTTAATTTAATTCCTGAAAGTCCAAACTCCTCTTCTTACATGCTCAAATTTTTATTAGTCCCCAACACAAACTTTATAATACTATGGCCACTCCAGGTTCAGAGTTCGGTTATAATGTTTCTAACCTACCTTCATTTTTAAGGAAAGCAAAGATATATATAAACAGCTACACAAGAGAAAAACATATATATATATATATATATATATATATACACACACACACACATATAAACAGCTAGACAAGAGAAAAACAGATGAAGTCAACTCTGAAATGTGGCCCTGTATGCTCAACCTGGTCACCATGCCAGGCTCTCTTGGGCAGTATCCAATACCCTATTACCCATCCATCGTTGGGACCTGTGCATAGCATTATAATACTAGCTGGATTGTTAGGGGGAAATCTTCAGTTATATTTTGATCATTTGGGAAAAGGTGAATTAATGTTAAATTTTAACAATGTTCACATTAATCTGTGAGACTTTTTGTACATATTCACACATTGGAAAAAGAAATATGCCCAAATATTTGATTAAAAAGAATATAGTCACCATAATCAAAGCAACTAGCTGGAGGTTTGGCTCAAATATATTCTGCAGGGTGTGGAGGATGGTAGTCCTAATGGGTCAGGTCTGCTTTTTTTTTTTTTTTTTTTTGATACGGAGTTTTGCTCTGTCACCCAGGCTGGAGTGCAGCTGCATAATCTTGGCTCACTGCAACCTCCGCCTCCCGGCTTCAAGTGATTCTCCTGCCCCAGCCTCCCGAGTAGCTGGGATTACAGGCGCACGCTACCACACCCAGCTAATTTTTTTGTATCTTTAGTAGAGATGGGGTTTCACCATGTTGGCCAGGCTGGTCTCGAACTCCTGACCTCCTGATCCACCCACCTCGGCTTCCCAAAGTGCTGGGATTACAGGCGTGAGCCACTGCACTTGGCCTGCTTCTTAAAGAGGGTAGTGAATGCATGGTTATAACAGTTGAGGATATCTCTACATGGTATAGTCAACAGTCTCTAGAAATATGTATATTCAAAGGACACTTTGCACTAGCAATGAGTCCACAGGTGTTTTGGGTGTTTTGCTGTGCACAACTGCAGTGCTCTTTTGTGCCTGTTATTATATAAGATGGGCACAGGAGATATTGTGACAGTGGCTTATATCTGGCTAAACCTTGTAAAGCAATTCCAGCTGATAATATAAGAACTTTAGGCATTATAACTTAAAACTAAATGGAAAATGCGTAACATTAGATGGTCCCTATCACTAGAGGGACTGAAACAGAGGATGGGTACATATTACACAGGCTTCATAAAGCAGATTCCAGAGTCAACTGAGTGGGACAGGTGGATCAAATGACCATTTAGTTCTCTTCTAATTGTGACAATCTTGATAAATATTATCAAGGCATATTCGATTGAATTTATACATGTGTGGCATAATCTCTACATCTTATGCAACTTGAGATCTAAAGATAGATAAAGGAGCAGAAAAGGAAAATTGTTTCTTTTTTGCCTACAGTGGCTCTCAACAAAGAACTCTTTTGGATCTCAAAAGAATTTTTGATGACCTCCCCACCTCCATGAGGGATTTATTTTATTATCTGTTGATTTTCAGGTGGCATTTTGACTTAAGAGTCTAGGGTTTCTTACATGACCAATTCCCCACCCATATCTCTGGGGGTTGGAGACGTGGGATGGTCATTATCCCAAAGATCTGAAAATCTCTGATCCAGTTACTATTCAATGTAGGGCTATTTAATATAATATGATCCAGAACAACAGAAACTTAACTTTCATTTATATTTTTGAATGAGCATCTTATTTTCCTATATTGTACTACTGGGGAACAAGGGAGCGAACGGTGTGATGAATGAGTCTTCCCTTTATAAGGTGGCTTAATTATGTGACTCTGGGACAATGCAGGTGGAGGCCTCTGGTGATGAGAATAACTAATTGAGGGATCCTCCCGAAACTCTACCACACAACAGTTACTCGCTCCCCTCCAATCCATTTAACTGACTTTCTTTTCCACCTACTAACATTATTGAAGTTTGTAAATGCTTAATTTTCCAGTTCACTAGAGGATTGTAGAGAAACCACTTCTTGCTTCAAATGAAAAATATGAATTGTAATTTTGATTAAATATTTACTAATTCAAAAATCAAGAGAAAATAATTTCATGTCTTTATTATGCATAAAATGGAAGACTTTTTTTTTTGTAAAATACCATATTTTAGCATATATAGATGTGTATTTTTTTTTTTTTTTTTGAGACAGGGTCTCACTCTGTTGCCCAGGCTAGAGTGTGGTGGTCGTGATCTTGGCTCACTGTAACCTCCGCCTCCCGGGTTCAAGCAATTCTCCTGCCTCAGCCTCCTGAGTAGCTGGAATTACAGGCGTGCACCACCATGCCCGGCTAATTTCTGTATTTTTAGTAGACACGGGGTTTCACCATGTTGGCCAGGCTGGTCTCGAACTCCTGGCCTCAAGTGATCCACCCGCCTAGGCCTCCCAAAGTGCTGGGATTACAGGCGTGAGCCACCACGCTCGGCCAATATGTGTATTTTTGCTCTTCTGCTCATAAAACTCTCCTGAGCTCAATGTAGTTCATTGGGTCTACAAAAAGAGCATAGTTAATCTTAGAAATATTTCATTGCACAAGGCTGGCAGCTTTATCTTGTATGGCGAACTACCTCACTTTCAAATCTAAACGTCTTATCCCCTGCTGTAAGCTGGAACAGAGGCATCGATAAGGGAAATTAGTGATAAAAGGTAGTAATTATACACTGCAATGGCTGCGGGATCTGATTTAGAAGTCATAACTGACCCGAGTTTGAATCGGGGCTTTCCTACTTATTAGCGGTATGACTTTGGGCTACTTAATTTTAACCTTTCTGGGCCTGAGATCCCATATCTTAGATAATAATAGCAGTTATCTCAGAGGGTTGCCATAAGGATTAAATAATACCTGCAAAGCACTCAGCGCAACATCATACTTTCAGAAATGTTGGCTATTTTGACTATTATTTCTGTAAATTGGGCACATCTCAATTACAGAGAATCTCTAAAGTAGTTCTGAATCCCATCTCATAGAGTTGCAAAGGGTTTGGTCAATGCAACCTTATTTTTCCCACCTTTTAATTTCTGCAGTAGGCTACTGTAGCAGCCACTAGCACAGGTGGCTATTGAGCACTCCAACTGTGTCTAGTCGGAATTGAGATGCGCTGTTAAGTGGAAAATACACATCAGATTTTGAAGATTTAATTTTGAAGAATTAATTTTTTAATTTAATTTTGAAGATTTAATACGAAGAAAAGAACGTAAAATCTCAATTTTTAAATATTTGTTTAAGCGTTGAAATGATAATGTCTCAGATATACTAGGCTAAATGAAACATATAATTAAAATTAATTTCACGTGTTTCTTTTCACTTTTTAAATGTAGCTACCCCAAAATTAAAATGACATAAGGGACTCGCATTATATTTGTACTGGACAGAGTTCAGGTAAAACCTTTCTACTCATAACGTGGACAGCAGCACCTGGGAGCTTCTTAGAAACGCAGATGTTCGGCCCCGACCCAGACCTATCCCAAGGCGATGCTTACATCTCGCTCCAGATGATTCCGCCGTTTAGCATAATGAAGAGGGCCGATCTGGCTCAAAAGCCACATACAGCGAATAACTACTAACTGCTTTCCGAAAACAGCAAAGTGATGAGGAAGAAAGAAGTGGCTGAGAAGAAGTAACAGAGAAAGAAAAAGACACTCAAATTCTAGGAACAAGAAGCAGAGGAGAAAAACCCAACCTGGGAGATTAAGTGGAAGGGCACTCCCAGACCTCTGCCTCCATAAAAGTAGAGGGAGATGCAAACTGAGATAAGACCTACAATCAAAACCCGTCAAGGTCCAGGAAACTGTCCCTCAAATCTAGTCTTACCCACCCCTCAGCGGCCTCAGCTAAGCTAGGCCTGGGCCCGAACAAGTCCCAGGTTAGGGTTCGACGCGAACCACCATCCTCCCCAGGGCTGCACGGTTCTGTGGGGCATCTCTCCACCTTTCGCTTAAAGGCCCGTTTCCCAAGACACAGGACGCGTTTCCCGGGGCTCACCTGCCTCTGAGCCGCCCCAACGGCCTGCACCTTCACCACCGCCACCTTCCAGTCCTTCGTCAGAGAGCCCGCCCCCTGCTCCCATTGGTCAGGCCGCTCGTCACTCCTGAAGGGCGGGGTCGGACTCGCGAGGCTGTCCAGAACGCCATGGCAACCGGTCTCGGAACTACATCTCCCGTCATGTTCCGCTCGGGGGCGGAGAAAGAGGCGAGGCCCCGCCCCAAGGACTACCAATAAATGGGCGAAGTTGGAATCGCCCGGATGGGTTCCGTTTTATGCAAATTTTAGCCGAAGACCACACCCTTCCTCATTCCAACCATAGGCCCGGCCAACCCCTTTGGGTTGTGCTTCGCCTTTTTCCTTTCCACATTATTCTCTCCTTGAAAACCTCCAATAATTAAGTCAATTAAGTGCATCCTATCTAGTGTCTCTCACGGCAACGAGCAGATGCACCGAAATCGTGCAACAAAATCTCCATAAACCACGATAGGCAACCTCAGACCATAAATCTCCTGTTACGCCTACATGGGGAGGAGGGGGAGAGTGCTAATCCTGCCCCCACACAGCCCCTGCTGATTGGCTCATTCGGCTTGTCACTCTGTTGTCTTACATTTCTTTGGCTCACCCTCTTTGGGTTCGCACGGTGGGCGGGGCCAGTGGTAGGGGGTGGTGAGAAGGTGCGGGCCCCTTCTTCCAATTGGCTGGCGGTTTCCCCACCCACTTATGGGCGGAGATGGATGGTGGATGGGGGGCGGGGGAGGCAGCGGAGGGAGATGAGGAGATAGGCGGGAGCGAGGGAGCGAGGGAGGGAGCGAAGGAGGTAGAGAAGAGTGGAGGCGCCAGGGGAGGGAGCGTAGCTTGGTTGCTCCGTAGTACGGCGGCTCGCGAGGAAGAATCCCGAGCGGGCTCCGGGACGGACAGAGAGGCGGGCGGGGATGGTGTGCGGGGCTGCGGCTCCTGCGTCCCTCCCAGCGGCGCGTGAGCGGCACTGATTTGTCCCTGGGGCGGCAGCGCGGACCCGCCCGGAGATGAGGTGAGGAGAGGGCTGCAAGGCGGCGGCCTGGACCACGGGCGGCTGCAGCGGGGGCGGGGGTCGGCGCGGGGGTCTGCGCGATGGCTGCCCGGGGCATCCGTCCCGCGCCCGGCGCTTGTCTCCCCGGCCGCCCTTAGCCCCTCGCCGCGCGCCCGAGAGACGGCAGCGGCTGCCCCTCTGCCTTGTCCTTCCCGTCCTCGGGGGTGGCGGCGGAGTGGCGGGCGGACCCGCACTGGGAGGCCGGGGGCCGCGGTGGGCCGTGGGGTGGCGGCCGCGGGACGGGCGTGGGGATGAATGGGCGCCGCGGCCCCGCCGCCGAGCGGGCTCCCTCCTCTCGCGGGGACCCCGGGCGGCCGCTCCTTCCCGGGCTGACCTCGCTGCCCTCGGCCGCCGGCGAGGGGCGGCCCGGCCTCGCCTCCCGCCGGCCTCCCGGGGACCCGCGTTGGCGGGAGCGGCGCCGCCTCTGCCTGGAGCCCCGGCTCCTTCCTCGGCCCCTCGCTCGCAAGCCTGCAGAATCCTGGGTCAGTGAAGGGCAGGCAATGCCGTTCGGCCCCAGGGCGCGCCGCGGGGCCGCCCCTGAAGGCATTTAAAGGGGAGCGTCTTCCGCGCCCTGTGAGCGCGTCCCCGGGTCCGCCGCGTCCCTTCCCTTCTTACGCACCGACACGGTTTTGTGGTGTGGACCCAAGACACAATTGCAGTCCCTTGCTTGCACGAATGCAATCCGAATTCCCAAAAAAAGGAAACCGGCGAGGAATCGGCCGCACCTTCCTGCGCTTCTGCTTGCCTTGGGATTAGAAAACAACTTCGGAGATTACATTTCCTATGGGCAATCTTTTGTTGTGATTCAGACTCAAGAAGGCTTTGCTTTGGAAGAAATAGATTAGCGGCTTCTCTGTGGAGTTGGAGGCTATAGAGATTTTTATAGCCTCTTCAATATGAAAGTTTCCTCTAGAACTTTGCCATCATCAGTGCTATTCTGAGGGCAGCAGCAACCTGGAAATTTAGATACATGCAGGCTCCGGCCAGATGCGTTTCTTTGTGCTTGTCTGTTGGCATTCTTCTCTTGCTGCTCCTCTTGATCAAAACGTACAGATAATAAAGGCAAGGCCAATGAAGAGGGTAGATAATAACAGCAAATCCCATACAAACAAATGCCTCTAGAAATTCTCAGTTCTGTCAGCGGGGAGGCAGTTTTGCTAATCCCGTGGAACGGATGAAAAGAAAGGCACAGAGATCTCATGGATTATGTAGTGGACAGGATGTGAGGGCAGGAACTGGGGCCAGGACCCAGCAGGCCAGCTGGTTTGCATGGTGCCACTCTAAACCCCCAAAATATGAATAGGAGGAATGTATTTGTTGGGATACCTTTATTTTTAGATGACTTTAAGGTTGAGAGTGCAGAAGCTTAAACATCCTTCATAGTTATTATTTCTTAGTTTATCTCTGAGAACAAAATATGTTTCTGTTTAAAATTTCTTTTACTGGTGTGCTTGAAACGTTATTTTGATGGGAGTTTCCTTGTAAGTAAAAACATTGAAAAATACATACATATGAAAGAAAAATCCTTAGTGCAGATGGGTTTGTAAAGAATCCAGGGACTTTTAAGTCATATAAATTAAGAAGTGAGGGACACTAATTTGATGATGGTGTTAAAATTATTTCAGACACCTTTAAGTAGTCCAGTGGAGATCATTTCTGATAGTATGATCTTTTTTTAAAAAAATGGTATTTCTTTATCTAGGAATGCTTCTGTTGAAATTGCTACGGCGCATGGTACCGTCACAAAACTCTTTTATTATTCTGCCTGAGTAAGAGAGGAAATGAACAAATTTTTAATGTACTTTGGAACCCTGCGGATTGCACAGATACTAAGCATTGTGAAATAGGGCATAAAATGAGTGGTAGCAAGTTAGTTCTGTGAAATGTTTGTCGCTGTTAGCATTTTTTTTTTTTTTTGGCAGTCGACTAGCAATTTTCTTTTCCCTAAAGCTTATCTTCAATATTGGTAGTAGAACCTCTGCTCAAGTTTATCTTTTCCCCAAGTGCCTAGACTGGGACAAACTATCAAGCCTCCTGTAAGAGATTAA